>NC_000017.11:14430504-14733535 GCF_000001405.40 Homo sapiens
CTTTTAAGTAGTTTAGACTCCACTTATATTTGGTCAATAATGTTTTAATTAGAAAATATAAAAATCGGCCGGGCGCGGTGGCTCACACCTGTAATCCCAGCACTTTGGGAGGCCGAGGCGGGTGGATCATGAGGTCAGGAGATCGAGACCATCCTGGCTAACAAGGTGAAACCCCGTCTCTACTAAAAATACAAAAAATTAGCCGGGCGCGGTGGCGGGCGCCTGTAGTCCCAGCTACTCGGGAGACTGAGGCGGGAGAATGGCGTGAACCCGGGAGGCGGAGCTTGCAGTGAGCCGAGATTGCGCCACTGCAGTCCGCAGTCCGGCCTGGGGGACAGAGCGAGACTCCGTCTCAAAAAAAAAAAAAAAAAAATCATCCATAATCCCCACCACTGGAGACAGTAGTGGTGAGCACAGCAGATAGCAGATAAACATTTTTTCACTTTTAGTCTTTATCTACCTGTGTACATTTAATATTTATGTGGTTCCTACAATTTTGTGTTCTTTTTCTCTTAATGTTATTTTGAAATCTCTTGGATGTCAAGAAAATCTTGTTATTACAATATCTTCTGGCCTTTCTCTTTTCTCACTCTCTAGAACCTCTAAGAGATATAATATATGCAATATATTTAGTATATATTATATAACATACTCATTATATATTATATTATATAAAATATGATATATTTAGCATATATAACATGTGTATATATTTATATGTTCTACGTATATAGCATATATCATACATATGTTACAATATATGTATAACACATGTAATATATTAAGTATGTGTATATGTATATGGTATATATTATAACATATAGGGTATATATTTTATATGTTATATATGTCTATGTATATATATCATATAATATATGTAATCTATATATGTCAGTGTATACTGTATATTTTATATAATATATACATATTATTATACATTACTATAATATATAACATATAATATATTATATATTATATTATGTATTATATATTATGATTATGTATTTATGATTTATATTATTTATTTGCACATTTATATTATAATATATAACATATATGTTATAATATACTATATAATATATAATATACATTATATAAATATACATGTTACATATATAACATATGTATACATATATAGTAACATATATACAGATAATAACATACATAATATAACATGTTACATATCATATATTTTATTACCTAATATATACTACATACATTTATATACTACATACATTTATATACTACATATATACATTTATATACATTTATATATACATTTACATACATTCATATATACATTTATATACTACTACATTTATATACTACATACATACATACATATAATTATACACTACATACATTTATTACATAATATATACTACATACATTTATATCCATATACATATCACATGTATTATATAACATATAACATTACACATATTACTTATATAGCCCATAACATATAACATATATTAGATCCCTATATTATATAACATATAATATTATATGTATTGTATGATCCCTACAAGAACGCTGCAGTGAGCTCTGATGGTACCACTTCACTCCAGCCTGGGTGTCCAAGAGAGAACCTGTACCTAAAAAAAAAAAAAAGTAACCAGAGCTTGTGGATCAGAGACTCGATCACAGAGGGACAGAGTATAATACTTTCTGTATCTGCTCCAGGCTGGGACCATGCCTTTCCCAGGCTTCTGCTAGAGGAATTTGGAAGAACTACATTAGATCCGTTAGAAGCTCTGAGGCAAGGGCATTGCATAAGCAGAAAGAGAGTGACATCTCAGTTTGTTGTTTAAACAGTAACTGTGGCTAAGTGAAGTGTGTTTGACACAAACATGGTGCTCCTTAAATGCTTAATGAATGAATGAGCACATGAATGAAGGAATACATATATAGTATTGTGTGTATCACATATAATATATGTAATGTATTATGTATATGTATATATACATGCTAAATATAAAAGATGTTCTTTTTAACTGTGGGATTTTCTTTTTCATGTGTCATTCTGCAGATGAACAGAAATAAAAAATTATTTAAAAAGGAAATCCACAAGTATAAATGTAGTCTGATGATCTATTTTATATTTTTAAAACTACTAAGACGATGTTCCCGACTCTTACTTTGGCAGCTGTGGTAAGCTCTTAGGCTGTCTCTGGCAAGATGTTCCACTCAGTGTCCCCTGCAGGGTGATGCCATTTGACTTTGGACAAGTCCTTTACTCTTTGAATCCAGTGATGTTGACTGTGGGTAGGGAATGCTGATATGGTAATACTGATCCTGGTATAGTGAGGGCTGGGTGAATAGCCCTAAGGAAGAAAATAAGTAGGCCAGGCGCGGTGGCTCATGCCTGTAATCCCAGCACTTTGGGAGGCCAAGGCAGGTGGATCACGAGGTCAGGAGATCGAGACCAGCCCAGCCAACATAGTGAAACCCTGTCTCTATTAAAAATACAAAAAAATTAGCCGGGCATGGTGGCACGCACCTGTAGACCCAGCTTCTTGGGAGGCTGAGGCAGGAGAATGGCTTGAACCTGGGAGGCAGAGGTTGCAGTGAGCTGAGCTCACGCCTTTGCACTCCAGCCTGGGTGACAAAGAGAGACTCTGTCTCAAAAATAAAATAAAATAAAATAAAATAAAATAAAATAAAATAAAATAAAATAAAATAAAAAGAAAAGAAGTAAGTATAGGAAGGATCCAACAAATGCAGTCCTTAATAATTTCCCAGCACAACATACAGTCAAGCTTGGGAAGAGATGTTCTTCACCCTGTGCTGAAGCCAGAATTGCTTCCTCTACAGATTTATGTAAACTTGGCTGTTGAAATATGTATCAGAAAATAAACTCATTTCTTTATAGGTTATTATTATTAATACACATTTACTGAAAGCCATGTATTTGGAGAATATTGTGCTTCAGGAAACACACAAAAACCTAAATTACACCATATATGCTAAGCAGCAGATAAGTATTATAAACAATCCTAGAACCCTAAACTGGGTGTCAGGAGACTTGAGTTTTAGCTCTGGCTCTGAAAATAAGAGAGCTACCTTAACACTTTCTGCTAAGGGGTAAGTTTACGGATTGATTTCCAGATTTTTTCCTATTTAAGTTGTTGTCATTATTAACTAGCACTTATTGACTATTGATTATGTGCCAGGAATCATGCTGGGTGCTTTGAATGAATTATTTGTTTGATAATGTTAACATCATGAAGAAGAACTTTTTTATCAACTTTATTGAGGTATAGTTGACAAATAGAAATTGTACATATGTAAGGTATACAACTTGATGTTTTGATATATATATATTGTGAAATGATTACCACAGTCAAGGTAGTTAACATGTTCATCACCTCACAGTTACCATTTTTAATTGTGTTGAGAACATTTAAGATCTACTATTTTCACAAATTTCAAATACATAATACGATATTGTTAACTATAGTCAATCTGCTGTACTTTAGATCTACAGAACATATTCGTCCTGCATAATCGAGACTTTGTACCCTTTGACCAACCGCTTTCCCACACCTCTTTGCTTCTATGAGTTTGACTCTTCTAGATTCCACCTATGAGTGAGATCATGTCATATTTTTCATCCTCTGTCTGGAATATTTCACTTAACATAATGTCCTCCAAGTTCATCCATGTTGTCAAAAATGGTAGTCTTATTATCCCTACCTGAGAGATGGGGGAATTCGGGTTTAGAAAAGTTATGTAACTTGCTTGGTGTCCCATAGCTAATGAATATTGGTTCAAGGGCTGAAATTTGGGTCTCCCTGCCTGCAGATCTCAGGAGGCCGACCCTTTATTGCTGTCATTAGAATGGCAGCCAGAAGAAGGAAGTCCAGCCGAAGGCTGAAGCTGTGCGGGAATGCAAGCTTGATGGAGGAGGTGCAGGTAGGAGATGCATCCTGAGGAAGGGCAGGACTTAGATTTGCAGATAGGAGGATAACTTCTGAGGCAAGGGCATTGCATAAGCAGAAAGAGAGTGACATCTTGGTTTGTTGCTTAAATAGCAACTCTATGGCTAAGTGAAATGTATTTGACACAAATGTGGTGTTCCTGGAATGCTTGATGAATACATGAGCCCATGAGTGAAGGAAGTGGTAGGTGGAAAGGCATGTATGGGCCATAACACATTAACCTTGGACCTAGGCAGATGCAGCCAACACATTCTCACTACTGCATTAGACAAGGGCATCAATGGAGAAGTGAAACAGCTCTTTCACATTCAGTGCAGGCTGAGACTTTGTTCCAGTCATGCAGTTGATATGCAATTGTCCATCTCAGGTAATGCATCAGTTCCAGTGGTGTTTGAATCTGTATTCTCTGTTACCATGAAGGCAGCTGTCAGCCTCCAGTATCAAATCCTCCTTCATGGCAACTAAAATGAATGAGGTGTGGGCAGTGGGCACAACTCAGCTATGGGACAGCCCCTGCCTTCTTTCCAAGTAGCCAGTTGGAATCAATCAAAATGATAAGTCAAGCCAATGTGGGTGGCCAGTAGATCGTTCCTTGGGTACAGGTGTTTGCCAGGCTTTGGCATGTGATTTTGGGGTGCAGCTAGGAAGGTTCAAAAGAGTTTTGAGGTGAGCAGAATCTAAGTCAGCACTCCTGAGGATCACGGGCCTTGGAGAGTCCAGGGCAAACTCCTTCCTTCCCAAGGATGTAAGTGAAACTCGTCTCACTGCCAAGCCTCTTCAGCACTGTCGTTTCTCTCAGGATCCTTTGTTACACTCAGGTAATGCTAGCTAGGTGGTTTGTGCCAGGTGGGTTCCACGGGAGGAGAACATGAATACGACATCTTGGCCATCCAGGTAAGTGAGTGGACAGGTGCCCTTGTGTGAAACTTACAATGCCAGTGAAATTGGTATAGAGCTCCTGTTCGCCCTCTGTACCATCAAGATGAGCCACGGCTGAGGCACAGATAGCCGTAGCACCATTGTGACTGCCATCAGCACCTGGCGGGGGAGCCCTGGTTGGTCCTTCTGAAGCTTCTTCATTTAGGTTTACCAGTCAGTGAGGAGCAGAGAGGGAGCATGAGGGGAGTATTTGAGAGGAACTTGACCTTCAAATGGAGACCTGTTATTTTTAGTGCTGGATGTTGAAAAGAAAGTCTGATCCTTGACAGGGCAGGCTTTTTATATCTTTTATGTTTCTTTCTCTAACCATAAAAATCTAATAATACGAGCCAGGCATGGTGGCTCATGCCTGTAATCCCAGCACTTCGGGAGGCCAAAGTGGGCAGATCACCTAAGGTCAGGAGTTGGAGACCAGCCTGACCAACATGGAGAAACCCCGTCTCTACTAAAAATAAAAAATCAGCCGGGCATGGTGACACAAGCCTGTAATCCCAGCTACTCGGGAGGCTGAGGCAGGAGAATCACTTGAACCAGGGAGGTGGAGGTTGCAGTGAGCCGAGATCACGCCAATGCACTCTAGCCTGGGCAACAAAAGCAAAATTCTGTCTAAAAAAAAAAAAAAAAGAAAGAAATCTAATAATACATATTCATGGCAGAAAATTAGGAAATATGTAGATAAATAAATAAATAAATAAATAAATAAATAAATAAGTGGTATCTACAATCCCAGGACCGAGACATAATAATGGTTAACATTTTAAGAGTGTTTTCTAATAGTCATCTATAAGCATATACACATAGGCAGACACCCTTACACACACGTATACATTTATTGCATTTCTTACCAAATGGGAATGGTGCTGTGTATATTTTTATACTGCTTTCTCCATTTATTATTACCCTATGAACATTTTTGCATGCCATGAAACATTCCTCAGGATCAATAATTTTAAATCACTATAATATATGATATAAACATACCATAATTTGTTTAACCATTTCCATATTGCTGAATGCTTGGGAGGCCTCCAGTTTTTCTTCGTTGTAAGTAATGAGGCAATGATATCCTTGTACAGTACATTCATCTTCACGCACATATTTGGTTTCCGGAAATATTATTAGTTTCAAGAATCCTGTATAGTGGGAAATATTTTCATCACATCTCAAACACAGTTTGGGTTCTGGTTTTAATTATGGGCCCCATCGATATGGGGATTAGTTTGACACTTTATGAGTGAAACTATAAGCCTTTGCAATTTGGGGGAAAATGCTACATTCGGGTGAAGTGGTTCTTGAGGTGAATATTCAGGCTGATCTAGGGTTATATTTTCTTTTTTTGGAAGAAAAAGGAAGATGGAGTTCCACTTCCTCCTGTCTTTCGGCTTTGGTCTGCCTCACAGGAATTCAGCAGGAGACTGAGAGGAAAGAGATTGTTCAGCAGTCAGCAGAAATCCATTTTCTCTGGTTTCTTCCTTCCATTTTGCTAGCATCACCTCCAACATGATTCCACATCTCCGGAGCTTCAGCCTTCGCTTGGCGATTTGGTGCTCATGTAAAAAGATTTCTCATCATTAGGTTTTGATGAGACTGGCTTAGTTCATGAAAGAAAAGAAGCAGGTTTGCTTTCCCCCTGCAGCCTAGTGTGAGGCCAATCAGGGCTGTGATTTATTCTGCTAAAAGAAAAATCTCCCAGGTCAGAAGACGGGAGAGAAGTGCCGAAATGCTTCATGTTCACCAGGTAAAATCTCAGTAATTCAAACTTGGTATCAGAATGACCTCCCTGAGTTCAGGGCATTTCAACCACAGCAGGCTCAGCCCAGACTTCTGTTAACCCTTTCTGTTTGAAGACTCAGTTTTTTCGTTCAGCTTTGCGGGATTTTGTTTTAATATAATAATTCTTTGGTAACTTCCTCATATCAGTTTTCTGTTCTCTTTCTTCTGGGTGCTGGACCTCTTAAATTCATCTTCTTTGACTCTTCCTCTTTTCTCTTTCTTTTCTTGCTTTCTTCTCTTTTTCTCTCTATATTTTGAGGCTTCCTCAAATACGTGCAAATATCCCCTATCAAATTTTAAAACATTCACTTTCACATTTGTGCTTTGCAAAAGCTCTTTCTTCTTCTCTGATTCCTTCATTCTTATAGTAATCTCTTTTTTTTAGGTCTTATTGCCCAGGCTGGAGTGCCACGGTCCAATCTCGGCTCACTGCAACCTCCGCCTCCTGGGTTCAAGCAATTCTCCTGCCTCAGCCTCCCGAGTAGCTGAGATTACAGGCATGTGCCACCACGCCTGGCTAATTTTTTTTAAAAATTTATTTATTTATTTTTTGAGACGGGTTTCGCTCTTGTTGCCCAGGCTGGAGTGCAATGGCGCGATCTCGGCTCACCGCAACCTCCGCCTCCCAGGTTCAAGCAATTCTCCTGCCTCAGCCTCCCGAGTAGCTAGGATTATAGGCATGCACCACCAAGCCCGGCTAATTTTGAATTTTTAGTAGAGACAGAGTTTCTCCATGTTGAGGCTGGTCTCGAACACCAGACCTCAGGTCATCCGCCCACCTTGGCCTCCCAAAGTGCTGGGATTACAGGTGTGAGCCACTGCGCCCAGCCCCAGTGCCTGGCTAATTTTGTATTTTTAGCAGAGACGTGGTTTCTCCATGTTAGCCAGGCTGGTCTCGAACTCCTGATCTTGATCCACACGTCTAGGCCTCCCAAAGTGCTTGGATTACAGGCGTGAGCCACTGCACCCGGCATAGTATTCTATTTTTGTTTGAAGAATGCAATCCGGCCTCAATTTCTCTAATTGTATTCATTATAAGATTTTGTTTCATTTTTAAGCTTTCTTCAATTTTAAAAAAATTATCATCATTTCCTTCTGAGTCAGTTTTCTGTTGATGTGTCTATTATTCGCTATCATACTGTGTGTTCCCCAATTGCCTGGTAGATCTTTGTGTCTGATCCTATGTAAGAACTGGGGACGAAGAGGTCTGCCTGAGAGTTTTGTGAGCGTGATGAGCCTACTATATAATCAGGCTGCAACTTAGTATAAGTGGGTGAGAATCTGGGGTTTTGCAGATGTTAGAAAAAGTTATACTCTGGATAGCCAATATTTGCTTTAACTGTCCTTATCTTCCCCAAGGACTAGCTTAATTTTTAGAGAAAAATCTTGACATTTTTAGCTTGGAAGAAAATGCTTGAGTTTTTGTTATTTTTCAGGGACATAGAGAAAGTGGTGTATAGGCCTTTAATAATACCCTTATCGAGGCCCATTCCTCACTTCTTCCCTCTTTTGTGTTTTCCAGAGCCTTCTGGTTCTACCACCCACCCTGGCCAGCTGCTCAGCTGCAGCCTCCTCTGTTTGTATTGTGGGCGTGGAATCATCTGCTCTGTTTCATCCGTCAATACACCTCCATCTGCTTTTAATCTAATTTTAATTTTTTATGATTATGAAATGATTTAAATAGACAAAAATTATTAGGACAACCGGGTACCCACCACCCAGATTTAACACATGTTAACATTTTGCCATAGGTACTTTAGGTTCCATTTACTTTCCATTGTTTGGAAATGGGTTCAACTCTTTCCACTACCGATGTTCCTTATCCTGTTTCTTTCTCCATTATGTGCTTGTGATTCGAAAAGAAATAACTGCATTACTATTAGGTTTTAAGAGAGATGAGAAGCAGAGATATGTACTTAGTTTGCCATCTTAAACTGGTAGCCTAGCCAGATCTTTACTGTAATAATTTAAAAGACTTTGATCTAGCCTGGTATTTGTCAGTTTACTTTCAATAGGAACTTGGCGGAATAGAAAGTAATCAGATTTCACTGCAAATACTGAAGTTTTGTTTTTCCTTTCAGCCATTCAACCTATTATGTTAAGTTCCTACTATGTGCTCAGCACTTAAATAAAATCTTTGGGGGAAATACAAAAGAAGCTAAAAATACGGTTTTTGCCAAAGAGTTAGGAAGACAAAATTAATGGACATGCTGATCTTTAAAGGTTAGATATGTAACTTCCAGCTGTGTGATGCTTTAAAGTTTATAAATTGCTTTGCCAAGGCTCCTCATTTGATCTCTAAAACAACTAAGTGAGTGAGGCATGGATCATGTTATGAGTCTATTTTAGAGAGAAAAGAAATTAGTGTTGAGCATAGGCAGAGGGAAGGCTGTATGATGAGGCTGTCCTTGGCCTGGAATTTGATGTGTATGCAGTGTCCAGGTGATGGAGAATTGGAGGGTGTCCCCAACTGCTATCTTTTTCACTGCCTCATAATGAATTTCCTTTCTTAGCATGAAAAGAAAAGAGGCAGGGCAGGTGACTCATGTCTGTAATCCCAGCACTTTGGGAGACTGAGGAGGGCAGATCACTTGAGCCTAGGAGTTCAAGACCATCCTTGGCAACACAGTGAGACCTCACCTCTATATAAATTACACAACTTAACTGGGCATGGTGGCACATGCCTATAGTTCCAGCTGCTTGGGAGACTGAGGTGGAAGGATCAGTTGAGCCCAGGCTCACAGCACTGCACTCCAGCTTGGGCAACAGAGCAAAATCCTGTCTCAAAAAACAGAAAGAAAGAGAAGAAAGAGAGAAAGAAAGAAAGAAAGAAAGAAAGAAAGAAAGAAAGAAAGAAAGAAAGAAAGAAAGAAAGAAAGAAAGAAGGAAAGAAAAGAAAAGAAAAGAAAAAAAGGAGGGAGAAAGGGAGGGAGGCAGAAAGAGAGAGAAAGAAAGAGAGGAGAAAGAAAGAAAGAAGAAAAAGAAAGAGAAAGAAAAGAGAGAAAGAAAGAAAAGAGAGAGAAAGAAAGAGGAAAGAAAGAAGGAGAAAGATGACTGAGGTTTCAAGAGAAAATGGACTCTACAAGGTTACAAATGGAAAATTATTAGAACTAAAATCATCCTTTCTTTCTTTCCCAATTAAGCAATTTTTTATTTAAAAAGTTGTAAAAGGCTATAGTTTTACTACAAGGGCCTTTCCATCACACAAGCAACAGCTAATCACATTGAAATCCTGACTGGGCTTTCAATGTGGACTAAACATATAGCATGGAATAGGTACAGAATAGAATGCCAGAATTTAGGGATTTTGTGGACTCTTTTTTACTAAAGTATTCTTAGTTAATGAAACAGGGCCTTTTTTTTCTAATTATAAAGAAATAAAAAAGCAATACATTGTCATCGTAAAAGATTTAGACAACATGAAACACAGTAAAAAAGCAAATAATAATCATCGCTCATCAAGGGCTATTACTTCCAGCAATGACGGTTGAGGTCATTTGGATCAATTCTCTGTCTGAACATCTACAGAAGAAAGGCAAATATGAAAAAAAAAAATCCTTATGAAACCATTGCAGAATTAACAAGACAGTGAAGAATTACCAGGCCAAGGTCCATGGGGAAGACAGAAATTCAGAAGTGAGATCGCCAGGCAGGGCAGTTTTCTCCTGGAAGCACTACTGATTCTATGTGTTGCTGGAAGATGAGAGGTAAGTCAGACTTCAGACAGCTTTGCTGAGCTAGAGGAATAAGAATTGGAGTCTAGGACTTGCTAACAGTAGAAACATTGATGAATCACCTGGAGTTGGATTGGGACCTTCAATGACTGCCCTTCAGGAGTAAAGATGAACCAGAAATAATCTAGCCCTCAGTCTCACATCATCTCGGTGGCCCAATCATGACAGAAAAGATGAGAAAACCATGATTAATAAGGATGACCTAATTGACATTTATGAGAAATTTCATCTAAGAACCACTGACTGAACATTCATTTTTTTTCTTTTTTTTTTTATTATACTTTAAGTTCTAGGGTACTTGTGCACAACGTGCAGGTTTGTTACATATGTATACATGTGCCATGTTGGTGTGCTGCACCCGCTAACTTGTCATTTACATTAGGTGTATCTCCTAATACTATCCCTCCTCCCTCCCTCCACCCCACGACAGGCCCCGGTGTGTGATGTTCCCCACCCTGTGTCCAGGTGTTCTCATTGTTCAATTCCCACCTATGAGTGAGAACATGCGGTGTTTGGTTTTCTGTCCTTGCGATAGTTTGCTGAGAATGATGGTTTCCAGCTTTATCCATGTCCCTACAAAGGGCATGAACTCATCCTTTTTTATGGCTGCATAGTATTGCATGGTGATTGCACATTCATTTTAAGATCACATGGCACATTTACAAACTAAAAAGAAAATTTAAAAATAAAACCACGTTGAAAATGTATCACTGACATCTTTTTACATCAGTTACAGAGTTTATGGTGCATTTTTCTTTTATTTATTTTTTGTTTTTCCTTTTACTGTGACCCCTTTTTGGTGAATATGGTGCATTTTTAAATATAAAGGTCCACTAAGTAGTCAGGAGTGTCATAAAGTAGGTGTTAAAGTGGCTCAGTCTTTTGCTGTTTAAAAACACGTTTTTTATTTGCATGGCACGTTGTGATGGTGTCTCATGTCAATGCATTTTGTCACCTGCTGTGATTTTCTTCTTCATTTACGCCATCTTGGCTTATCATAAACTAGTAGAATGAGTACTTTACCTGCAGAATTCTCTCCTGATTCCCTCTAGGAACCTCAGTCCTAACCAGACCTCAGATAGGGTTAAAGGGTGGGGGCAGTCAGGGACTTGGGTTAAGGATATTCCCCTCCCCAGTTCCAGAACTGTAGAGATAAGTAGTAGAAACAGAGAGGAGGGTAGTCATGATTTGTTGAATTAAACAGAATTTATTTAAAATAAATTTCTTTATTGGAGTAGTAGATGCACATGATTAAAAAATTAAAATGTTTGAAGGGTTTATAAATATAAAACACTATGTTTTATCTTTTCTATTACTAAATTCTTTTACTCAGAGGCAATGACTTTGAACTCTTTAAGCTATTTCTACTGGTAGCTGTAAATAATATGCCTATGCTGCAATATATATATTTGTTTCAGTTGTAGACATTATATTTTGACTTTGGACTATGATAGGTGAGGACTTATCTCATTCATAATTTCGTTCCCACCCTTACCTTCTTATCCTCTTTTCTTCAATTTCAACATTAGTTTTTTTTTGGCCTCTATTCTTTACACTTATCCAATATTACATATTTGTTTATTGTTCCATCAATTATAGACAGTATCCCTCAACTCTCCTTTCCCTCTCTGCCCCCTAGCTTCTGCCACCTTTATTTAAAAGCTTTAGTGCCAGGTGCGGTGGCTCACGCTTGTAATCCCAGCACTTTGGGAGGCTGAGGCCGGAGGATCACGAGGTCAGGAGTTCAAGACCAGCCTGGCCAACATGGTGAAACCCCGTCTCTACTAAAAATACAACAAAAATTAGCCAGGTGTGGTGGCGCACACCTGTAATCCCAGCTTCTCGGGAGGCTGAGGTAGGAGAATTGCTTGAACCCAGAAGGCAGAGGTTGCAGTGAGCCAAGATAGTGCTACTGCACTCCAGGCTGGGCAACAGAGTGAGACTCTGTCTCAGGAAAAAAAAAAAAAAAAAACGGTTTACACAGTTAAAGCTGATTTCACTTATATTCTATTCTGGAAACACAACTGAGTTGTTTGCATTTTATCTATAGAAAAAGAAGAAAGTTGAAAAACAGTGTTTACATTATTGTAACTACGTAAACATTACTCACTCTGAAACCAGGTGCTATAATAACACTTACTTTTTGTATTACTTTTTGTTTTTCCTGGGTTTCAAATGGCATCTTACTTTTCTTTGTACCACTTGCCTTTCTTATTTCTGTTTTTCTGCCCTTTTCACCCAATCACACACTGCACTGATGTTTTTCCCCCTCAGATCTTTCTCCAGGGGGCTCTGTTCTTGCACATCATCTGAACTGCTTGTTTCCTAGGTGGTCTGGAACTTCCTGTCACTGCTTTCTTGGATTGATTCCACTGGATTCTACTTCTCATTCTCTGTTTCTTGGCATTTTCTCTCCTTTTCCTGTAGAATAACCTCAAGTAAAATTCCTAAAGACGTGGTTTGTGGGACATAAGCTTTCTGAGTCCTCTATGTTGGAACGTGATTACATTTACTGTTTACATTTGCTCACTGATTTGGCTTAGTTGAAAATCATGTTTCTTTAAAAAAGTTTGAGGATATCTCATAATTGTTTTCTAACTTAATTATGTAATCTCATGATTATTTTCTGACCCCTATTGGTGTTCATCAAACTGATGAACAATTTGATTTTTAGTTTGTTTCTAATTCTTGGTGGGTAAGTGTTTTATTCCCTTTCAGGCTTTTGAACTTTTACCCTTAGTCTTTTAAAATAATGAAGCAGGAGGTGTGGCTTTAATAAAAATGTAGGGCCCTTTCCAACCTTGATTATTGTGGCATTCAGCTCTGAGAAACATACTTATATTACTTCTTTGATAACCTCAGTTCTTCTGCTCTTTAAAAAAACTTAAAAAACAATTTTATTGGCCAGGCACAGTGGCTCACGCCTGTAACCCCAGCACTTTGGGAGGCCGAGGCGGGCGGATCACGAGGTCAGGAGATAGAGACCATCCTGGTTAACACGGTGAAACCCCGTCTGTACTAAAAAAAAACAAAAAAATTAGCCAGGCGTGGTGGCAGGCGCCTGTAGTCCCAGCTACTCGGGAGGCTGAGGCAGGAGAACGGCGTGAACCCGGGAGGCGGAGCTTGCAGTGAGCCCAGATCGCACCACTACACTCCAGCCTGGACCACAGAGCGAGACTCTGTCTCAAAAAAAAAAAAAAATTTTTATTAACCAGTTATTGGGCTTCAGGGATGGCTCCCCAAGGTCTAATCTTTTCTCTAATATTTTTTATTCTCAGTTTGTCTATCTTTTTTTTTTAAATTCATTTGACTTTGTTAGCAAATTTTCTTTAGGGGTTTTAACTTTGTTTCTTATTTTTTAAATCTATTGTTATGGAAATTTTTGATAACATTATATATCCATATAAATGAAAGAGTTACTGCTTGCTAAGAAAGCTGGATAGTTCTTCTTCCTCATTTTCCTTATTACTTCTCTGCCAGGACCATTACTTCAGTTTTCTGCTTTTAAATAATTTGCTCACATTCCTTCTCTGTCTACTCTTCATTTTTGTCTCTCTTTCTCCTCCTTCTCCTCTACCTCCTCCTTTTTTTTTTTTTTTTTTTTTTTTTTTGAGACGGAGTCTCGCTCTGTTGCCCAGGCTGGAGTGCAGTGGTACAATCTCGGCTCACTGCAAGCTCCACCTCCCGGGTTCACGCCATTCTCCTGCCTCAGCCTCCTGAGTAGCTGGGACTACAGGTGCCTGCCACCACGCCCAGCTAATTTTTTTTGTATTTTTAGTAGAGACAGGGTTTTGCCGTGTTAGCCAGGATGGTCTTGATCTCCTGACCTCGTGATCTGCCCGCCTCGGCCTCCCAAAAAGCTGGGATTACAGGCATGAGCCACCGCGCCCAGCCCTTTCTTCCTCTTTTTTAAAGTTTTAAGCAGTTGACTTTTTAATGTAGAAGATAAGTTTCTTAGCTCTCTGTCTTCCCTTCACCTCCACCAACTATCACACCCTTTCCATCCCCATCTCCCCTGTATTATTTATCTATTGCCACAAAATTCTACATAACAACCAACCACAAAACATCCAGTGGCATAAAACAAAAATCTTGTATTTCTCTCTCAGTTGCAGGGTTTAGATGATTTATGTCCAGCAACTCTACTGGCGTAGACTAAGCTTTCTCATGTATCTGGGAGTTGGCTGGCATTGGCTACTCTAGACTGGAGGCAGCTGGTGTGACTTGGCAACAGGGGTAATTTGGTTCTGCCTCTTTGGTCACTGATCTCTCACTAAGTTACCCATGATACGTTCCCACGGAAATGAAAGAGGCACAAGAAGGAATGTCTATTTGAAGCCTCTGCTAACATCTCATTGGCCAAAGCAAGAGACATGATTGATCTCAAGATCAAGAGGCAGGTTATGCCATCCTACCCATGGTGGGGTTACATGGCAACTGTGAAGTTACAGGGCAAAAGCCATGGGTAAAGAAAGAGGTGAAGAATTGGAACCATCATTGCAGCTCTCCCTCTCTGTACCTACGTACAACAACCCTATATCCTAGTTTTGGTTGGATCGATATTTTCTCTTTCTCTACATTTTGTTTTTTTCTGGAGTATTTCTTTATAACTTTTTAATGACTTAGTTCAATTTCTAACTTTTAAGATATTCCAACTTTATTGGGAGGCCGAGGCGGGCAGATCACAGGGTCAGAAGATCAAGACCATCCTGGCTAACATGGTGAAATCCCATCTCTACTAAAAATACAAAAAATTAGCCGGGCGTGGTGGTGGGCACCTGTAGTCCCAGCTACTCGGGAGGCTGAGGCAGGAGAATGCTGTGAACACGGGAGGCGGAGCTTGCAGTAAGCCGAGATCGTGCCACTGCACTCCAACCTGGGCAACAGAGTGAGATTCCGTCTCAAAAACATATATATATATATATATATATTTCAACTTTACTTCTAAGATGTTGGACATTGCATCAAAGATTCTAGCAATTTCATCTTCCTGAACAAATCTCTCCAGGATGTTTCAGATCTGCTCCAGTCTGGACTGGTTGCCTTTCACACTGACATGTGGCTGTCATCCTGAGGTCCATATCCGTAAGAATTCTCCGTTATCCTGAAGAGTTCTACTTTCTCTTTTCTGACTTTAATCCTCTGCTTTCTGTAGCCATGTCTTCCTGTTTCTCAAGTTTACCCCCTCATTTTAGTGATGCATATTCGCCAATAGCTTCCTGAGAAAGGGTCCATGGGAGGTAAGTTTTTGAGACCTTGAATCTATGAAAGGGCTTTATTCTGTCTTTAAATTTGATCGACAGTTGTGAAAGATAGAAGTCTAAAGTTTTTGGAAATCTTCAGACCAGCACTTCACAACATGTATTACTGGGTTCTGGAGAACTTAGTATGTGGTCAGCCCTAAAACACATTTTGAAGATAGGGTAGTTTGATAAACACTGCATCAAAAAGAGTTAAACTAATTTCTCTACTAAGAACTTGGAGGTTTTAATGTGCTAATGCGTATTGTGACTCTCCAAGAAGGAGGATGTACTGCATGATGTCTTCAAGCCTTATTTGATCATGGAAACTTTCTTCATCTTGCCTCTAAAGGGAAAAAAGTTTTGCAGAACAAACATTTAGAAATGGTGTAAAAGGATTTTGAAGTTGGGTGCCCTAGTTTATGTCCTACGAAGAGGCAACTTCTTCTCGCCCCAGTGCCCTCCTCTCAGCTACTCCTAAGAAGCCAGCCCTTAAAATACTTTGATTACTATGGGTAATTTTCAGAATGAGGATGTGTGCAGGTAGGAGGGGAATAGAAAATCAGTAGACTATGTGTCCAACATAGAGACCAGAATGGAAGAATTTAAGGTTAAAAAATGTGTATAGTGAAATATCTTAAAATATTGGCCTTTTCACAGTTTCTGGTAAGGGACTTATCTCCCAGTCTGTCTGCCTCCTTGACTTGAGGATGATAGGCACATTTAAAAAATAAATCTATCAAAATCTGTTTGGGGAAAACATCCTCTCCCATTCTCAGGCCATGTGGTCCTGAGGAGGCTGATCTCACCCTCTGGCTCGAGAATGGTTGTGTGACCTGGTCTGGGCTGATGAAAATCAGCTATGCGGATTTTGTGAGAACTATTTGAAAAAAGAGACATTTCTTTTTTTGTTTGGATTGCCTGTGGTTTGGACACTGCAAGCCTAGGACTGCCAATGGACTTTTCTGATCTCTTTTTTTGGAGACACTGCCTGAAGATGTAGCCAACACAGAGGGAAGCAGAGTGAAGAGGAAGAAATTCAAGAGTTCCTGGAGACATCCTTTGAAAGCCCACATCAGCCTTGCATGACCTGTCAGTTCCATATTTGGACTTTTCAGTTATTGAGGCCATACATTCATTTTTAGGTTTCAGCTAGCTTGAATTTCTGTTACTTTCTTTTTTTTTTTTTTTTTGAATTTCTATTACTTTCAATTTAAAAAGTCATTAGCAGAGTTACTCTGCCTCCCTTAGTGTTACATGCTGCAAGGATGAAAGGGGAATGCAAATGGAAATGCCTTTTTTATAGTTAGAACTCATTGGTTGTTAGCTTCCTTTTCCACATGGGTTTTTTTTTTCTTTTACATCAGGAAAGAGTGTCCTAAAACATGGTGGTCTACTGAGACCAACTAAGGAGAAAGCTAAAAGTCAGAAATCCAGGATACGAAGTATTCCCAGGAGCTCTGTACATTAAACTTTGGGATGGGAACTTGATGTTGAGATGAAAAGTGGCTCAGTGCATGTCAGGATGTTGAATGGGTAAGCCCAGCTCCAAACAGCACACATACATCAATTCTACACACTGTTTCAGAGAAAAGTGGAACCGTATATGGATTCTGGCAAGTTCTATGAGACGTGACCCGCAGAAGAAAACAGCAGAAATCCTCTAGCAGAGCAAGGTGGGCCGTTATTTGGTGGTGCATGCTAGCCACGCAGCTGTGCTTGTCTGCCCCTGATCTGCTTGTAACTCACACATGTTTTTTCCCTACAGGCCAACTCAACCATGGTTTTTTGGTTTTTTGGGTTTTTTTTTTTTTTTTTTTTGAGACAGAGTCTCGCTTTGTCATCCAGGCTGGAGTGCAGTGGTGCAATCTCAGCTCACTTCAACCTCCGCCTTCCAGGTTCAACCAATTCTCCTGCCTCAGCCTCCTGGGTAGTTGGGACTACAGGCATGTGCCACCATGCCCGGCTAATTTTTGTATTTTTAGTAGAGACTGAGTTTCACCATGTTGGCAGGCTGATCTCGAACTCCTGACCTCAGGTGATCCACCCGCCTCAGCCTCCCAAAGTGCTGGGATTACAGGCGTGAGCCCCCATGCCTGGCCACCCATGCGTTTTAAGCAGAATTTCTCTGGCCCTCTTTGGCATGTAAAGGACATCAAAGGCTTTTCATGGGTATAAGCACAGTCTGGTTGGACAGACATCCTGCTGTGGATGCTGGCTTTTCTTTGCCTTGGTTAACAGTTTCCCTTCTGGATCAATAAATACCAGTATCAATACGTATCAATGTACATTCTGAAGTACCATCCTGCTTGTTTCTTGTTGAGGATTAAAGATTAGGAAAATATAGATTAGTTTGCAGATTAGGGCAGCTTAGCTGTACACCTAGAATGGTTGGGTGTCCTTTGCCTACTATTTCCTCTAGCCCAACACACAAGTCCACACACACACACACACACACACACACATATGTACATGCATTCATGCATATTCACACACACATGCTCATGCATCCACATACGTTTATGCATATTTACCCATGCATGCTCATGGATGCACCAGTGTCCTTCATGTTCCAGACTCAAATACGTAGACAGTCTAGTGACAGCCGGCAATTCCTGCCTTACTGAAAACTATCTAGGATGGGGAGTGGGGAACTGGGTGGGGAGTTTATCAAGGTCTTTTCTGCAGTCTCCCTCATTGTGTGGAAAGACTGAGCTTAGTGCCTGGAAAGAAACAAACTGCAAGAACTTTCGTTGCATCTCCAGAAGACAGCCTGCCTCTCCCTGGGGTAGTATGTGCTGTGTTGACTTTTGGCTCATTCTCTGTGAAGGAATTGTTTATACTGAGAAGTAAATATGGGAGGACAAGCAGAGAGGAGGAGAGTGTGTATTTTTGTGTGGGGGGTGGGGTTCAGTCAGAGCTTGCCTGCAGTTCTGGAAGCATTTGTGACATCAGCATTGGGCACTGGGAAGCATCTTAGGCTGGCAGGAGTGTCCTGAGCTCTGTTGGTCTCCTGGGATGCCACGACACATCTTTCCCAGGAGCAAAGCACTTCAGCACATCCCTGTGCTTTGCAGAGCTCTGAGTTCCAATGTCACATTGCCTCCTTGACTTTTACATTGCAGGCCTCAGTACAGATGACCTCTTCAGAGAGGCCTACCTTGGTCAGGCCTCTGGACAAGTAAAGCGATCACCTCTTGAATCATCCTCCAACTCCACCCCATTAACTCCCTTCCAGTGGCTATCAGTGCCTGAAAATATCTTAGTTGCTTGTTTATGTTCTCTACTTTCCCATGCTAGAATGTAAGCTCCCTGAGCTCCAGGGATCTGCCTTATTTCCCCCTTGTCTCCATCACATTGAACAGTTGGCAATGTGTCATAGGTGCTTGGTAAATACAGTATTTGCTGATCCACTGACCCACTGCATAGATTTTCTGAGGACTGAGAAAGAGCAGTTAATCAACTTAATTCTCTGAGTTAAGGATGTGAGATACAAGAATAACAAACTGTCATTAATGTCTTCAAAAAATGCATTGCACATTCCCTTACAAGTGTGATGATTAACATTATATGTCAACTTGGTGAGGGTATGGTGCCCAGTTGTTTAGTTAAACACCGGTCTAACTGTTGCTGTGGAGGTATCATTTAGCTGTGATTAACATTTGAATTAGTAGACTTTGAGATAGCCCTTCAAAATGTGGGTGGGCCTCATGCAATCAATTTGCCTTAAGAGCAAAGATTGAGGTTTCCTGAAGAAGAAGGAATTCTCCTCAAGATGGCAGCATAAAAATCCTGCCTGACAGAGCTTGCAGTGAGCCGGGATAGCACCATTGCACTCCAGCCTGGGCGACAGAGCGAGACTCCACTTCAAAAAAAAAAAAAAATCCTGCCTGAGTTTCCAGCTTGCTGTCCTGCAGATTTCAGACTCAAGAGTATAACAGTTCATACCTGAATTTCCAGCCTGTTGGCCTGCCCTGTGGATTTCAAAATTGCTACTCCCCATAATTGTGTAAATTTTGTGAGCCAATTCCTTAAAATCTCTCTCTCTATAAATATGTACTACATATACATACCTATAGGCATATGCTTAATGCTTTAACTTATTATTTCATTTAATCATTACGACAACCTTATGAATAGGCATTGTTTCTATACTTACTATATAATATGAAAACCAAGTTTCAGAGAGGTTAAGTAACGTAGCCAATATCACACAGCTGGCAAATCATGGAGTTTGTGCTCCAGCCCGAGTCTGTCCAATGCACAAGCATATGCTTTTATCATCATGCAACTCTAAAACTGGAACATGAATCAGAAATGGCTCTTGCCTTTGAAGGGCTTGTGGTGTATTACAGGGAAGTATAGACAGAAATAATTGCAATTTTCAGGGCAGAGATTGATAAGTTTTATGAAATTTAACAGGAGAGAAAGATCAGTTTAGCTTCTGTGGATGGTGCAGAGCTTAATGGATAATAGTTTCAATCTGGGCTTTGAAGAATGGATAGGAAGGACTTGAATACTTGGAGCTAGAAAGGATGTCATTGTAGATCTGTACTGTGAAGTAGAAATAGAGTGTGAGCCACACATTAGAGCCACATATAGAATTTTAAAATTTCTGGTGGCTGAATGAAAAAGGAAACAGGCAAAATCCAATTAATAATATGCTTTACCTAGCCCAACATATCTAAAACACTACCATTTCAACGTGTAATCCACATAAAATTGTTAATGAGGCATTTTCACGTACTTTTTGCACCAAATCTTCAAGATGGTAGAACACTTCTCAGTTTAGCATGTTCTCAATAGAAAAAAGTTATCAATGAGCTATTTTGATTGTTTCTTTTCTAATACATCTTTGGAATCTTGTGTGTATTTTCCCTTAACAGCACATCTCAATTCGGACTAGACGCACTTCAAATGCTCAGTAGCTCCGTGTAACTCGTGGCTACCACATTGGACAGCAAAGCTGTAGATAGAGAGCAGGGCAGGGCAGAGACCAAGTGACAGGGAGGCTAGGTGCAGGTGCAGGACTTGGAGAAGCATGGTCAGCCTGGAGTGGAAAGGCAGGTGGGGCTGGATAACGGAGAGCCTCAATAAAGTTTTGAGATTTTAGTAACAGGTAAAGAGGAGCCACCACAGGTTATGTGAAGAGGGAAGAAAGCTCTGTCTTAGGAAGACATTAGCATGAGGGGCGAGTGGGTCATGGAATGGCTAATGGGGAGAGAGACCAGCTGGAGAGCACTGGCAGTGGTTCCCTTGGAGATAATGAGTCTGAACTGAGGCTGTGATGCTGGGGATAGACAGAGTGGAAAATGCCACTGGATAAGAGTTTGCAAGCACTGGTAAAGGAGAGGGAGCCACAAGGATATTAAGAGGGGATTCTGAGCTTTCCATACTGGGTGACTAGGAATACAGTGTGAAACAGGCAGCTCTAGAGAATTACCAACAGATTACAAGAGGTTTCATCTTCTCTCACTATGGGATTTGAAACAGTCTCCAGGACCTCTTCCCTCCTCCTTGCTGGGGAAAGATGTCTGGTTCTCAGCCCCTCTCCAGCAGGAAGACGGGTGATTGCACTATCAAGCCCTCAAGAACGACCCTGCTTCAGCAGAGCTCCATCCATCCCTCATCTTGTTAGAACTACGTGACCCTGAGCATCTACTGAATGTCTCTAGGTCTTGGAATCCCCAGAAGCACCACTCCCCAAGTGGTGTGGTTAGATAGCAACTGGATCCTGCTGTCCAATATGCGTCTAATGATCTGTTATTACGTGCTCAGTGCGTCTCTAACTGCTCTAATGAGCTGGAAGTCTGGAGGAGGAATGACAAAGATTTACAGCTTTTCCTTGGGAAACCGTCCTCATGTCATGGGAGGGATTAACTGGACCAGGCATGACTCCCAGCTCAGTGGCTGCTGATAGCAACAGGGACCATAAGAATCTTGGGTGATTAGAGCCCTATGTTATCATGGACGCCTTCCTCGTCGTTGTTTATTTTAGATTGTGGCCATCCCGGCAGCCGGCTTGGTGTGTGTCAGACATACTTAATAGAGAGATAATTTAGGACAAAGAATGTGTGAGATGGTTCTGGGGGAGATGGAGAGTGAGGGGGTAGAGTCGTTCCCAGGTTTGATTGCTGCATACTTTGTTATCTAGGGAAGAGCTCCTGGGGACTTCTTGGATACATCTCCACTTCTACAGCCCCGCTTCCCTTAATCTTCTCACAGCCCTTTAGTTACTTTTGGAGTCTTGTTCTTCAGGTCTCAGTGTTGCTGCCTTGAATGGTTCATCTTTAACTTCAGGTTGCATCCTTTTCTTTTTCAAGGTTCTTATTCTTTCCCTCCTTTTTTCTGTTCTTCTAGTTCTCTGTTCCACTTCCTTCTTTTCTGGAATTTTTTGTCTTCTCTTCCCATTTATTTGCTGAAGTAGTACATGGTGAGTGAGGCTCTTCGTGGAACCGCCACCATTTTTATTTACCTCACGTTGTGCCTTGCATGTTCTCTTACCTTTTCTATTTGCTCCGTCCCTATAAACTTATAAAGCCTTTTCTTCACTTTTTTCTTCCTCATTGTCCTTTGATCCCCTCCTCCCCCCAAAAACTCAACCTGGAAGAGTCCCTGGTGCAAGGAAATTTATAAATAGATCATCACCAAAAAACCCCAAAACTGTCCTTGTTGAAGGTGAAAAAGACCTTCAATAGGATCCAGACCATAAGACTATAGGGGTTAGCACAGCTCACTAGAAAACATGACATATTAAACCAATATTTTTGTGTGTTTTTTAATCTAGATAGTCAGAAATGAATCAATTCCAAAGTCTGTAAGACTCAAAATTAGAAGTGGAAGAAAATAAAGCCTATGATTTGGATTCTCTCATTGACATTAGCCCTGTCACAATGCCAAGGAGTTTCAATAGTTCTCTAGGGGACTGTTTATCAAAACCACAGAAATTGTCCACACAAGAGCACAGAAAACTCTGCTCTGGATCTGCTCCTATCAAGTCCGCTGAATACATCTCTGTCTTAGCATTTTCTGCAAACACAAGGGGGAACACTAATAGCCCAACTCCCTTCTTAATAATCCAATTTGGATCAATTGACCAAATCATTATTCAAAGCCTTCTTTGGCCTATTAATACTTGATTTGTATAGGCTCCTAGGATAATGAGTTCCATATGGCATGGGGTGACTCTGTCCACTCTGTTATTTTTAGAGGAGTTCGAACTTGTGCTATGCCAGTTGGGCAGGTGTCTTTTGACCTCTAAGTGTCCTCCAGGGACAACCGCCCAGGTGCTCTCTGTACAGTGTTGTTCCCTCCAATATCCCTTGTCATGAGAGGAAGCTGCCCCAGCCAAGCAGGAAGGAGCATTTTTTTTTTCTCGATTGATTGCAAAGCTGAACAGAATCCTGGAGCTGAGTTTCCCATCATTGTTGCTTCATGGTACTTTGCATAGAGACTACACTCATCTGCCTTTAGGGGAGCACAAAAGGGTACTGGGATTTGCACCCAGACCTCTTGTTTTTAGTCTCTGTGCTGTTCTTTACTGGCCATAGGACCTTAAGCGAGTCATTGAATCCTCCTCAGCCTTAGTTTCTCATGTGCAAAATGGGTGTATAACACCTGCCTAAATTACTTCTCAAAGTATTTGTGAGCAGTGAATGAGATGAGGGAGTGTTTTGAAATGGTAATGTGCTACATAAAAGCCTTGTTATTATTATTAATGTCATCCTTTGGTTAGGCGTTTGTTGGATCCTTTTTCTGCAGGAGCATGGCATAAGATCTCTCTTGCTTCTCTCTTCTTGGCCACTCCCTGGCCTTCCTCTTTGTCTCCCCACCATTGGAAAACTCTTTTTAAGTGTGGGCTGGAGTAGCCCCTGAGGCTGATTATTTTATTCTAGAGTGGGGGCATTTCTAACCCTGCCTTAATCACCTTTGAACACTGAAGGTTAGACCAACACTGTGAAGATAGATCTTGCAGGCTGGGAAAAACTCAAACCACAAAGGGTGAGGCTCATTTCCAAGGGCAGATTTTCAGAGGAGCCTAGAAATAAAAGCTGGTTGGGGATATCTGCTCAAACGGAGATGTGGTAACTGTGTCAGAGAAAACTGGGCCCATGGTACTGTTTCTCATTCCAGTGGGCATTAAATTCTTGACACATGCTTTCTCTTTTTCTTGAAATGCCATTCCTTTTTGGTTATACTTTTTATTTTTTTATTTTTACTATTATTTTTTTTAATTTATTTTGAGATGCAGTTTTGCTCTTGTTGCCCAGGCTGGAGTGCACTGGCGTGATCTCGGCTCATCACAACCTCTGCCTCCCAGGTTCAAGCGGTTCTCCTGCCTCAGCCACCCAAGTAGCTGGGGTTCTAGGCATGCACCACCATGCCCGGCTGATTTTGTATTTTTAGTAGAGACGGGGTTTCTCCATGTTGGTCAGGCTGGTCTTGAACTCCCGACCTCATGTGATCTGCCTGCCTTGGCCTTCCAAAGTGCTGGGATTAGAGGTGTGAGCCACCATGCCCAGCCTTGGTTATAGGTTTTTAAAAATATTTTGTATGCTTTATGAGAATTAGCTTTTAGTCCTGACTACAACCTTTCAAGGGTGATATTATTGTGTCTTCCATTTTGCAGATGAGGAAACTGAGGTGCTGAGATGAGGCAACTTCCCAATGCCACCTGGTGATGGAATTGGTATTCCAACACATTTTGGTCTAATTCTACAGTCCACGTGGTTATCCACGAAGGGGAAGTCACCCATGAGGGGAACTGCGAGAGTCACCGTGAGACTTCCCAGTGCTTCACATGCTCCTGACCTCAAGAATGGCTCCTAAATTGCAAAAGAAATAACCAAAGGAATATTGCAACTGGGGAAAATCCATGCTCATGCTGCAAGGCCATCCACATGCTAAAAACATTGAGGAATTTCCCCAACATAGGATCTGACAAGATCAGAGAATCTCAGGAAGCAAAGGACAGCTTGACCACACCTCCATACCACCCCAGAGTGCTGGCTGGGGGTTTAGTCAGCAGGGGCTACAGAAGCCACGTTGGTGACTGGGTGAATGGGGTAGGATGGGGTTCTTTCATGGTGCCCCTCTTTTTCTCCTTAAGCATTGCTCTTTCAAACGGTTGGGACCTAGAAGCCAGCTACAGAAGGTGGCAAACCTTCTCTCCTATTCTGCTTGCACTTTGTCCAGCAGAAATTCCTTGCATTTGGACATGGTCATCTTTCCAGTGCCCGACCCTGGGAAGCCACAGTGTTTTCACTGTGTGTTTATGTTTTCGAGGCATTTCCATGGGCCTCTGAGGGACATAGGTGAAAGTTCATCGTCATTTTGTCATCGTGCCCAGGAGACCAAGACTTCATTCTTTGGAACAGAGATATTTCTATAGATTCTTCTTCTCTCTCTCCTCTTCTTCCTCTTCTTTCCCTTCTTTTTCATCTTCTCCTTCTCTTCTTTCTCCTCTTTCTCCTCCTCTTATTCCTCTTTTTCTCCTCCTTCTGTTCCTCCTCCTTCTCCATCTTTAAGCTAATATTCATTTTATAAAAGCTATTGATTTTCACATATTAAAAAGTCAGGTAGAGCTTGAAGGCTTTTTAAGAAAAATAGCAGTTCCTTCACCTACCCTTTCCCCTACTCCCCAGAAACAAAATATTTCCCGTCTTTTCTAAAATAAATATATGCTTACATTGCCTTTCCTTGACTTGCTAATTTAGAAGTTATCTACTGAGACAATATTACAGTGGCTCTGATAATTGAGATCTTTCACACCCATCTACTCTTGCCCTTCACCACACCCCAACCTACATACATGCCTATTCTCTTCCTAACAAAACCTTATTACACCTTTTAGTGAAATCATTATTCACAATTCCGTGGCCATGTAAATATTGCTACTACTGAGCTAAATATTGTACTTTCCTGGTAGTATACATTTTTTCCTTTTAAAACTTTTGCTTTCCTGGAATTTAGTAAGCCTTTAGAAAATTTGTTTATCCCAGCACTTTGGGAGCCCGAGCTGGGTGACTTATGTGAGGTCAGGAGTTTGAGACCAGCATGGCCAACATGGGGAAACCTTGTCTCTACTACAAATACAAAAATTAGCCAGGCATGGTGGCACATGCCCATAATCCCAGCTACTCGGGAGGCCGAGGCAGGAGAATTGCTTGAACCTAGGGGTCGTAGGCTGCAGTGAGCCGAGATCGTGCCATTGCACTCCAGCCTGGGCAACAGAGTGAGACTCTGTCTCAAAAAAAAATAAATAAATAAAATTTGTTTGACGTGTATCACCTAATCCCATCGCTCCTGTTTTTTCCTTGCGGTCCTCCGCTCTCTGCTCCAGTCAGCCCGGTATGCTCTGTGGCTCTCCTGCCTGGGGTTGTCTTGATATTTTCCTTTGTGACCACTCTGGGATTTCCTTGTGCTGCTCTCCTGTGTTAGAGCCTTTTTCGTGTACCCCCAGTCACCCCCTTTTCTTGAGGTATGCACTCACTTTCATGGAGAACATCCTCCAGTAGCTTCCTTGAAAAATGACACATGGCAGGTATATTTCTGGATTCTTTCCATGTCAGGAAATTGTCTTTATCCTTTCACACTTGACTGATGGTTTGACAAAGTATAGAATTTTAGATTGGAAATAATTTTCTCTTAGAATTTTGAAGGCACTGCTCTGTTTTTCTCTACTACCCTTGACTCCCGGTAAGCTTTTAAGGTTTTCTCATTATTTTGTCTCTTGGTTTGTGTCTTTCTCCACTCATTGTGCTGGTTGTTTTGTAGATTCTGTTGATCAGAGGACTTGTGTCCTACAGTTGTGGGAAATTTTTTGAATATGTATATTTTTTGATAATTATACCCTGACTGCTTCCTAGGTTTATTTTTTCTTGATCTCCTTATAGGATATTGGCTTCCTGAATTGAACCTCTAGTTTTTGGTTTTTTTTTTTCAACTTTTCCTTCCTATTGGCTATTTATTTTTGGTTCTACTCTAAGGGAGCGTTTCTCAACTTAGCCATTTCTTCTTTGAATCGAAAAAATATTTGACTCTTAGATTTTAAACTTTCATATTTTCTTATTCTCTAGTTGCTTCTTCTTCTTCTTCTTTTTTTTTTTTTTTTTTTTTTTTTTTTTTTTTTTTTTTGACAGAGTCTTGCCCTGTTGCCCAGGCTGGAGTGCAATGGTGTGATCTCAGCTCACTGCAACCTCTGCCTCCCGGGTTCAAGAGATTCTCCTGCCTCAGACTCCCAAGTAGCTGGGATTACAGGCATGTGCCACACACCCAGCTAATTTTTTGTATATTTAGAAGAGATGGGGTTTCATCATGTTGTCCAGGCTGGTCTTGAACCCCTTACCTTGTGATCTACCCACCTCAGCCTCCCAAAGTGCTGGTATGACAGGCATGAGCCACTGAACCTGGCACGAGTTGCTTTTTTTGTTTCTTTTGTATATCCTCTTATTCTTGTTTCATGGTGGCAATCTTATTTCTGCAAGCGCATTCATTACAGGTTTTCTAGTCAGTTTTCTTTTGCTTCCTGTGTTGTCTCTGTTTTCTCTAAGTTTGTGCTTTGTTTTCTAAAAGGAAAAGATTTCTTGTTTTGGCCTTTATCTTTATTACTGGTAGCCTTCCTCAAACCTGGAGTGATCTTGGCTTATCTATTTCAACTTAAGAACAAAGCATTAAAAAATGAACGGAGACTTCTTTGTGGATTTCACTGGTAGACTTCCTCATGGGGCCGTAGGCTGGTGATCCTGCTTCCTGGTTGGGCAAATGGAGATTTTTTTCCTTGAGGCTGTTCAGCTTCTCTAGGGAAAAATCCTCTGTCCTCTTTTCTGATGGTAAAGGCTCAGTTCTTTGGAAACAAGGAGTTGAAGGCCCCCCTGTAAATTCAAATTAATTCCCTTGTTCTCAGGCCTGCTCCTCATCTCTGCCCTGTACTCTGCCTGGATCCTGTATCCTGGTTTCAGGAACCTTAATGGTTCAGTTTCTCTGAGGACAGCCACTGGTATCCCATAGGGTTACGTGGGTATATTTGCTGGGTTGCATGGAGTGGGGGTAGGGATGTGTGATCTAATCACTCCATGAACAGACGATCAGTCAAGCATTTCTAGCCTATCCCTCACCCCAGCTTTTGCTTTTAAAACTTTTTGCTTTCCTGGAAATTAGTAAGCCTTCTAAAAATGTGTGTGACATGTATCAGCTAATCCCATCACTCCTGTTTTTCCCTTGCGGTCCTCCACTCTCTGCTCCAGTCTGCACGGTGTGTTCTGAGCTCTCCTGCCTGGGGTTGTCTTGGTATTTTCCTTTGCGACCACTCTGGGATTTCCTTGTGCAGCTCTCCTGTGTTAGAGCCTTTTTCCTGAACTCCCAGTCACCCCCTTTTCTTGATGTATGTGCTCATTTTCATGGAGAAGCTCCTCCAGTACCTTTCTGTTCCATTGGGCGAATCAGCCCTTTTTGAGTTGGCATCCTCCTCTGAAGACAATAGAATGAAGTTCCCACTGACCTGTTAAGTCAATTGCCCTCCCATTCTTTTCTGTCTTCCAAAACTTACAGGATCTTTTTTTTACACTGAAGTGTTCTTCCCTGCTTATTTTGTTCTTGTAGGCTTATGCTTTTTTTTTTTTTTTTTTAATTTCTTTCCTTCCATTAAATGAGATTTTCAGAGAGGGTAGATAAACATGTGAGTTCAATCTGCCATGTTTAGCAGGCAGCCACTGTAGACCTGTGAACAGAACTGTGAGATGATGAAAGTCAGAAATGGGTTGAGAAGACTGATCTGCAGGTGGCTTGTTAGAGACGTTAGGGAGGGAAGTGACTATTGGCAGGGGTCCAGCCTGAAGGTTTCCTTAGATCCTGATGAGGGATGATAAGTGAGAGGTGTTTGAATTTGGGTGGGTGTATGCCGGATCTGCAAGTAGGGAAACAAAGGGAAGCATCAGATTTGAAATGGCAACCGATGTCCCACTGGGTAGATCTGGCTCTCTTCTCTCTCCCTGTTTTTTAAAATATGTGCTATACGGGCATATTTTGCCCATCATTTCTTTCTTTCTATATTTTGCCCATCATTCCTTTCTTTCTATATTTTGCCCATCATTTCTTTCTTTCTATATCTTTTATTTC
This sequence comes from Homo sapiens, assembly GCF_000001405.40. Taxonomy (NCBI): domain Eukaryota; kingdom Metazoa; phylum Chordata; class Mammalia; order Primates; family Hominidae; genus Homo; species Homo sapiens. Next base: position 14,459,251 of record NC_000017.11, read on the forward strand.
CCTACAGGCCCGGGGCAAGTGTTTGTTTTTATTCAGCTGTGTCCTAAACAAATGTTTCTTAATCTTTAAGATGCATAAGAATCAGATTAGAAAAATGCAGATTCAGATTTATAGGTCTGAGTTGGGGCCTGAGATTCTGCATTTCCAGCAAACTCCTGAATGATGCAGAGGCTACTGGCCCACATGGTTCTGGAAGGAGGTTTGAATGCTCAGAAAAGCCTAAGCGGGAAAGGCATTTCACTTAGAGGCATCTTCCAGCCCTCACTTTTTTTTTTTTTTTTTTTTTTTGGAGACGAAGTCTCACTCTGTCGCTCCAGGTTGGAGTGCAGCAGTGCGATCTCGGCTCACTACAACCTCTGCCTCCTGAGTTCAAACGATTCTCCTGCCTCAGCCTCTCAAGTAGCTGGGGCTACAGGCACCCACCACCACGCTCGGCTAATTTTTGTATTTTTAGTAGAGGTGGGGTTCACCATGTTGGCCAGGCTGATCTCGAACTCTTGACCTCAGGTGATCTGCCCGCCTCAGCCTCCCAAAATACTGGGATTACAGGCATAAGCCACCACGCCCAGCCCCAGCCCTAACTCTTGTACCTGTTTTCTTCTCATCCTGTGTTCTCCTGCAGGCTTTGGCTGACTTAGGTTGGTTTCTTTGAGGTGCAGCATTTCCTGAAATACTTCTTGCTAAGGGCTGGTCTAAGAGGAGAGGGGCTCCCTAAGGACCTACCACAGTAACATGTTGTCCTGGGAATGAACGATGGGCTGTTCCCTACACCCTGGGCACCTTAGGACCAGGCACCATTTGTAGAACAGTCTGCAGCATCCATAGCACCTCTCTCATCTGCCACGTTGCTTCCTGCTTTTCCTGTTGGTCTTGCTCTAGACCATTCCCAGTAGGGAATCAACTGGATAAATGGATAGAAGGAACCGGTTGACTCTCTTTGTTATAGTAGTTTAAATCCCAACATTCAAAACTTAGGTGGATTACCTCTCGGTTTCTTTGAACACAGTAAACTAGCAGCATTGAATCAGAGAATAAAGAAAACAAAAGAGTCTGTTTGCTTTACATAAAGGGACAGCACATGAAGCCAAAGTGACCTAACGTGAATTTTCAGAATTAGCATTTGCTGTTTTCATTTGCGTAATGTAATTCCACTTTTGCTTATTCAGTGGGGATTTCATTTGTCTGATGTGGTTTTATAAGAAGCAGGAGAAGTGGGTAAGGAACAAAAGGAAAAACTAGCTTGTTCTTAGTAACTTAGTTTGATTTGTTTATAGTGAAGGTTATTAGGATTTTTAAATGCAATTATCCTCCCTCAAAAACCTGGGATGAATTGTGAGAATTTGGACATGATTTAGCCTGGATCAGTTCAGAGTAAATTATTTCTGGATGGTGTAGTCAGTGGGGGTGTATCTAGCTTCTGCTTCCTGTAGGGGGGATGCCTGTAACATCCTGGATCTTTGCCTTGATGTTGTCAATGGGGTCACTGCATGCAACTTCAAGGATGAAGTCTTATTAGGACAAGTGAATTGCAGCAATAAGATCCCAGTTTGGTTTTATATCATGCCCAACCTCCTGCCAAAACTGAGACACAACTAAAAAAGAATATTTAATTGCATCAACAAAAACAGCATGTGCATGTTTTGAAGAGTTCACCAATGAGGAATTCAAATGAATCTCTAGATTATGTGGCTCTCTCTCTAATTACTTATTCCACAGAGGTTAGGGAAAAGAGACCCAGAGTGAGGAAACGGATGTATAATAATTGGCTTACAGGTTTGCTCACTGTTATTTGGTACAATATTAACATCCCTTTATGTTTCTTAAGCATTTGCCTGACTGTTTTCTCAGCAGGGTGGTTGGAAAGGCTGATGGGATCTTGAAGTGCCTGGCTGGACTTGGGAGTTGGAAGCAGCTATAAATGGGGACATTTGCTTGGCTCACTGGCTAATGAGTGAAGGATCGCCAAGAGAAATAACATTTCAGCGGAATTTCCTTAATGATTGGCACAGTTCATTAAGAGAAGAAACAAAACTGGAGATACCCTTGGGGAGAGGCTGGGGGATGGGAGGGTCAGATCATGGAGGTGGGAGTCCTGGCTCAAAGGAATGTGGCTTTCACACAATTAGGTGTTTGAAGGAAGACAGAGCTTGGACACAGCTGAATAATTTTGGCTAATTGAGATTTGCATGGGTCAAGGACCAGAGGTCTTGCTGCTGTTAAAGCAGGACGACATCCGTTATGGGATCCCTGGATGAACAGTGGCCCATGTGTGCCTCAGGACAATGGAAAGTGGCGTCTCCCTGACAAAGAACAGCTTTCACGGGAGACACCCTTCCACCTTTATCCCAGCTGGGGACTCTCCGTGGTGGATCCGATGGCCTCAAACTTACCCAAGTGGACTCACATCTAATAAGTCTCCACTGCTGTCCTTCTCTAGGAGTGAGAACTAATGATGCCTCCATCCCCTGCTGTCGTGTGTTCGTCAAGGGTACTATCTTTGTAAGATGGGCTTCTGAGAGTCAGAGAAGCTCCCATGAGGGCATTCACCATTCCATGTTTTGGTTGTAAGAACGGCTGACCACTGCTTTAAATGTTTTACTACAGAGAGTATGGATTTTTGTCTACCAGTACTGGTGTGCAATTCATTCATAGTCATTAGAGATGCATTGCTATAAAGAAATATCTGAGACTGGAGGCCGGACGCGATGGCTCACACCAGTAATCCCAGCACTTTGGGAGTCCGAGGCGGGCAGATCACCCGAGGTCGGGAGTTTGAGACCAGTCTGACCAACATGGTGAAACCCCGTCTCTACTAAAATACAAAAAATTAGCCGGGCATGGTGGCGCACGCCTGTAGTCCCAGCTACTCAGGAGGCTGAGGCAGGAGAATCGCTTGAACCCAGGAGGCGGAGGTTGCAGTGAGCCGACATCACCCCACTGCACTCCAGTCTGGTGACAGAGCAAGACTCCATCTCAAAAAAAAAAAAAGAAAAGAAAAGAAAAGAAATATCTGAGACTGGGTAATTTACAAAGAAAAGAGGTTTAATTTGCTCACAGTTCTATAGGCTTTATAGGAAGCGTGGTGCTGGCATCTGCTGTGGCTTCTAGGGGGACCTCAGGAAGCTTACAATCCTGGCAGAAGGTGAAGGGGGAACAGGCACCTCACATGGCAAAAGTAGGAGGGCGGGAGAGAGAGAGAGAGGTGGGGGAGGAACTACACACCTTTAAACCACCAGATCTCCTGTGAACTGAGTGACAGCTCACTCATCACCAAAGGGATGGCTCAAGCCATTCATGAGGGATCCACCCTCATGATCGAAACACCTCCCACAAGGCCCCACCTCCAACGCTGGGAATTACAAGTCAACATGAGATTTGGTGAAAACATATGTTCAAACTATACCACTCTCTCTCCCGGGGATGGGAAAAACACTAAGATGATAAGTATCAGTGAGGCCACTGCCAGCCCATGTAGCACCACAGTATGTGTTAGAAACCCCTTCCACCTGGTGGGTGCACACCTACATCATAGCTTGGCAAACTGAGTGTAGGCTGGATTTCAGATACTACTTGCCCCTGTGGCATTCTTCTACAGGGCGCAGTCCACACAGCTGTGCACAATAGCCCTGGCTACCAGATCTGAAGTGGCACAAGACTGTAGAGAGGTCCTACACTCATCAACTGTTGTTGATGCCACTGAACTGCACATTGTTCCAACCACAAGTTTCCTTTGGGTCCTATGAGGCCCAGAAATCTCTGACACGGCCGGAGTTCTCTGTAGCATACTGAAGTTCCTCTGAGTTCTGGCTTCTTCAATAGATTCATGTCCAGGCCCCTGGAGGAGCTGCATACCTCGTCCTCTCCAGGGCAGAACCCATGCACTTGTTTCTCATGTCTCGCTGTCCTCAAAGACACCCCCCTTTCTGTCTTCCTCTATCTGGACACTGAACCTCTTCCATTAGTTGAGCATTAGAAAAGACAGAAAGAACTGCCACTCTAGATGATCCCCCTTTCTAAAATCCCCACGGCAAGGAAAGAAATGTTGGTTATCAACTAGAAATGAAAGGGGAAAAGACACAGGGAAAGCGAAAGCAAATTAATATTTCAATGCATCACCTGCTACCTTTACACCCATACTCCAAATTTCCTCAAGGAGTGGTGGAGGGAGACCTTGTGCTTTCTTGAGACAAATGAGCAGCTTGGGATCTTCTGAGTTGCCCTGGCCTCCTTACACAGAGTGTGAAGAGCTTTATAAATGGTCTGTGGCTCCTCTAAAAAGGTGGGAAAACACAATCCTTGATGACATTTTGTCTGGCCTTCAACAAGCTTACTAACATCGTATGTCATTTTTTCCCCTTCTCCAGATTGGTGAGGACAATTGTGTAAGTGTCTGAAGAACCATCTGGGGCTCCTTCAACAACTCAACAAGAGCTGGGTTCCTATGAGGTCATGGAGACCAGGAGAGCATACAGTTTGTATCTGCCATTGAGGAGCCACTATTCTTGGGCAGACTCCTTCGTGAAGAGCAGGTGGGGCCAGAATTGAATGCTTTCTTAGGACATTTCACCACTGCTATCCATCCATGCAAATGTGGTTATATGGAAGTTATTTTGTGTTAAAGAGAAGATTGGGAGCATTGGAAAAGGTAAGACAAGTAAAATCTTTGCTTTTCCTGTTTCTTTTTGTGCTCTTTAAATCATTTTTTTTTTATTTTTATTTTTTGATACAGCTCTGTTGCCCAGGCTGGAGTGCAGTGACATGATTGCAGCTCACTGCAGCCTCAATCTCCTGGGCTCAAGTGATCCTCCTGCCTCCGTCTCCTGAGTAGCTGGCACCACAGATGTGCACCACCATGCCCATCTAATTTTTTAAAAATTTTTTCTAGAGGTGAGGTCTCACTAGGTTGCCCAGGTTGACCTTGAACTCCTGGACTTAAGGGATGCACCCTCCTTGATCTGTGAAAGTGCTAGGATTACAGGCATGAGCCACTGCACCTGGCCTCTTTTATTTCCCTCTGTATTATTCTATCAGTTCATAATTTCTCTTTCTCACTTTTAGTCTTGTTCTCCCTCCCCGCTTCTTCTCTTTGGCTTTCTTGTTTCTTTCCTCTTTTCTCCTTATTTTGCCTTCCCTTAATATTTATTATTTAAATTTAACAAATTAAGTTGGATAAGCTCCGACCTTAAATTTAGCCAAGTTAAACCTTTTTTCATATCTATCTAAACAGAGAAAAAACAGTCAAACCAAAATTTGAAATTGCTAGGAAACTGGTACATAATCCTCAAATATAGTTTTCTCAGTGGACCTCACAGGTGAAAAGTTTCCTCCTCTTTGCATTGAAACTAGCCAGTCGAGGAAATGAACTTGCGGCCATGCTAACCTCTGAAATGAACACAAGCAGGAGGTGTTTGGCTGGTGGAAGACAAGGCTACTCTGCAGGAAATACCTCATTGCCTTCGTCTTGGATGTGAGATGCAGTAAAATGGATGTCTTATGAAAATAATACTAGGCTAAAATGTCACTGTGATTACACATATGTTTGTAGGTAGATTAGAGTCAGTTACGGTCATTAAAACATTAGGCTAGTGTAGAAAATTAGCTCAGCTCTCGCAGAATTTCAGGTCTGGCAGGCTGGCTTTCTGTAGGTCAAAGAAAATGCTCAGATTGGCACGGAGCCTCCTTGGCTCTCACGCAGAAACTCTGTGACTTTGATACTTAGTGAAAAATGCACATCTGGAATGAAATCAGACCTCACCCTTTCCAAGCTTCTGCTCCTTGGTATTTAATTATAATGACTTTGGATGTGACTCAGGCTAAAGGCTTTATTTTTAGCAAAGATCAGACCTGCTCTTAATGTGGAAATCAGGAATGTTGTTTATTTGTTTAATTAGAGCATGTGACTCTATTTATTTTTTAAATGGTGAATGAACAAATCTGACACGAAACCACATTAAAAATATTTTGAGCTATGTATGCATAAACAGAAGTTTTACAAACTGCTTTCTGTGAATTGACACATTTGTCCTCTGATATTCTGATGAATAGTAGTGTTATTCATGACTTGGGTCTAACTGGAAATTGTAGATTATGCAAACTAGAAGGGACCTCAAGCATCATCTTGTTCAACTTTTATTTTGACAGAAGAGGAGACTGAGGTTTATAGGGCTGAAGTTATGTGCCAAAAGCACTCACTAGGGATGGTCAAAACTGGACCTAGAAACTCTGCCACTATCTCCTTACCTTCCCATTACTGGCCTTTCCCAATTGTGTGACACACGCCATTGCTGGTTCCTGGAATCATTTTAGATGGTGCAAGATACTGGATTAAGCAAGGCATGGTGGCTCACGCCTGTAATCCCAGCCCTTTGGGAGGCCAAGGCGAGTGAGTCACCTGAGATAAGGAGTTCGAGACCAGCCTGGCCAACATGGTGAAACCCGTCTCTATTAAAGGTACAAAAAAAGTAGCTGGGCGTGGTGATGTGTGCCTATAATCCCAGCTACTCAGGAGGCTGAGGGAGGAGAATCACTTGAACCCAGGAGGCAGAGGTTGCAGTGAGCCAAGATCGCACCACTGTACTTCAGCATGGGCAACAAAAGCAAAACTCCATCTCAAAAAAAAAAAAAGAAAAAAAAATATATATATACTGGATTAAATGACTGAACCATATAGAGAGACATCTATTTCCAATTCTCTTTTTCTCTTCCTGATTACATTAAGGACAATAAGTGTTTGTTTAAAGTTAGTTTTTAATCCTAATGTTCTCCTATCTTTCCCTTTAAACAACAGACAACAAATCTTAGGCTCAGAATCTTCATCAGGAAACAGTCCACAAATAGAATTTAACAGCGTTTGCTTGTTTTCAGTTTCTATTTGTGGGAAATGTATTCGTTATTTACACTTAGGTAACAAAATATCCCAAATCTTAGTGACCTGAAACAACCAAATGCACTTGTTATCTCACACAGTTTCTGTGGGTGAGGAGTTCAGGAATGTCCTGGTTAAATATTTCTGGCCCAGGGTCTCTAGTGAGGTTGCAGTCACAATATCAGAGGGGGCTGCTTCATCTGAAGGCTTGCCTGGGGCCAGAGGATTTGCTTCCAAAATGGCGCACACACATGGCTCTTGGCTTTGCTCCTCACCATGTGGGCCTCACCATGGGCTGCTTAAATCTGCTCACCCTGCATCAGCTGGCTGCTCTCGAGTAAGTGATCTAAAAGAGGGCACAGGAGAAGTCACAATGGGGCAATTTTGGAGGCTAGCTACCACAGAACATAATACTGTTTTTCTCTTGACAGCCAAGTCATAAAATTACCTTTAGATAAATGTATTTAAGTATTAAAAGACAATCTGATTTAAACAAAATTATTAAGTAAATTTTAATATAGGAGGTCCCAGGTATCATAAAAGTTGTGTAGGTAACATGCATGTGACTCTTAATGAGGAAACACTGTGTCACACTGTAATCCTTTGAACCCAGAAGTACAGAAGAAGTCTGCCAGTGTTGGTCCCAAGCTCTCCAGTCTGGAGAGAGGATGTCCAGTTGCAGATTGCATGTGGAGAAGTCCCAAGCTCACATCAATAATCCCTTTCCCTCTGCTCTGAAGGAATCCTCGTGTCTCAGGTGTGCTTTGTGCTACCATCTTGTGTACTGTTGGTGAGGACTTGGAGTTATAATCTTGAGACCACCTCAGTTATTCTTTGCTTCATCTAGCATTATTTTCTGTTTTCCCTTTCTTTGTCTGTTTTTCAAAAAATGTCTACAGCTTTATCTTCCAACCATTCTATTAATTTATAATTTTTGCCCAGGCATGGTGGCTCATGCCTGTAATCCCAGCACGTTGGGAGGCCGAGAAGGGCAGATCACCTGAGGCCAGGAGTTCTAGACCAGCCTGGCCAACATGGCAAAACCCCATCTCTACTAAAAAAAAAAAAATTAGCTGGGTGTGGTAGTGGGCCCCTGTAATCCCAGGTGCTCAGAGGCTGAGGCAGGAGAATCACTTGAACCCAGGAGGAGGAGGCTGCAGTGAGCCAAGATCGTGCCATTGTACTCCAGCCTGGGCAACAAGAGTGAGACTCCATCTCCAAAAAAAGAAAAACAAAGTTTATAATTTCTAATATCATATTTTTAATTCCCAAGAACTCTTTTTTATTCTTTGAATACTCCTTTCTTTAAATATAGGATTCTGTTTCCCTGTTCTTACATAGCTCATAGAAGCAATCTTTTTAACATCCTTCTCTGAGGACGTTAATACTTTCTTTATGAAGGTGTCTTCTTTCTGCACGTTGTTTGTAGTTATTTTTATAGTTTCAGTCTTAAACATTTGCCTTTTATCTGCTCTATGTTAAGAATGAAGGACTAAAGAAGCCAATTTAAAACTCTAAGCACGTGAGTGTCATTTGGGAAAAAGATACCTGAGATAAATGAGAAGGTATTTAAAATACAGTGTGGTCATTGCTGTGACAGGACAGCACAAGGTGTCATGGAAAGATGAATGAGTTTCGGACTTAGGTGGAGACATAAGGAAGGCTTAGTTTCATGACTTTGTGTAGGAATCAGCCAGTCAAAGCAGGTGGGTTAGGGAAAGAGCATTGCAGGTACAGGAAACAGCATTTATTTATTCGTTCATTAATCTTTGTGATATCAGGCATTGTACTAGGGGTGTGATAATGAATAAGACAGAAACGGCTTCTACTTTTTTACCTTCAAGGGGAGAAAAACAGATGAGTAACTGTGTTAGCTTGTTCTTGCACTGCTATAAGTAAATACCTGTTACTGGGTAATTTATAAAGAAAAAAAGGTTTAATTGGCTCACGGTTCCACAGGCTGTACAGGAAGCATAGCTGGGGAGGCCTCAGGAAACTTACAATCATGATGGGGGGCAAAGAGGAAGCAGGCACGTCTTACATGGTTAGAGCAGGAGGAAGAGAGAGAAGGGGGAGGTGCTACATACTTTTAAACAACCAGATCTCGTGAGAACTCACTATCACGAGAACAGCAAGGCGGATGATGTAAAACCATAAGAAATCACCCCCATGATTCAATCACCTTCCACCAGGCCCCTCTTTCAACAATGGGATTACAACGAGATTTGAGGTGGGGACACAAATCCAAACCATATCAGTAACAAACCAATTAAGACACAGCATGAGACAATTATAAGGAAAGACCTGTGTTATATGCTTGGAATTAGAAGTTTGACTGGAATTTTCCTCCAGAGATGGTGCCAGAGAGGTAAATGGCACCTCAGGTATCTTGTGGCCAAAACAGAATTTTATGGACTAGCCCAGGAAAGCTCCCTATCATTTATCATTGTAATTTTCAAAGAAATGCATTAATTTTCAAACACCCACTATGAACTACATGCCCTGTAGACATTTAGCACTTTAAGAAACTGGCTTAAAACTGACTTTTGGAACAAAGCACTCTTAAAGTTTTGGCACTGCCTATACTTTTGTGAATGGCAAAACACAGAGTTAAATTAGTAACAGATTTTCTCTTGTTGGAGATGGTCTCTCCCTTGAAAGCCTTTGATCTTTCCAGCATTGATGCTGAGTTCAATATGTTTTTAGCACTATGGCTTTGAGTGTATGTACATTTGTGTGTGTGTGTGTGTCTTTTTTCTGTGTAAAATGAGTGGAATGGTTCTTTCCCGCTCATCTGGAATAGCAATGTACCTGCCCCATCTGGAATATGATCAGAAACACTTCAGTTATACACACTCCTATAGAACCCAAAAGGGCAATGAATTATTGTGGGGGAAAATTAACGAAGTAAGAGTTGAGAAATGGTTTTTCATTCTAGCTTTGTCAGCAATTAGGTGAGTGCCCTTTTCACTTTCTCTGCTGGTGGTTTTTCTCATTTGTGAAGGGGGTCAATCATACATGACCTGCTCACTTCCCACATGCACAGAGAGGATCAAAGGACGCAATAAGTGAAGAGTCAAAAGGTTGACTTAAATGTGAGGCATTTTCCTGGTGATGCCTACATCATGGAAATGGAGATTCTGGCAGTGGAGTGCAGTCTTTACTCCACCCTGGACTATGGGTTAGGACAGCAGAAGTAGGCTGCTGCAAAGCAGGCTCAGCATGGACTCCAGGGTGATTGGGGGAAGCTCCTGAGCTCCATTCTTGCTGTCCTGGCCCTGGCCTATCAGGGGCACAGGCCTATGGCCTGCCTCGGAGAAGCCCTGGGCTGCCTGCTTGACAGGCTGTCCTCCTTCCTCAGGTGGAGTGGATTGCTAATAGCATGCTGTAGAGAAGGTACAGTTCTCAGTGTGTGCTCAGATCAGACGAGTCAGTGTCACCTGTGTCTTAGTCTGTTTGGGCTGCTATAACACATTACCTTAGATTGGGTACTTTACAAACAAGAGATTTGTTGCTTACAGTCCTGGAGGCTGGGAAGTTCAAGGTAAGACACCAGCAGATTCAGTGCCTGGTGATGGTCTGTTCCTCACAGATGGCACCTCCTGTGCCCTCACATAAAGGACGGGCAAAGGGGCTTCATCAAGTCAAACCCTTTCTATAGGGGCACTAATCTCATTCACGAAGGCAGAATTTTGACCCGATCACACCCAAAGGCCCTACCTCTTAATACTGCCACCGTGGGGGTTAGAGTTCAACTTATGAATTTCTGGGTACACATACATTCAGATTATAGCACCTGGAAACTTGTTAGAAACGCAGTCTGAAACTCCACCCCAGAACTCCTGAATCAGGAACTCTAAGGTGTGGGGCTTAGTGATGTGTGATCATGCAGTTCAGGGAATTCTGATGTTTATTAAGGGCTGAGCACCACTGCCTCAGAGAAGAACTTCACAAACCTGAATGTGCACTCGGTGCTTTTATTAAAACTCAGATTCTGATTCTGAGCAGTCTGGGGTGAGGCTTAGAAAAGATTCTGTTTCTCTCACTGACTCCCAGGTGGTGCCAACGCCTCTAGGCCACAAACCACATATGAATAGCAAGGCCATGGACGAAATAGCTTGAAACCAGGAGACCTGGGTTCCAGGGCTAGATCTGCCACTAACTCCATGGTGGTCTGCAGGCAGCTCCCTTCCCCTTCCAGCCTCCAGTCTCTCCCTAGCTCTGTACATGGGAGTCAGAGCTTCCCTCCCATTCCTCCCAGCTCTGATATTGTAGAGTCTAATGTTATGAATTATTTCAGGATATGTGATCCCTAGGATTCCCAGAAATCCTTGGGAACCTCCCACAGCAACAGAACATGGGATAGGATGCTAAAAGGAAACAGGTGGTACCCCAAAGAAGTAGCTCCCCAGGCTTGTCAGAGAGCTAGTAGGGGCCCGTCTCACCAAGGGCATGGCTAAGAGGCCAGGATGAGGATAGGCTGGGGAACCCACATCACAGCATCTGTACCGATTTCCTCCATTGTTCTTAGGGCCAGGTTTGGAGATGCTTTGCTGAAATGCCTTTCTGCACCCTAAGACCACAAGTTCCCACGTGGCAGAATGGGGCCTCTCAGAGGTGCCTTAGGATTGTGGGCAGTGTCTTTGGGTGAAGAATCCGAACATGATCTCAGAAAAGGTCCACATTCAAGATGAAGGGACTCTTTCCCATCCCTCAGTGTTCACTTATGTGTGCCTGTCCTGTTTTACAGGACACTCACAGCTCCTGGCACCTGGCAGCTTTTGGGGTTTCCTCTCCCCGCCTTGCACAGGTTGACTTTATTTCCAGATCTTTTCAAAACTCCTGTGGTAACACATCAAATTCCCAGGTGTGCGTACTAGTTGGACTGTTATAATAAACCTTCCAAACCCACAAAGCTAAACCCTGCATTTGCAGTTCTCATTCTTCTTTCCTGAGGAGTTATGGCTACTGTGAGGTCTTTCTCACTTCCTGGGAAGCAGTTTCCAAGCAGCGCAGATGTGGAGGCTGCAGTCTGGCCTGCAGCTGCCCTCACAATAACACAACTCATTAGTATGGAACGTTAGTGGGGACTCCACCCTCCCTTAGTGTCAATATTTGTTTAGAGGAGAAGGCAGGGAGGGAGAGGCGAATGGTGAGCTGGAGAAAGTTTGTCTGAAAAAGACATGATAATGGTTACATTCCGGTCTAAGAACTGCTTACATAGTTCATTGCTCAGTCATGGGGTGAGACCAAACTTGGCCTGCAAGGCCCAGAATGGTTGTCGTGGACATATTGCAGAAGCGGAATTAAGGTTTTGTCTCGCTTTTTTGTGTTTGTTTTCATTATTACTTTTATCATAGAGTCTATTTCTTGAAAAGAATTCACAACTCCCCCATCTACAGATAACTACTATTTACACTTTAGTAGTCTTCCACGCATTTTTCCTTTCCATAAACCCAAGAAGAATGTGTATATTTATATGTGATAAATATTTATATTTTACTATAAACAGGATTGCAAGACACTTTTCTTTAACTTTCTTTACAAAAGTATCACTCTATTTTACGTGCATCTAAGTATGTCGATATAAACTTCAGCAGCACAATTTTTTTTATTTATTATACTTTAAGTTCTGGGATACATGTGCAGAAAGTGCAGGTTTGTTACATAGGTATACATGTGCCATGGTGGTGTGCTGCACCTATCAACCCATCATCTACATTAGGTGTTTCTCCTAATGCTATCCCTCCCCTAGCCCCCTGTCCCCCAACAGGCCCTGGAGTGTGATGTCCCCCTGCCTGTGTCCATGTGTTCTCATTGTTCAACTCCCACTTATGAGTGAGAACTTGTGGTGTTTGGTTTTCTGTTCCTGTGTTAGTTTGCTGAGGATGGTGGTTTCCAGATTCATCCATGTCCCTGCAAAGGACATGAACTCATCCTTTTTTATGGCTGCATAGTATTCCATGGTGTATATATGCCACATTTTCTTTATTCAGTCTATCATTGATGGGCATTTGGGTTGGTTCCAAGTCTTCGCTATTGTAAATAGTGCTGTAATAAACATACGTGAGCATGTGTCTTTATAGTAGAATGATTTATAATCCTTTGGGTATATACCCAGTAATGGGATTGCTGGGTCAAATGGTATTTCTGGTTCTAGATCCTTGAGGAATCGCCGCACTGTCTTCCACAATGGTTGAACTAATTTACACTCCCACGAACAGTGTAGAAGCGTTCCTATTTCTCCACAGCCTTGCCAGCATCTGTTGTTTCCTGACTTTTTAATGATCACCATTGTAACTGGAGTGAGATGGTATCTCACTGTGGTTTTGATTTGCATTTCTCTAATGACCAGTGAAGATGAGCTTTTTTTCATATGTTTCTTGGCCACATAAATGTCTTCTTTTGAGAAGTGTCTGTTCATATCCTTCAGCCACTTATTGATGGGGTTGTTTGTTTTTTTCTTGTAAATTTGTTTAAGTTCCTTCTAGATTCTGGATGTTAGTCCTTTGTCAGATGGATAGATTGCAAAAATTTTCTCCCATTCTGTAGGTTGCCTGTTCATACTGATGATAGTTTCTTTTGCTGTGCAGAAGCTCTTTAGTTTAATTAGATCCCATTTGTCAATTTTGGCTTTTGTTGCCATTCAGCAGTACAATTTTTAATGGCTGCATAGTGTTCTATCATATAGGTATATTGTAGCTTTTAATAACCATCCTCTGTGTTTTAACATTCAGGCCGTTTGCTATTTTTCTATTGATGTCAGCTGTGTCTGATGAATATTCATGGTTATTTCCTTAGCATACATTTCTCAGTGCAGAATGGGGGCAAAGTGCATGCACATTTTTCAAGTCCTTCTGAACATCTTGCCAAAGTATATCTAGAAAAGCTATTGCAATTTACTTTTCCATTGACTATATATAAACATGTATGTTTATCTGTAATTAAGAATCCTTATACTTTTTAAAGTATGGTCAATTTAATAGACAAAAATGGTACCACTTTATTGAATGTCTTTGGTTACAAATAAGGTTAAACACTTTTCAATATTCGTTGGCCATTTGCATTTTTCCTTCTGTGAATTATCTATTTATAGCCTTAGCTCATTTCCGTTGTTTAAAAAAAGACTATATTTTTTAGAATGGTTTTAGGTACACAGGAAAATTTAGTGAAAAGTGCAGAGTTCCCACGTTACATCACCCACAGAGGGCCTCCCCCATTACCAACACTCCCCACCACACTGGTACATTTGCTACAGTCAGTGAACCTACATTGGCACATCATCATCACTCAGAGTCCATCATTTACATCCCAGTTCACACTTGGTGTTGTATATTCTATGGGTCACAACAAATGTATAATGACATGTATCCACCACTGCAGCATCATACAGAACAGCCTCATTGTGCAAAAAAAGTCATCGGTTCCTACTTATTCATTCTTCCTTCCCCACAACCCCTGGCAACAACTGATTTTTTACTGTCGCCATAGTTTTCCTTTTTCCTGAATATCATGTCATTGAAATCATACAGTATGTGACTTTTTTAGATTGGCTCATTCACTTAGTAATATACATACAAGTTTCTTCCATGTCTTGTCATATCTTGATAGCTCATTTCTTTTTAGCACTGAATATTCTATTGTGTTGGTTCTTTTTAGCACTGAATATTCCACGTATGTAGTTGTACCATAGTTTATTCATCCATTCACCTACTGAAGGACATCTTGGTTGCTTCCAAGTTTTGGCAATTATGAATAAAGCTGCTATAAACATTCATGTGCAGGCTTTTTTTGTGTAGATGTAAGTTTTCAACTCATTTGTGCAAATACCAAGGAGTGTGGTTGCTGGATTATGTGCCACTCACTTCTTTTTCAAGATTGGTACAGTCTCAGTCATTTTGGGCTGCTATGACGCATAGCTATAGGTGGTTTAAACAACTAACATTTATTTCTCACAGTTCTGGAGGCTGGGTAGTCCAACATCAAGGTGCCAGGATGGTCGGTTTCTGATGAGGGTCCTATTCCAGGTTGCAGACAGCCAACTTCTCATGTCCTCACACAGCAGAAAGAAGTTGAGAGAGCTCACTGGGGTCCCTTTTATAAGGGCATTAATCTCATTCATGAGGACCTTACCCTTATGATGTAATTACTTCCTAAATGTGCCACCTCCTAAAATCATCACATTGGGAGTTAGGATTTCAACATATGAATTTTTTTTGGTGGGGGGAGAAAGACATTCAGTCTATTGCAGATATCTTTCTTTTTTTTATTGATATATAAGAATGTTATTACATTTGTTGAAAAAAATTCTTCAACAATTCTTATATTGATATATATTCTTATATTGATAAAAATATAATTGATAACAATTCTTATATTGATATATAAGAATGTTATTAAATATGTTGAAAATATTCTTCCCTGTTCAGTGCCTGCGCTTTAATATAATTAATGGTGTCGTGCAGTAAAGAGCTTCTTTAGAATTTTATGCAGGCAAATGTGTCAGTCTGCTATGAGGCCTCCGTCTTCAAAAGCCTTGCTTGTTTTAGGCATGAATGCTGTGGCAGGCTCTCATTTTTTGTGGCCTCACATGGCACTGTTGAAAATCATAGTTTAGAGTAAGGTCTGAACGGGCACTGTTTTGCTCTGAGTGAAAGGAACACATGTTCCTCTAAGAACTGCATTGGATTCTTAGCAGATGTGTAGGCATTTTTGTTTGTTTATTTTTAGTCAGAATGCTGGTGTCAGGTATTTCTAAGGTCAAAGTTCCCCAAGTTGCTTTCCCTGAAGCTTCCTTGGCTTCAGAAGTGATGAGACACTTTAGTGAGTACCCAGATTCCTCGACTTTAATGACAGTGATCTCATAGGACACGAACAAGAACATCTCTTACCTTATTCAGAAGGTCTAACTTGATACCATTTGGTTTCTGAGATCCAGCTCAAGTCTTTAATGACATTGGGAAAACAGTCAATAATTTAATAACCTGATGGAGGGCTAAGTCACTTGACTGACTGAAAATTGCTTCTTTTATGATAGTCACATTATCTTGGTATTTCATGGTTGCCCCTAGTCTTGCCTTATCCCGGTATTTGAGGCTCAAAGCCTTGGAGTTGTTCCTCTTCCTCTCCCTCTGACCTCTGATACATGACCGCATCCCCTGATGCATCATCAAGTCTCATGGATTCTTTATTCAAACTCTTTCTTTGTTTTCTTGTACCTCTTGCCTCCTATTTCCTGGTAATTGTCCATGAGGTTCTCATTACATTATGCCTGGGCTATTTTAATAATTATCTCATTTGCCTCCTTTGTTCCATTCTCTTCTGAAATTCCACCCAATACAGGATCCTCCTCCTTGGCTTCTTGCCTTTGATGAAACACCTTCAGTGACTTTTCATTTCATAGATGCTATTGCTCAGCCCCCAGGGTCCCCATAGTCTGGATCTAATCTAACTCCCCACAACCAGGATCCTTGACACAAACCATCCTTCCAGCCAGAGGGGGCAGTTTGTGGTCCATATACCCTCCTGCCACTATCCTCTATGTTTTGCTTATGCTATTTCTCCTGGCAAAACAGATATTTCTAAGGTCCAAGTCCCCAGTCTTGTTTCCCTGGACTTTCCTTAGCTTTAGAAGAGATGAGACACTTTAGTGGGTGTCCAGCCTAGGGTGTTTCTGTCCTGGAGATCTTTAGAGAAATTGTTTCCTGTTGCTTGACACTTGCTTAAAATGTCCAGCCTTGTTCTCTTATTTCCCCCCTTTTTTTTTCTTTTCTTTGTCGTTTCTCTCCAGTGACATTGCTGGTCTCAGAGGGCAGGAAAGCAGCCTCTTACTTTTTTGAATCACAGTTACCTTTATTAGAAAGTGTTGCATAATCCTGGATCTGGTTTGGAGTCTGAAAAAAATAAGAAAAAATAAAAAATAAAAGATAAGTGTTGCATAGTACAAGTGTTCATGACAATTCCCCTTATTAATGTGTAAAAAACCTTGCCAGTGGGTTCCTAAAAAAGTAAAACAAAAAATCACCATGTGACCCAGCAGTCCCACTCTTAGGTATATAGAAAAAAAAAATTGAAAATAAGTGTTCAAAAAAAATACTTTTATTCAAATGCTCAGAGCACCACTATTCATAATAGCCAAAGGTGGAAACAACCCAAATGTCCATCAACAGATGAATGGATAAACAAAATTGAATCTATCCATACAGTGGAATATTATTCAGCCATAAGAAGGAGTGAAGCAAGATGGATTAAAGACTTAAATGTAAAACCCAAAACCATAAAAACTCTAGAAGAAAACCTAAGCAATACCATTCAGGATATAGGCAAGGGCAAAGACTTCATGCCTAAAACACCTAAAGCGATTAAAACAAAAGCCAAATCGACACATGGGATCTAGCTTCTGCACAGCAAAAGAAACTATCATCAGAGTGAACAGGAAACCTACAGAATGGGAGAAAATTTTTGCAATCTATCCATCTGACAAACGGCTAATATCCAGAGTCTAGAAGGATCTTAAACCAATTTCCAAGAAAAAAACAACCTCAACAAAAAGTGGCCAAAGGTTATGAACAGACACTTCTCAAAAGAAGACATTTATGTGGCCAACAAACATATGAAAAAGAGCTCATCACTGGTCATCAGAGAAATGCAAGTCAAAACCACAATGAGATACCGTCTCACTCCAGTTACAATGGCCATCAGTAAAAAGTCAGGAAACAACAGATGCTGGAGAGGATGTGGAGAAATAGGAATGCTTCTACACTGTTCGTGGGAGTGTAAATTAGTTCGACCATTGTGAAAGACAGTGTGGTGATTCTCAAGGATCTAGAACCAGAAATACCATTTGACCCAGCAATCCCATTACTGGGTATATACCCAAAGGATTATAAATCATTCTACTATAAAGACACATGCACATGTATGTTTATTACAGCACTGTTTACAATAGCGAAGACTTGGAATCAACCCAAATGCCCATCAATGGTAGACTGAATAATGAAAATGTATCATATATACACCATGGAATACTATGCAGCCATAAAAGAGGATGAGTTCATGTCCTTTGCAGGGACATGGATGAAGCTGGAAACCATCATTCTCAGCAAACTAACACAGAAATAGAAAACCAAACACCGCACATTCTCACTCATAAGTGGGAGTTGAACAATGAGAACACATGGACACAGGGAAGGGAACATCACACACCAGGGCCTGTTGAGCAGTGGGGGGCGAGGGGACAGAGAGCATTAGTACAGATACCTAATGCATGCGGGGCTTAAAACCTAGATGATGGGTTGATAGGTGCAGCAAAACCCCATGGCACATGTACACCTGTGTAACAAACCTGCACGTTCTGCACCTGTATCCCAGAACTTAAAGTAAAATAAAAATAAGTAAATAAATAAATAAGAAGGAGTGAAGCACTTTTTCATGCTACAGTGGGGACGAACCTTGAAAACATTATGCTAATGAAGGAAACCAGATACAAAGGCCCCATGTTATATGATTCCATTTATATGCAATGTCCACCATGGGTATCTGCAGAGAGACAGAAGGTAGGTCCAGGGTTGCCAGGGGCTGCGGGTTGGGAGTGTGGAGGAGGAGGAGTGACTGCTTAATGAGTATGGGATTTCCTTTTGGGTGATAAAAATGTTTTGGGACTAGACGGAAGTGATGTTTGCCCAACATTGTGAATGTCCTAAATGCCACTGAATCATATGCTTTAAAATTGTTAATTTGATGTTAGCTGAATTTCGCCTTAATTAGAAACAAAAAGATGGAGGTCCCTCCTCGCCTATTGCCACATGAAGTTAGAGAAAAAGATGACAATGGGCCTAGCACTAGAGATATTTGGGAGCAGCCCTGGTCTCAGTGTCTGTTTGATTCTTCTCAACGTCCTACATGAATATAAAGGGTTGAGGATACAGGCCACAGTATAATTCTTTTGCTGTTTGTTGAATGTTGGCATTAACTGCACCCTCATGCCTCATTTCTCCCCCAGATATAATTTATTATAAATTTGGAAATTCCTCGATGTTGAATGATGAAACAACAATCTCTCAGTTGCTGCTCTTCTCCGGGAGAAAGAGTAGGTCAAGTAGGACTTTATCCCATGTCAGGTATGGGCTTGGGTTTCCTGCCAGCTGCCCAGCGGCCACACTCTGGCCCTTGCTGGTCAGAGTAACCACTGCAGGAAACCCGGCAATGGCCCTTTCTGCGGGACGGTTCATTGTTGTGCTCTTCCCTCCATCCTCACACCCCAGCCCTCTTTCACCACCTTCTCCTCAGTACAAGGAATATTTTAAAAGACGTTAAGCTTGAAATGATTAATCAAACTGCAAGAAGGAGCTCCTGAGAGTCTGGGAAAACACAGAAGAACGACGCTTTCTGCTCCATTGAAATGCAAATATGCTAGCCACAGAACCCTTTGCTGGAAAACTTGGAATGATGTATTTCTGGGAAGCCTTACTCCCTCCACCTTTCTGCCGCCTTCCCTGGCTGACCACTCGCTTTGGGTTGAGTGCAGTTTTGATGAGTCCGTTTCAAAAAGTCAAAGCTAAAGATGTTGTCAGTTGAGTGTAAGATAAGTATTGCATAGTACAAGTGTTCATGACAATTCCCCTTGCCAGTGGGTTCCTAAAAGAGTAAAACAAAAAATTATAGAACCTATAATCTCCTTATATGGAAGCAGAAAGAAAAGAAAGTGTATGTTGCTCAACCCTTTACAATTTTTATTTCTAAGGTTTTTTCCTGAGATTAGCCAAGAAACATATAGAGCACCCAGTGTGTGTCAGCCTCTGTGATAAATGATAGGTGCTTCATGATGAATGGTTAAGGTGTAATTTCTGCTTTTAAGGAACTTGGCTTTTTCCTTTATTCCAGAAAGAAGCAATCGTTTTTAGCTACGATGATTGTGCAAGTCAAGGGTTAAAGTGATTTCATTTTCCTCTTTGATATTAAAGATCCTCAGCCTCCCTGGTTCTCTGTTTTCAGCACACATGTTTATTTTCCTCTTATGGGAAACAGTTCTCATCCCTTGCAGAAGCCGAAGTAGTTATGGAGAAGAGATGAGGTAAATAGAAATAACTGGGGTGTAGCACCAAGTGGATTGATCTTTCCAGTTCCAGAGTCCTTGAAGGACTGCACGAGTGGGCCGGAGGTGGTGCTCTAGGTGGGTTGTGTAGTCTCATCTCACAATAAATTGAGGATGTCTCGGGCTCTGCCAGGGCTTGCCATGTGTGCACCTGCATAGGTCTGTCCACAAGGGCTCCATTTGATGTCTGTGGCAGAACAAAGTCCCAGTTTTTGAGAAGGAGCCTTCATGAAGTTGGGACCGAGGACTGCAGTGCATACGGCTGGCTTTCCAAACCCTCCAAGACCACAGTCTGCTTGTTTGCACAACATATTGCTGCCGTGTTCATCTAAGGACCTGAGAACAACCAGAGCTCAGGAAAAGCAGCTCTATCTTCCTAGAAATGCCTCTCTAAAGACCTCAGAGAGACCTAGTAGAGTAAGAGGATCACCAAGTTGACAAGTCAGTAGGTTTGTCTCTTAGACCATGCCAGATAAATGACTGCAGTAGGCCTTGCACTGCATAAATAGTTTTCCAGCTGTGTTTTGTGGGTCCTGAGGGGGGAACCTTGATTTTGAAGAGGAGCCAGAGGTGGTTGAGCTCTTTACCTTGGCCTCCAATAGTAGCTCCTTTAAAGATAAATCTGCCCTTGCCTTATGCATGGGACTATTGTTACTGATGTGTATCAGTTTAGCTGGGACACTTACAGTTTACCTCTGTTGTCCTGGAGGAACAATTATTGACACCCCTTCTTACTCTCCAAAGTTTTCTGGTTTGGACAATAAATTACACAATCACTTTAGTTAGTGATGACCTAGAACAGAAGCCTGTAGGCTGAATCTGACTTGCATGAAATTCCTTGGTCAGCTTAGTGTTTTAAACAAAAGTGAATGTGAATGTAAATAGGCAGGACTTGTGCCCTGTCTTTCTCCACAGTTCTCACCATTCCACCATGTCTTGTTTCTACTGCATGCATGTTGGATGACAGCCTTTGTTGTCTTTTGAATTTGAAACCCTTGGCCCACACAAAAAAAGTTGTTGTGTGGATCTTTTTTTGACCTTGCCTAATTGGCATATTTAATAGCAGGGCTGGCTGGTTGGAAACATGGAAAGTCTATGGGTGGCACCCCAAACTGTAGGAATAACAGGCGTAGGGTATCACCAAGTGACCATTTTGGATGAGTTCAAAGGTCTGTGCCTGATGACATTATTTCTAAACAATCTTTCTGTATCTATTTTGAGGCCCCCAGATTTCTGTTATTCTTGTGCAGTGATGAGTTAAGCATATTTTAAAATTTCTGATGTGTCAGGAATACTTTCAGTGGCAAGTAGTAGAACAACTGCAAGAACAGTGGCTTCATCAGTGGAGATGTTTAATCATCTCATTGAAGAACTAGCTGGTGGTGGAACCAAGGTTGACATAGCATAGCAATGATGGTAGTGAGCTGGGTCAGCTTCTCTGGGTGCTGTCTTCTCTTCCTCATGGTCACAAGATGGCTGCAGCTACACTAGTCATTGGTCCAGAGGGTGGCAACCCAAGCAGAAAAGAAGGGGCAGAGGCTAAGGCTTTGTCTCCTTAATCTAGATAGAAAGTTCTTTCAGAAGCACATACACCAGACTTCCCCTCCAGGTCTTATTTTTCAGAAATGTGTTTCATGAGATGAGCACCTGCTACAGGAGAAGCTGTGGAGGTGAGCAGGAGAGGCAGATCCCTCTCCAATAGGGAGAGGGATTGCCATGATTGGTTCATCCCAGGCCTGGCAGAGGAGGCCTCTTCCTTGAGAACAGAACCCTTTCCCCACATCCTGAACAAAACCAGGTGTTTGACAACAGAGAAGGAGGGTAGAGGTGGCAGTTTGGTGGGTAGAGACTGGCCAAGAACAATGTCTGCCACACTTGTTACAGGGAGAGATCTTTTTGAAAAATGCTACCTTACTTTCTCCAGGGTCCTGTCACTAAAATCCATTTTTGCCTAATACTTTATGTTAGCATTGCAAAGAAATCATCATTTTGATAATTGTTATTACATATTTCTTAAATTATAGATATAGTTTTCATAACACCTTTATAAAATATAGGTGATAAATGAGATTTTGTTCATTTCAATGTGGTCACCCAGACCTTATAGAGTAGGTGAGACGTAACCCAGCTGAGTAAAGATAGAGTGTGCTGGTGCAATTCGATGGGGGTAGATGTGGGAACTTACATTGCAGCTAGGGTCCTGCTTGCTAAGCAGCATGTGGGAGACCTGGATTGAGAATCATTGTGGGTGTCTAATAAGTCTCTTTTAGTTGCAAGGACTAGAAAGCACAAATCAAGTCAGACTGAGGGGAAAAAAAACAGGATTTTGTTGTGTGTGTGTTGCATAAGAGCTTTTGTCTGTCTAGATCTACAGTTTGAAGAATGTAATCAAAATCTGCCCTTCTTCCCTACTTCCTCTGTGAAGCCTCCATTCTGGGCACCTTGTGGGGTCCCTCTGCAGCTTCAGCCTTGCATTTTCAGCATTGTCTGGTCCAGGAGAGAGAAAACCTGCTTCCCCCATGTTTCAGAGTCCTAGAATGGAGGCTTATTTGACCTAATTGGACTGGCTTGAGCCAATCAAAATGGCCAAATGGTATGAAATGACTGACCAGCTTAGTCTAGATCTGTAGTTGGCGAACTATGCCATTTTTGCAAATAAAGTTTTATTGGAACACAGCCATGCTCATTTGTTGACATATAGTCTATAGCTGGTTTGTGCTACAATGGCAGACTTAAATAGTTACATCAGAGACTGTGTGGCTCACAAAGCCTAAAATATTTACTTCCTGGCTCTTTATACAAAAGAGTTTGCCAACTGGCCCTGGTCTAAGTCATGTAGTCTACCCTTGGAGAATGGGAAAGGATGAGATGAAGTCAACTTCTCCCAGAACACGTGGACGAGAGTGGTAACTGTTTCTCCATAAAATTCCCCCAAAGAACACTGGCCTGCCACAAGAAGGGGATGAGGATGAGCACGTGCTTGACAAGTGTTGTTATGGTATGTATTAGGGGTGGTGACTTAGGGGTAGGGATCCCATGTATTGTGGTTGGCTAGGAGTTTGTTGGGTTCTCTTCTTTCTGGGGGACCTGGCATGTTTTTAAACCATTGGGAAGATTTGCTTTCTGAATGTGAGAAAGATTTTACTGTGCTGTTGAATTGCTATTTGGGCATTGTTTTGAATTTGGGCACTGATTTGGGGGAAGTATTAATATATTGGTGACCTAAAGTAGGTCTAAAAATGAATGACCACAGAGGTATGAAAGACAGGTGGAGAAGGAAACATGGCTGCATGATACGCAGATAATTGACTGATCACTGTGTCACTCAATGATTGATGAGTTGATCAGTGCTTACCTAGAGGACATTCCTTAGTGGCTTGACACAGGGACTATATATATAAGGCTTGGTCCTCTTCCATATTTTAAATACTTTGCGTGAAAAGAGAAAAGACATGCTTATTAAACCTGTTGGATATGACAAATGTACTAGGATGTAACATAAAATTTTATAAATTTCTTGACCAATGGAAATAATAGGTTGAAAAAAGTAGGATAAAATTTATCAAGAATAAGTATTAAGTCCCATGTTTAGGTAAAACCAACCAACAAACACGTAAACTACTTGTGCAATATGTGCAGGATAGGAGAGCTGGTGTAATGCAGTCCATATGAAAAGCACCTGTGCTGTTTGGTTGATCACAAATCCAACATGAGTCAGCAGTATAAAAATTAAAAAAAAATAATGGTGGGGAGAGAGTGGTCTTTCAAAATGAGGTGCTGGGTCATTGGGTAACCATATGGAAAAAGAAGACAATCTTGACCTCTAACTCATACATACACAAAATCAGTTCCAGATTTAAATGTAAAATGTAAAAGCTAAAACAATAAAGCTTTTAGGTAACAACTCAAGAGAACACCTTTATGACCTCAGAGAAGGAAAAGGATTTTTTTTTAAACCAGGGTACAAAAGATGTTAATCCTAAAGGAGAAAAGATAAATGGAACTATTTAAAAAGTAAGAACTTTTTAAAAAGAGACTATACAAATGGTGAAAAAGCAGCCAATAGAAGAAGAAGTTCTCTCAACCACTCTCTCTTTTTCTCCCTTTCTCTCTCTGTCCACTCCACAAAAATCTATTCACCAGAAAAATAAAAAGAAGTTCTACAAATCATTAAGAAAAGGGCAGAGAACCCAATGGAAAAATGGGCAAAAGACTTGATCAGACACTGTGTAAAAGGGAATATCCAAGTGGCCACTCATTATGAGAAAAAGGGCTCAACTTCATTAGTGAAAAGGAAAATGCAAATCGACCACTATTACACCACCTCCACCAATACTGCTAAAATTAAAGGATTGACAATACTAAGTGTTGGTGAGAGTGTGAAGAAGCAACATTGATAGTTGGAGTGCAATGCTTTGTACAATGTTTCATAGTATTAACTAAAGATAATCACATGCATACTGAAGGGTGGCAGAATATGCCACCTCCAAAGATGCCACTTTGACGCAAGGGTTACTCTGCTCTACAGGCACTTGAAGACCAGCAGGTGCAGGAGGGGCGCTCTGACCTCCCTTTTTCTTCCTGAAAACAGGAGATCGAACTCCCAAGTGAAAGATGCCCTCTCAGGCAGGGCGTGGTGGCTCTCGCCTGTAATCCCAGCACTTTGGGAGGCCGAGGCGGGTGAATCACTTGAGGTCAGGAGTTCGAGACCAGCCTGGCCAACATGGCAAAACCCCATCTCTACTAAAAATACAAAAATTAGCTGGGCATGGTGGCGCGCACCTGTAATCCCAGCTACTCGGGAGGCTGAGACAGGAGAATCGCTTGAACCCAGGAGGCAAAGGTTGCAGTGAGCCGAGATTGTGCCACTGCACTCCAGCCTGGGTGACAGAGTGAGACTCCATCTCAAAAATAAACAAACAAACAATCCTATTAAAAAAGAAAAGAAAAGAAAGATGTCCTCTCTTTACCAGGAGGAAGGAGAGGAAAATCCTTATCCCCAGAGGCAAGGAGCCGGCACTGAGAAATCTGTAAGGGACAGACTTTGTTGAAATGACTCTTATCTTCTTTTGGTCGCCTCCTATATTTTAGTTACTTTTCCACAGTTATCTGTCTGTTCAACCCAGTAGATAAGCACTTAAGTGTTGCCAATTCTTTGGGTTTTAATTTTCCTATGGGGTCCTATGTACATCTAAAAAAAAAAAAATCTGTCTGCTTTTCACATGTTAATCAGTCTTAAGTCAATTTCATTCTCAGGCCCAGCTGGAGACCCTAAGAGGGGAGAGGTAAAGTTTTGCCTCCCCACCAACACTCTATGGCTTAGCAATTTGATTCCTAGGAATATACCCAACAGGAATGCACACACAGGCTCACCAAAAGATTATACTAGAATGTTTGCAGCAACATTATTTGTAATAGTCAAAATCTGGAAAACCCAATGCCCATCTATAATGGAATGGATGCAGAAACTGTGGAATATTCACACAGCAGAATACCGTAGAGCAATTAGATTGGGCAATCTACAACTACAAGTGTGAACAAGTCTCACAAACGTAATGTTAGTGAAATAAGCTAGACACAAAACTCTGTATGTGTGTAAACATATCTATTCTGCATGATTCCATTTATATAAAATACAATATAGGCAAAACTAACATAGGTAAAAGAAGTCATGCTAGAAGTTGTTCTTAAGAATGGGGAAAGGCCAGGCACAGTGGTTCACACCTATAATTCCAGCACTTTGGGAGGCCAAGGGAGGTGGATCACCTGAGGTCAGGAGTTCGAGACCAGCCTGACCAACACGGAGAAACCCCATCTCTACTAAAAAAAACAAAACTAGCTGGGTGTGGTGACACATGCCTGTAATCCCAGCTACTCGGGAGGCTGAGGGAGGAGAATCGCTTGAACCAGGGAAGCGGAGGTTGCGGTGAGCCGGGATGGGGCCATTGCACTCCAGTCTGGGCAACAAGAGTGAAACTCCATCTCAAAAGAAAAGAAAAAGAAAAAAAAAAAAGAAGAAGAAGAAGAAGAAGGGGGGATATCCTCGCTGGGAGGATTTGGAGTAATTTCTACTTCTCAATCTGGTGCTTATTACATGAGGGTGTTCAGCTTGTGAAAACAAATGAAATGCATTATGGCATATGCACAGTCCGTATGCGTACAATAATTTAGCAGGAGGGTACAATTATTGAGCAAAGGTACCATTTAATAGAAAAACTAATGGTACTATGTTCGTGTGCTAGGTATTCTAGGTCATCTCATCAAAGCCTTGCCACAACTTCATGATGCAGATATTATTCCTGTCAATAGCTGAGCAAAAGGACTCAAGCTATCTTCCAATTATACATAAACCCAAGTACCGATCCTCAGGCTGCCTTGTGTATCCTCTTAATTATTCTTAAAGAGCAGAGGTTGCAAGCTCGGGACCCATGGATTCCACACTCTAGAAGGTGCATTTTGTTTCCTCAGGGTTGCCCCAACTAAGTGCTTTAATTTTTAGAAGTTGTTTGCCGCGGCACAGTGGCTCACACCTGTAATCCCAATACTTTGGGAGGCTGAGGTGGGCAGATCACGAGGTCAGGAGATCGAGACCATCCTGGCCAACATGGTGAAACCCCGTCTCTACTAAAAATACAAAAATTAGCTGGGCGTGGTGGCCTGTGCCTGTAATCCCAGCTACTCAGGAGACTGAGCCAGGAGAATCACTTGAACCCGGGAGGTGGAGGTTGCAGTGAGCTGAGATCGGCCACTGCACTCCAGCCTAGTGACAGAGTGTGAAACTCCATCTCAAAAAAAAAAAAAAAAAAAAAGAAGTTGGTTGCTACGTAGTTTCACACACAAATCAGATTTTCGTTATCTCTTGAAACATTGGAAGATCTGGCAAAGCTGGTTCTTTTCCAAGGTTAACAACAAATGGAGCTGACTCGCAGTTACTTGCTTCCTTTGCATCTGCTGTCCAGTTCTCCACAGTCCTGCCCCTCCCCGCTCCATCTCAGGCGGCTTCACTGGTTTATGTCCCCTGCCTGGCCCTGTAGGCTTGCCATCTGTGATTTGGAGCTGCCAAAGTTGCTTTCAGAAAATCTTCTTACTCTTTACCTTTTTGAATTGAATCCCTGATTGATGGCGTAGGGTTTTCTCTTCCCATCTTTTCCAATGCCATGAGTTCCGCCGTTGTTCATACTTACAGCTCATTCTATGGTATTGATCCCTGTTATACCCAGCTAATTTTCCACATACATCAATTTGATATTTATAAAATACATTATTCACTAGTGTATGTAGAAATAGACTGACGGTTGTGCTGGGAAGGGGTTATCAATTTCATCGGTTTGCGATTTGGATAAAGCAGTCATTGGAGGATCCCCATTTTCTCTGTTTTCAACAAATCCTTTCTCCCTCTCCCATTACTGATGTATTATGAATTTAACAGATATTTACTGAATGGCAGGCCCTGTTCCAGGCAAAGGGATATAGCAGTGAAAAGTCTGTAGTCTTTGCTCACTTTGAACAACAATCTAGCAAGGGCAGACAGGAAATGTATGCATACATACTTACATACATGCATACATATGGTCATGTGGTGAGAAGGTGCTATAAGGAGAATTAAGGGCCAGGCACGGCGGCTCACACCTGCAATCATAGCACTTTGGGAGGCCAAGGCAGGCGGATCATCTGAGGTCAGGAGTTCAAGACCAGCCTGGGCAACGTGGCGAAACCCCATCTCTACTAAAAGTATAAAAATTAGCTGGCATGGTGGCGGGCGCCTGTAGTCCCAGCTACTCAGGAGGCTGAGGCAGGAGAATCACTTGAACCTGGGAGGCAGAGGTTGTAGTGAGCCAAGATCGGGCCACTTCACTCCAGATTGGGTGACAAGAGCGAGACGCCATCTCAAAAAAAAAAGACAGAGCGATAAGGTGGGTAAGGGATAGAGTGAAGCAGTGTGAAAGAGTAGTGAGAGTGGGGCTGATGAAGTAGGAACTGGTCAGAAAGAAGTTATGTGGCTGGCCGGCAAAGCAAGTGTTTATGGCAGAGGTGGTCGTAAGTGCAAACGGCCTGGGGCAGCAAAGGCCTCATGTGGGAGGGACAGGAAGGGGGCCAGTGTGGCTGGGGCAGAAGCAGCAGGGGGAGCAGTGGGAAGGGAGGTCCCAGAGAATAGAGAGGCTTGGGAGGAGCAGGGTCTAATCATGTGTGGTCTTGTCACACCAGAGCAGAGGCTTTGAAATTTCTGTTCAGTATATCGGGACCCACGGAAGGGATTTGATTAGGGAAATGATGCCCAGTCTTCTGATCCTCATACTTGGTCCTTTCCTCTTTCTTTCCATGTCTGGGGCAGACCAGGAAGTCTTTTTCCCCATGGAAGGCTCTTAAGACCTAAAAGGTTGCTGAGACTTAGAAGTACTCCTATATTTAAAAACAACTCTGGCCGGGCCGCGATGGCTCACATCTGTAATCCCAGCACTTTGGGAGGCTGAGGCGGATAGATCGCTTGAGCTCAGGAGTTAGAGACCAGATTGGGCAACATAGTGAGACCTCTGTCTCTACAAGTAATTTAAAAATTAACCGGGTGGGGCATGGTGGCACACGCCTGTGATCCCAAATACTAAGGAGGCTGATGCAGGAGCATCACTGGAGCTCAGGACTTCCAGGCTGCAGTGAGCCATGATTTGCACCATTCCACTCCAGCCTGGGCAACAGAGCGAGACTCTGTCTCTAGTCATAATATTGATGATGATGATGATGATGATAAAAAATAAAAATAAATAAAAAGAACAACTCCAATGTTCTCCTGCAGTTGAAAATATGTCATTTGTAAAATAATAACAATAATTTGTGAACATTTTGCTAAACAAATACGTTTTTCGTCATTTGTCTTTTTTCGTTGAATATATAAAGAATCAATTCTGCATCTTTTAAAGGTGAATAGTGGCTTAGAAACACTTTTCCTGGTGAGTTGCCAGGAAACCGGAGAGGGGAGATACTTTGAAGGAGTACCCTGTGAGTGGAATTTTCTAGACAGACCTCACCACCAGCCTCATTAGTCAATAGAGATTCATCTTAGACCCTTATATTCTCTACTTGTCAATTTTAGTTTACAGTAGTGTGAGTTTCCTGTCTTTCCCCTGTTTTAAAAGGTATTTTAATGAGAAAATGGAAGCAATTTTAAACTGGAAGGCAGAAGTCTAGTTCTAAAGAAATTTGTCCCTGGAATGTGAACTGAAGAAGGCCTATTAGTATCCATGATGCAGTTGGCAGTTAAAGAGTATAGAGCATGAAGCCGCTGAGACAGGGGAAAATTAGGCCTGGGAGAAAAGACCATAATTTTGGAGTAAGGATCACTATGGACTGAAGGTTAATTTTGACAGTAATGGGATATCTGGAGCCCAGTTAAGGAAATGAGACTGTAACTAGGTTTAAGAGGAATCAGAACATTACCGCGCATATTTTGATGAGGTTGCTGAAAGAAGGCCATGAGAAAAGAGATTTCACCATCAGGTAGTGTGTGGACAGCTTTGAGCTTTAGGTAATTATCCCTGAACAGAGATGCTTGTGCTCCTGAGAGAGAAAATCACTGTGTCAGTTGAAGGAACAGGAAGTTTTGAAGATAACAAACCCTCTGGATTTTGTCAATCAAGCCAGGGTGACTAGGGTAGGGTACCCAAGTATCCATGTGTAAGGGGTCCCAACTGACTACTGATGATTTGAAACAGAAACCCATCTTTAAGTCATAGACTGAAAATAACTACAAACACAGTGATTAGATAATATAGCCCTGTTGTCTTGAGATGGTGGGAATTTCTTTCTTCCTCTCTTTCTTTTTCCATCTCTTCAACAAATATTTACTGAGTGTCTGTGATTTGACAAGCACTAAGTTGGGACATGTAAACAAATAATTAAAATAATTGCAGACAAGTGTGATAACAGGGGTCTTAACAGAATGCCCTGGGAACATTTACCACTTACATTTACCGTTTATTTATACTTAGTGCCTTGTGAATGTGTACACAAAAAGTAATTCTTTCATAAAATATGAAATCTAGTCTCCTCGTAAGTTCCTTTTGTGCATCTGTTTCAAATAAAATGGAAGGCTTAGCCTCCTTAGTAAAAGTCCCCTTAGTGTCCAGCACCTGCTGAGTCAGGGAAATGGGATAAGAGTTTTGGCCAAAAGCATCTGGTTTTAAAAAGGCAGGACCTCAAGCTTTTTACAGCAATGAAAGAAATGACATTGACCATCATGTGAGGTGATATTGTTCTATGGTATTGATAAGACAGGCCATTCCAACCAACTCTAAGGTGACTTGTCTTTTGGATTTTAGTGGAGGTAATGACCCACAGAAAAATTCACACACTGGTTTTCTTAAAGAGTCCTACTTCGGCCGGGCGCAGTGGCTCATGCCTGTAATCCCAGCACTTTGGGAGGCCAAGGCGGGCTGATCATGGGGTCAAGAGATCGAAACCATCCTGGCCAACATGGTGAAACCCCATCTCTACTAAAAACACAAAAATTAGCTCGGCATGGTGGCGCGCGGCTGTAGTCCCAGCTACTCCGGAGGCTGAGGCAGGAAAATCGCTTGAACCCAGGATGCGGGGGGTTGCAATGAGCCAAGATCACGCCACTGCACTCCAGCCTGGCGACAGAGACTCCATCTCAAAAAAAAAAAAGTCCTACTTCATTTTGCCTCTGGCTCATGTCTCTTGTTCATAAAGATAGTATGGTGCTCTTTTATTTTTTACTTTTTCCCTATCCCAAATGATTTGTAATGTGATGTCTATAAAATGCAGCTCAGACATTCATATGTCTTGATATTAGTACCAAATAATTCCTGACAAATATTGTGGGAAAGAAGAAAGGTGGCAATATGTATTACAAGGAATGCATCCACACATTCTCTTTCTAAACGATCCAAACAAGATATAAGAATTCAAACAGAACAGCGAGTCAGCAAACTGTAATGCTCACACAGGACAAGGCATGTTGCCTCTCATTGTTCTGTTTTATTGACATTTTTCTTGGCTATTCTTATACATTGTCTCTTCTTCATGAACCTTAAAATTGGCTTGTTATACTCCATACAATTCCACAGTGATTCAGATGAGAATTATTTGAGTTTGTATGTTAATTTGGGCAAAATTTAAAATCAGCACAACATGAAGATTTTTGTCCAATAAATGAAATACCTCTCCACTTATTTAATTCTTCTTTTATGTTCTTTGGTATTATTTTATAGTTTTATACATACAGATTATTTTTTCTTTTTTAAAATTTTACTTTAAGTTCTGGGATACATGTGCTGAACGTGCAGGTTTGTTACATAGGTATACATGTGCCACGGTGGTTTGCTGTACCTATCAACCCATCGTGTAGGTTTTAAGCCCCACATGCATTAGGTATTTGTCCTAATACTCTCCCTTTTCTTTCCCCCCACTGTCTGACAGGCCCCAGTGTGTGATGTTCCCCTCCCTGTGTCCATTTGTTCTCATTGTTCAACTCCCACTTTTGAGTGAGAACATGCAGCGTTTGGTTTTCTGTTCCTGTGTTAGTTTGCTGGGGATGACGGTTTCCAGCTTCATCCCTGTCCCTGCAAAAGACATGAACGCATCCTTTTTGTGGTTGCATAGTATTCCATAGTGTATATGTGCCACATTTTCTTTATCCAGTCTATCATTGATGGGCATTTGGGTTGGTTCCAAGTCTTTACTATTGGAAATAGTGCTGCAATAAACATACATGTGCATGTGTCTTTATAGTAGAATGATTTATAATCCTTTGGGTATATACCCGTAATGAGATTGCTGGGTCAAATGGTATTTCTGGTTCTAGATCCTTGAGGAATCGCCGCACTGTCTTCCACAATGGCTGAACTAATTTACACTCCCACCAACAGTGTAAAAGCATTTCTATTTCTCCACATCCTCTCCAGCATCTGTTGTTTCCTGACTTTTTACTGATCGCCATTGCAACTGGAGTGAGATGGTATCTCGTTGTGGTTTTGATTTGCATTTCTCTAATTACCAATGATGATGAGCTTTTTTTCATATGTTTGTTGGCCGCATAAATGTCTTCTTTTGAGAAGTGCCTGTTGATATCCTTTGGCCACTTTTGGCTATACATGAAGCAGCGGAAGCTAGCATTCCAATTTTATTCTTTTAATGGGAACTTAATTTGATATTTATTGTTCTCTGATGGTTATCTTTTATCAGATTAAGATTTTTCTCCTAGTTCATTAAGATTTTTTGTTTTTGGTGACAGCTTTATTGAGAACTATTCACATACCATACTATTTACTTATTTAAAATGCACAATTCAATGGCTTTCTATATAGTCACAGAATTGTGCAACAATCATCACAATCAATTTCAGAACATTTTTATTGCCTCAAAAAGAAGCCCTACATCCCTTAGCTATTACCCCCCAGTTCTCCCCCTTCCCTAGGCAACCACTTCTTTCTCTCTCCATTGATTTGTCTATCCTGGACATTTCATGTAGTGGAATTATATACCATGTGGTCATTTGTGACTGGCTACTTTCACTAATATAATATTTTAAGGTTTATCCATGTTGTAGCATGCATCAGTACTTCATTACTTTTTGTGACTGAATACTATTCCATTGTATAAATATACCATATTTTGTGTATTCATTCATCCTTGGACAAACATTTGAGTGGTTTCTACCTTTTGACTACCATGAATAATATTGCCATGAACATAAGTTTTCATGTAGACATATGTGTTCATTTCTCTTGGATGTAGGAGCAAAGTCACTTGGTTATGTTTAATGTTTTGAAGACTATCAGGCTGTTTGCCAAAATGGCTACAGCATTTTCATACACTCCTACCAACAGCGTATGAAGTTTCCAATTTCTCTAAAATCTCACTAACATTTGTTATTAGCAGACTTTTTGATTGCAGCCATCCTAGTGAATGTGAAGTAGTGTTTCCTATGGTTTTGATTTGCAATTCTCTAATGATGAATGATATCGAGCATGTTTTCATGTGCTGATTGGCCATTTGCATATCTTCTCTGGAGAAATGTCTAGTCAAATCTATTGTCCATTTTTCAATTGGGTTGTCTTTTTATTATTGATTTGTAAGAGTTCTTTCCATATTCTAGGTACAAGTTGCTTATTAGTTATATGGTTTGCAAATATCTCCCATTCTGTAGGTTGTCTTTTTACTTTCTTGATAGTGTCCTTTAAAGCATAGACATTTTTAATTTTGATGAAGTCCGATTTATCTATTTTTTTATTTCTTGTGTTTAATGTCATATCGAAAAGACCATTGCTAAATTCAAGGTCACAAAGATTTATCTATATGTTTGTGTCTTATTCCATTTTGTGCTGCTGTAACAGAATGCCACAGATGGAGTGATTTGTAAAGAAGAGAAACACATTTTCTCACAGTTCTGGAGGCTGGGTAGTCTGAAATCAAGGTATCAGCATTTGATCTGGCAAAGTACTTCTTGCTGTGATTTCACATGGCAAAAGGAAGAAGAGCACGTGGGGACAAGCATGGTGTCCTCATATGGGAAAGAGTGAAAGAGAGCAGACCCACTCCTGCAAGCCCTTTTTACAGAAGCATTAACCCATTCATGAGAGTGGAGCCTCCATGATCTGAAAGCCTCCCATTAGGCACCCCTTATCCAATATTATTGCATTGGGGATTAAACTTGCAACACATCAATTTGAGGGACATATTCAGACCAAAGCAGTTTGTTTCTGTGAGTTTTATAGTTTTAGTTCTCATATTTAGTTTTAGATCTATTTGGTACCTTTTGTGTATACTGTGAGGAAGAGGTTCAACTTTATTATTTTGCATCTTAATATGTTCTAGCACCTTTTGTTGAAGGTAATATTCATTCTCCATTGAATGTCTTGTGCTCTTGTCAAAAATCAATTGACTTCCAGGTGTGGTGGCTCACGCCTGTAATCCCAGCACTTTGGGAGGCTGAGACAGGCTGATCACTTGAGGTCAGCAGTTTGAGATCAGCCTGGCCAACATGATGAAACCCTGTCTCTACTAAAAATACAAAAATTAGCCGGGTATGGTGGTGTGTGCCTGTAATCCCAGCTACTCAGGAGACTGAGGCAGAAAAATCACACAAACCCATGAGGCGGAGGTTGCAGTGAGCTGAGATTGTGCCGCTGCACTCCAGCCTGGGCAACAGAGTGAGACTCCATCTCAAAAAAAAAAAAAAATCAATTGACCACAGATATGAGTTTATTTCCAGAGTTTCTCTTTTACTCCATTGATTTATATGTCCATTCTTATGCTGGTCTATGATGTCTTGATTGTGATTGCTTTGTTTTAAAAATTGGAATTGTGAGTTCTCCAACTTTGCCCATCTTTTTCAAGATTGTTTTGACTGCTCTGGATCCTTTAAGTTTCCCTATAAAATTAGAATGACCTTGTCAATTTCTGCAAAGATATCAGCTGAAATTCTGAAAGGAATTGCATTAAACCTGTAGATCACTTTGGGGAGTACTGTCATTCTAATAATATTAAGTCTGCAATTTATGAACACACACTTTTTTTTATATAGATCTTGAAATTTCTTTCAATAATGTTTTGTAGTTTTTAAAACATAAAATTTATACTTCTTTTGTTAAATATATTTCTAAATATTTTGTTCTTTTTGATGTTATTTTCAATGAAATTGCTTTCTTAATTTCATTTTTGGTATGTTAATTGCAAGTATGTAGAAATGCAGTTGATTTTTGTATAATAAACTTGTATCCTACAACCTTTCTGAAGCTATTAGGTCAGTTGGTTTCTTAGGATTTTCTATTATAAGAACATGTTGTCTGCATATAGAAAGTTTACTTCCCTTTTCCAGTTTGGATGCTTTTATTTCATTTTCTTGCATAGCTGCCCTGACTAGAACCTCCAGTACAATGTTGAATAGAAATGGTGAGAGAGGAATTCCTTGTCTTCTTCTGATTTTAGGGGGAAGGCATCCAGTGTTTCACCATGAGGTATAACTCTAGCTGTTGTTTTTTTCGTAGATAGCCTTTATCTGGTTGAGGACGCTTCCACCTACTTCTAGTGAGTTAGGTATTATTATCATAAAAGGATATTGGATTTTATAAAATGATTTTTTTGCATCTTTCGACATGTGTTTTTTGCTTTTATTGTATTGATATGATGCAATACATTGATTGATATTTAGATGTTAGACCAATCTTGCATGCCTGTTCCTAGGAAGGGGACGTGGTCATGGTGTATAATAATTTTTTTTATATTATTTGATTTGGTTTGTTGAGAATTTTTGTATTTATATTCATAGGGATATTGATCTGCAGTTTTATTTTCTTGTAATGTCTTTGTCTGGCTTTGGTATTAGAATAATATTGACTTCTTAGAGTGAGCTAGAAAGTGTTTTTTCCACTCCAATTTTTTGGAAATGTTTGTGGAGAATTTGATTAATTTTTCTGTAAATGTTTGGCAGAATTCACCAGTGAAGCCATCTGGTCCTGGAGTTTTCTTTATGAGCATTTTGTTTTTTACATTGTTGATTCAATCTCTTTACCTGTTGTAGGTCTACTCCTATTTTCTATTTTTTCTTGAGTCAGTTTTGGTAGATCTCTACTAATCATCCTATTTCAAATTGCAAAATTCTCCCCCTGATAATTCCAATCCCTCCTATTCTGTTCTGTTTTTTCTCCAAGATCCTTATCACCTTCTAACATACTGTACAGTTTACTTGGTTGTTATCTATGTATCTACCTAATCTATAGCTTTTTTGGTCTGCTGGAATAGGACATTCAGGATCTTTAGTACTTTGTTAACTGATGTACTGATGTATCTTCAGTCTCTCTCTCCCTTTTTTTTTGAGATGGACTCTTGCTCTGTCACCAGGCTGGAGTGGTACGGTGGTGCAATCTCGGCTCACTACAACCTCTGCTTCCCAGGTTCAAGCGATTCTCCTTCCTCAGCCCCCCTAGCAGCTGGGACTACAGGCATGTGCCACCAAGCCCAGCTAATATTTTATATTTTTAGTAGAGATGGGGTGTCACCAGGTTGGCCAGGATGGTCTCAATCTATTGACCTTGTGATCCGCCCACCTCAGCCTCCCAAAGTGCTGGGATTACAAGCGTGAGCCACCATGCCCAGCCTCCAATCTCTTAAACAGTGCCTGGAACCTAGTAGTCATTCAATAAATATTGCTGAGTGGATGATAAAATTAGATGATATTTATCTTTTAATCTATTAAGGTAATGAATTTTATTCTTATATTTCTTGAAGTTGGCTAATACTTTCTTTCTTCGGACAAAGCCTGACAAGTCATTATATATTGTTATTCTCATGCTGAATTTAATACCAATATTTTCTCTGTAATTTTTGCATCTGTGTTTATATATTATCTTGATTCACTGTCTTTTTCAGTGTGTGCCCTATTGATGTTCTGTTCTGATGTCAGGACAATTCTAAGTTTGTAGAATGAGTCAGGGGAACTTCATTTTTTCAAAATATGCAGTAAGCATTTATGTAACATAGGAATTATTGTTTCCTTGAAAATGTGGCAGAACTTGCTAATAAAATGATTTGAATTTGGAGGGTTATTTAGGAATATGTCTTTGAAAACTTTTAAATTTCATAAATAATATTGATCTATTTAGTCAAATGCTTTCTTTAGCCAGTTTTTGTATATTACATGTTTCCAAGAAATGAGTAATTTGTTTAGAATTTTAAAACTTTATTTGCCCAAAGTTGCATGGCTTTCTTTTATGCTCTCTAAAATTGCCTCATCTTGTTACGCCTCCTTTTTACACCCCAATCATCTGGCATAAGAAACCTGTGTCTGCTTGATTCTCTTCCTTGGCAGGAACATTTCTCCTTCATCTTCTGTGTTCTGAAGTTTCACTCTGATAGCTATAATTGTAGGCATTTAAAAATTTTTACTCAAGGACTTAGTTGTCTTTTTTCTTAATTTAAATATAGATATTTTCAAACATGAAATAGAGGAGAGAATATCATAAAGAATCTCCATATATCTCAGTAGTGTTGCTGTGTCACTTCTTAAATTAGTAAAAATAATAAATGTTAACAATATTTAAATAAGTTTTCTTTGCTTTCTCGTTCTTTAGACTAAAATTAAATTAGACACTAGAACTTCTAGATTTATGTTCCGTGCTTCTTAATTTTTTAATAATACTTTCATTTTTAAATCTTTTATTCTTAATCACTTGCTTGATCTCACATATAATTTTTTTCACATCAGCTGCATGCCTTTTGTTGTTTCTCCAATTTTTAGTGATTACACAAATATTTATGAGCTAAATATTAATTTCCAAGAACTGTATTTGATTATTAGCATGGATGCAGTAGCTTCCTGACTCTTCCAAATACATGAGTAACACAAAATTTTCTAAATATTTGAGTCTTCTGTTTTCTCACCTAAATCCATTTTCTCAGATGATAGTTGCATGGGTTGAGTTTGTTGCCTCTCTTGTACTTGTTTTCTGAAAATGTTTGGGAATGACTGATTGTATGTTCATGGGTGTCCCTGAGTTGTATTTTTTTAAGAATGCTGTTTCTGTTTATGGTGAACAACTTCTACTGATGGGGAGGAGGGGGACTGGTGGCTTGTGTTTAGGAAACAGGAGTTCCCTGTGTCTTCTAGGGCTACTGTGTTTTGGGGCACTTTGCTGTTTTTCTGTCCCTGACACTTTTATCACTGCTACTTTCTGATTAGTATAGAGGAGGCAGGAAAATCGCTCATATGTAACTGCAAATGCAAGCACCCTGTTGGACAACTCACATTCTTCTTCGGCTTCTTGTGACAATTAGTTCTGGCCTCATAGGCTCTTAGAACTGCTTCTTTGCCTGCAGAAGGCTCCTTCCAGACATATTCTGAGCACTGATTTCCTCTTTTGGTTGTTATTTGTTTATATATGAGGATCTGTTTTCTCTGCTTTGTATCACTTAAGAATTACTGAGCATTTCTGGTCCACTGATTCACTGGTGGCACCCTATCTTTTCCAACACTGTTAAAATTTTCTTTCCTCCTCCTGTTTTTCTTATTCTTCTCTTAACAGGATTTGGGATATCATAGGTTATATTTTACCCTCTGCCGCCATTTGACTACTGCTTGGCTTTTGGCAAAATTGGGTTTTTAATCACTGCTCTAGAAAATCTTCACAACAGTTGACTTCTCAGCAGTATTTGTAAGCAAGTGGATTTTACATATTTTATAATCAACTTTGAGTTATTCTTTTATGACACTTCCATTTTTTTGATGAGTATAATCAAGGCATATCTTATCATTTCAATTTTTTTAAGTTATAGTCTTCTTGTAAGTTTACTCTAAAACATATATAGCATTCATTCTCAACACATGCACAATGAAGACAATTCTCAGTGTTCTTGGGTACTGGGTACAATTGGACTTTTGTGAATCTTAGTGGTGAGAGGGATATTCTCATAAGTATTAAGATGCTAATGCGGCCGGGCACAGTGGCTCACGCCTGTAATCCCAGCACTTTGGGAGGCCGAGGCGGGTGGATCACAAGGTCAGGCGATCAAGGCCATCTTGGCTAACGCGGTAAAACCCCGTATCTACTAAAAATACAAAAAATAAGCCGGACATGATTGTGGATGCCTGTAGTCCCAGCTACTCGGGAGGCTGAGGCAGGAGAATGGCGTGAACTCAGAAGGTGGAGCTTGTAGTGAGCCGAGATTGCGCCACTGCACTCCAGCCTGGGAGACAAAGCAAGACTCCTCCTCAAACAAAAAAAAAAAAAAAAAAGAGAGAAATTTTGCCTTATGGGGGGGTATTTCCCGAATAGGAGGCACCAATCCCCACCATATGGTGATGAAGCCAGACGTAGAATTTCTTGATCTTAAACTTATTAAATACTCTTTTCACTTTATGGAGTAGAGCTAATTCTATAGCAGTTGACAAATAGATACAACAGGGAGTTTAAAAATTCTTTCCAACTTATTTCCAAGTAAGCTCACACACTCTTAAATTATTATTTTCCTTAACCATGACCCCTCTCTGTTCAGTAGCCATTTGTAACAAAACAAACAAACAAACAAATCTCAAACATGGCAGAAGAGGCTTCTGCCCTGGTAAGTGAAAGGTT
Source organism: Homo sapiens (assembly GCF_000001405.40). NCBI lineage: Eukaryota > Metazoa > Chordata > Mammalia > Primates > Hominidae > Homo > Homo sapiens. The sequence goes on from NC_000017.11 coordinate 14,498,294, forward strand.
GGTATTTCAGAACTGGGAATACTCTCTTTTAATAGGGGGCTAAGGTAAGCCTAGATGTCCCTACAGTCTGTAGTTTTCTGGGATTGTTTTCTTCTTTGATATCGAAATGCCAGTAGACTGTCTCTTCTAACACATAGCATAAGGTTCAGTGTAACTAGTTTTGAGATTTCTTGCCGAAAGTGTGGAAGTCCACAAATTCATCCCGACTGTCCCCCGCATTCTCACCTGACCTAGATGCCTACTCACTTCTTTGTTGTCATCACTTAACTGGTGACTCTGGCAGCTTTCCTATCCATGATGGGGGCATCTTCCCTTCCCTAATTCCTCAAGGCACAGCCAAAACTGTATGTCACATTAAATGAAATTCTATCAAATATTTTGTGTGTCAGAGACTGCTTGTTTTCTCTAATATCCACTCTTTCCTTTTCATTTTAATAACAAATTCACAGGTTTTAGTTGGACACATGCTTGGGTGTTAAACTGTTTCCCTGCTTTGCTTGCAGATAAATTCTGGTCAAGGAAATTAGAACAGAAGTGATAAAGCAGTACATACAATGTCCAGACTGCATCCTTGAAAGAAAAGTAATATCTCTTCCATTGGTTGGTATGTAGATGTGATGGCTGGTGCTGGAGCAACCATCTTGGAGTCAATATGGAAGCCACGTGTGAAAAAAGAACAAAAAGATTAGAGGAGCTCAAGACTCCAAAATTCAGGAGTCAGCATATTAACCTTGGACTGCTTAAACTTGAATGAAATGAAAGAGAAATAAATATCTCAGTTCAAGCTACTGAGCTTTTGTCCTTTACAGATAAACCATAAACTTTGAGAACATGAAAGAGAATAACAGAAGCAAATTTAAAGCTGATTAGTAGACCCTTGGTAAGACCTAAAAGCAAGAAAAAAATGTGGCCTCTTGACTAATAATTTTGAAAATTGAAGAGTGTCAGAGTTAGGCATCAGGAATTCCTAGGCATTTGCTTATTTCTTTCTGAAATGCCCCCAAAAAGGGCTTCTTGACATCCTTCTATAACTTTGCCCTTATTAGGGTCAAATATAAACTGTTATACTAGGTAGTAAAACTGATTATTTATAAGCAAACCTTCTAGTATTTAAGTTCAAATTGCTACAATATTGGCATTATTAAAAAGAAAAGTTTGGGAACTACCCGAAGACCATATGTATAAGCCATAAAATAAAATCCACCTTACTAATTAAAAGTCACACCTCATTTTGACATATATTAGTATCACCCAACTCAATCCCCTTCCTAAATCATCAGGCTTAGCTCTGAATGACCTTTGGCTATTTCAAAAAATCAAATCTACCCTCTAAGGATGTAGTTGTAAGTCTATGTGGAAGACTGAGCCATGGTTCTGAAAATAGTGTCAAAGAGAATTTCAGAAGCTGTAAAATGGTAACCTCACTAAAGGAAGTATTTCTCTTTCCCAAGGCAAGACTAAAGGGGTCTGTGGAGATCTTAATTCTACTTTGGTTACCATCCTGATAACAGTGCTAAAGCTCACGGTGATACAAATCATCTTGGGTCTGGTTGCACTTGGAATTTAGGTTTCAGCAGGTGTTCAATGGGCAGAGACATTTCACGCCCAACCTGAATAGGTCTGTAACTCTGCCTTAGAAAGCAGCTTGCCTATAAATATTTCACTCAGAGTCAGACAAAAGCTGGATGGATGTGAGGCTGCTTCAGACAAAAAGCAGATAAATTCCTGCTTAACATGTACCTGATGCTTTATGATTTCTGCCTAAGTTCAGATTTCCTGGATCAAATGTTCCCAAGACCTGTGAGGTCATGTGGTTTCAGAGACATAAGCTAAGCTTGGTATATATTACAGAGAAGCCATCCCATCCGGGCGCGACCACTCTGAAGGTAAGTGTTAATCCCAATCTGATTTCGTGTGTGTGCAACAGCTGTTGGGAACATTAGGACTGCCATCTGTGTCCAATGGAATGATTTCCTACCACTTGGCCTCATATGGCCCAAAAGGTAATTTAGTGCATATTGGGAAATTCCTGAAACAACATGAGACTTAACACCATTTTCCCATCAAATCCTTGGAGTTTTTGTTGATGTTTAGAGAGCCCACGGAGGTGTGAAACTACGGGTCTGGGGAATGGAATGGTTTACTCATAAAATCTGGGATCTTTATTTGGGGGTTCTTTCTCCAAGATAAATTCTTGTGTGTTTCCAAGAATAAGTTCAATGCCATACTTGGAGTAAAACTGTCCTTGAACATGAGGATTAAAATCCTGTGTTCTGGTGATGGTCATTTTCTGTACCCACTTGGTAATGCAGGAGTACCTATCAGACGTTTGCAGACTCTTCATTTGCATATGAAAATCTCAATGACTTAGATTTACTGTCAATAATTTTACTCATGAAAAGTAAAACTAAAATATTCGTGAAAATCTTAGTGTTCTCTGACCTCTCCTAGGGTAGGACCCATCTTCCTTAAATTGTTTTCTTTATTTTTCTAAGTTCTTTATCCTATTCCATCAGCATAAAGAAAATATCTGCTTAAGCTGATTTACGTTCAAGTGTGAGTAAAGGAGAGATAATCTAAGCTGTAAACCACACTAAAGATACGGATTTGCATTTTTTAAAGTGATGCTTGGTACTTAATCTGAATTTAGCAAAGCTGACTTGATCCCAACCTTCGAGCAGCTGCTGAAATACCCATTTTTTAGGAAGTCTTTTCAGAATGATTAGGACAGGATAAGGCTGTTCTATCCTGCCTCGCATTTTGGCTTTCCTCCTGGATCCAGCTGTCAGCAGTTATGTCAGTTTGAAATATAACTGTTATTTGAAACATAACGTTTTCAAGATACAACAGCTAAGATAGTATTTTCATGTAGAATTTAGTACATTTGCACCCCTTAAAAGAAGGCAATAATTGAAACATTTATTTGATCACCTACTATGTACCAGTCACATGCACCTGCACGTGTCTAGTTCTTTGTGTAGTTCTTTTACATGACATTAAATATCTATTATACTCTAGAATTTGGGGGGATAGAACCACTATTAGCCTTTGCTAGTGTCTTTCACTTTGTTCTAATTTCTCACTTTCCTGAGCACTACTCAGCTAGAGTCTTTTTTTTTTAATTTTGGTAGTATTTTATTTGTTTATTTATTTATTTATTTGAGATGGAGTTTCACTCTTGTTGCCCAGGCTGGAGTGCAGTGGTGTGATCTCAGCTCACTGCAACCTCCACCTCCCGGGTTCAAGCGATTCTCCTGCCTCAGCCTCCCGAGTAAGTGGGATTATGGGCATCACCCACAACGCCTGGCTAATTTTTTAGTAGAGACGAGATTTCACCATGTTGGCCAGGCTGGTCTCGAACTCCTGACCTCAGATGATCCACCCGCCTCGGGCTCCCAAAGTGCTGGGATTACAGGCGTGAGCCACCACTCCCGGCTTACTCAGCTAGATTCTTGTCTTCCAATGGGATACACATTCACTGTTTCTGCCTGATTGGTTTCCCAAGTTTCAGATCAGGTAATTCTGAATCAAGTTCACTTTGTTGGCACTTTCCTGTGAATATTATTCCCCTAATAGTATGGTTTATACACAGACCAACTTGAACCTTTCAAAACAGAAGCAACAGTAGCAAGCTTAAGAGGTAAGGATCATGTCTTACTCATCTCTGCATTCTGAGTCTAACACAGTACCAAGTGTAGAGAGCTAGTGAATATTCCGTGTCAAAAAATGTGCCTCTTCTTCACTTCAATATTTATGTGCAAAGGGCACCCACAGATGGGGAAACTCCTTGGTATGGATGACCAAGTTTGGCATTCCAATGTTTCCAATGGGATAGGATGAAGGCCATGATACTAGGATGATTTTCCAAGTCAGAAGACTTTTCTCTATTTAACAAATGAAACAAGTCACAGCAAGATCAGAGGCAGGATATCAAAGCATAAAGATATCTTTAGTTTCTTTCCTAAGCAAGTTGTGTGTCAGGAATCAGAAGAATGAAGGGGGACAATGAAAGGGATCTGCTTCATCCTTTGTGACCAAGAAAGCAGAAAATTAAATGTGCCAATAATCATTATAATGAAATATTTCCAAGTCCTAGAATCTGCAATATTGTTTGAAAGACCAAGTCTCTTGATGCAAAGGGTCTGTAAGGAAAATAACTTTCATTCATTCACTCATTCATTCATGTATTCAATTTATGTTTATTGAATCACCACTATGGAGTAGACATTGAATCTCTGGAACCTTTGAACTTGAACCACAAGTTTTTTCTGGGATTTTGGTAAACATGAATATTGTTGACTTCATATATATCCATCAACATCTAATTTAATACAATGAAAGGCAGAATAACATAAGGTTAAGGGTGCAGACAAAAGGATAGGAGCCCGTCTCTATTACTTTATAAAGATGCCATTTTAGGCAAGTTACTCTTCATCTACTACAATAACTATTAGTACTCACTTCACAGGGTTGTTGTGAGAATTAAATCAACACATGGAACAAGCATAGCAGTGCTTAATACATAGCAAGTGCCATCATTATAACAAAATTTCATATTAAAACAGTCCTGGCATTATGGCCTTAAATAAATTACTTAAACTCTCCAAGCATCTGTTCTCTCATTTATAAATTGAGGACAACACCTGCCTATTTACCTCACAGAAATGTTGCGTGAGTCATGTGAGATAATATACATAGAGATTTTTATAAACAGCAAAGTCCCATGTACTTCAAAGTTATTTTCATTATGTTAAGATCTAAAAAGATCACCATAACAAAATTTTATTGTTTAATTCCTCAAGATCTACCTCCTGAGTAAAAACATGAAAGGAAAAGCAAGTTCAACTCCTTGGCAGAGAAGAGATAAATTCTTGATTATGATTCTACCAGACTCTACTGAGCCGAGAGAAAACTGAGGATAAAAAAGAAACTGGTGGTAAAATTAGGAAGAAGCAATGGATGCTTGGAACACTGAGACACAGTAAATCTTTACAATGAGTGCTGAGGACAGGCACGTGACCCAAGCTAGGCCAGTTGGATGCTCCCTCAGTGGAATTTAATTCTTGAGTAGGGGAACAAGGAAATTGAAAACAATCAGTGTTCATTGCATTCAGCACAGCCTCCTGACACTTTGGCCCTGCTGTGCACAGATGTTGTGGTCTCTGATACCTTGTCTCCAGGGCTGCTTTCTTTTCCTTTACTTCCTAGCCTGGTATTCTGGCCTCTCATTGATTCTGTGAGCTCCTGATCCTTTCCAATAAATTACCATTAGCCTAAGTCAGGCTTAATTTCTGTTGCTTGAAACAAAGGAGCCCTAATACCTGCTCTAACCTGTCTTGTAAAGGTAGACCATGCTATGAAATCCGTTATCTTCCTCTATTCTCTTTCATGCACATATGTATGTATGTATGTGTGTATGTATGTAGTATGTATGCTAGTGCACCCAGAACAGCTCTTTTATCATATTATATCAGTTTTTAAAAAATCATTTACGGCCGGGCACGGTGGCTCACGCCTGTAATCCCAGCACTCTGGGAGGCCAAGGTGGGCAGATCACCTGAGGTCAGGAGTTCGAGACAAGCCTGCCCAACATGGCAAAACCCCATCTCTACTAAAAATACAAAAAATTAGCCGGGAGTGGTGACAGGTGCCTGTAATACCAGCTACTCAGGAAGCTGAGGCACGAGAATCACTTTTGAACCTGGGAGGCAGAGGTTGCAGTGAGCCAAGATGGCACCACTGCACTCCAGCCTGGGCAACAAGAGTGAAACTCTGCCTCAAAAAAAAAAATTTACACATTTGTTCATTTGGCAAATATTTATTGAGTATCTAAGCATCATTTTAGATTCTGGGGATGCATCAATGAACAAAATAGACAAAATTCTATACCTTCATGAATTTACATTCCAAAACGGAGAGACAATAAAACTAAGTAATTACATATGTTTGTATACACACATACACATATACATGCTTATACAGACACACACATACATTGCATTTGTGTATACATACATGAGGTTAGATGGCAAAACGTCTCTGGAAAACAATGAAGCTGAGAAAGATAATAGAAGTCAAAGGTGAGGAGCTGTTGTGATATTAAATTGAGTCATGAGGGAAGGATCACTGACAAAGGGGTATTGAAGCAACAGAGTGGAGAGATAGAGAGCTGTGTGGATACTAGTAGGAAAAGCATTTCTGGAAGAGGGAGCAGAAAATGCAAAAGTGCTCACATGGGAACTTGCCTCCAGTGTTCTAGGAAATAGAAAGCCAGGGTAGCTGGAGTGGAGTGAGCGAAGGAGAAAGTAGTAGATATTGAGGTCAGTGAGGGATTGGTCAGAGGGCAGCTCATGCAGAACCATCGTTAGGACCTCGGTCTTTACTCTGAGTTAGGAAGACATTGGAGGGCATTGAACAAACATACAAGTATCTACACATTTCTCTTCTGTGCCCAGTGTCTGTTGGCTGTCAAGGGCTGGCCCATGCTTTCCAGCCCTGGCTTCAATGCTCTGGTTCACTTCCGTCAGACTGGTCTCTCTCTCTCTTGTTTTTTTGTGACGGAGTCTTACTCTGTCACCAGGCTGGAGTGTGGTGGCACGATCTCAGTTCACTGCAACCTCTGCCTCCTGGGTTCAAGCGATTCTCCTGCCTCAGCCTCCTGAGTAGCTGGGATCACAGGCACACGCCACCAGGCCCGGCTAATTTTTGTATTTTTAGTAGAGACGGGGTTTCACCATGTTGGCCAGGATGGTCTCGATCTCTTGACCTCGTGATCCGCCCATCTTGGCCTCCCAAAGTGCTGGGATTACAGGCATGAGCCACCGTGCCCAGCCCAGACGGGTCTCTTTTCTCTGACCTGAACGCACCTTACAATATCTATGCCCTGATCTACTCTATCGTAACCCCAACAACCATCAAAGGCCACTTCAACTCCCATCTCCTTCCTGAAGTTTCCCCGTGCTTAGCCAGACCACAGCAATCTTGCACATTTCTGAATTTTTAATGGACTTACCTCTACACCCCCCCAGCTGAGATTTAGCACATACTCTCTTGTACTTTATTGAATTTTTCATGTATGCCTGCCTTGTCTATCCAAAAAAGATAGACTGTAAACTTTCGGAACAAAAGCACCATGTCTTACCCTTCTCTGCTGTCCCTTGAGTGCGTGATGAAAAGCAGTTTCATATTACTTGAAACAATCACCAAGGCTCTCAGCATGTCTGGGTTCTGTTTCAAAGGTTTACAATGGACCCTTCTTTCTTAAGGGGTCTTGAAAAGCTACGAACAAATGTATAACTACATCATTTGCTCAAGTAACACCAGAGTTACAGTGTAAACTCAATAATCACAGTCCATTAAATTGGGGCTGTTCAGGGAAAGTGAAGCCTTGGTCGAGCAATCAAGGCACTGGAGGCCATGCATGCCAGGTCCAGCGACCTTGCCCTGGCCCTGAGAACAAGCCACGATTGTCCCCTCTGCATCAGTACACATGTTGCAAACATGGAAATGCATTCTTCAATTCTGCAGCTAAATGGCACACATGGCCCCAAGATCCCAGAGCCTGTGCAAGGTTAACTAGCCTTCTATAAACATTAACACCCATGGGAGCAGCATGCCATAATTATGAGGGAATATACCCTGGCCCCTAAGTACTTGTCAGTTTACAGAATTCATTCTAGACACTGGAGTGAAATGTAATTTTCCTGGCAATGTTTATAGCAGTTACAGCTCTGTAAACAGGCTGCCTGGGCTGAGGTTGCTGGGTTCGTGTCTTAATGGGAATGCACCTGCAGCAATGGGGTAGAGCAACTCCCAGTCAAGACTCCTGGCCTCAGGACCCAGACCCTTCTCATCACCTTCCCTCTATCGCTCCCATGAATACCTGGGGTATAAATGAACGTGTCTCAGTTTTGGTGAGAAAACAAAAACAAAATTATGTTGCCCAGCTCTTATACCCAGGAAACTTCCTCTGAAGTCAGCAAAAGGATATACGCTGATTTCCCAAATTCTGTTTTAATAGTTAAAGCCAGGAACTCTGGGATTAGTACCATATATGCCATTAAATAGTTGTATGATGTTGGCCAAGCTCAATTTTTCGTACCTGCATATATGCTGGAGAGGATGAGATCTCCAATGTCCCTTTGTATTTTAACAATCTGTAGCTACGTGTTTCTTCAAGCCCCAGGGATGTGCCTGTCTTGTAAATGAAGAAATGGAGATTGTAGTCATAATCTCTGGAGTAGAAAGAGAACATTCAAGATAATCTAGTCATTGTTTCTTTACGATCAAGGTAAGACACTGATACCCAGAGTCCATGAATCACTTCCTGAAGCCGCACAGCTATGTATAGCGTAAAGATCCAAACCCTGGTCCTTTGACCCTTAAGGCTGAGACTTTCCATTATACTCAAGGCTTTTAAAAAATGGCTTGTCTCAAAGATTTAAACAGACAAGTCATAAAATAAGCTATGAATGGTCAATCATAACCCAAAAGAGATTGCAACATTATTTGCCACCAGAGAAATACAACTTACAACCACCAAGATGCTAGTTAAACGAAAAGTAAAAGACTGACAAATACCAAGTGTTGGTGGGTGGAGCCATGGGGACATTCACACATGGTTGGTGGGAATGAAAATGGTATAGCCACTTTGGATAAGAGTGATCAGTTCTTATACAGTGAAACATACACTTAATATATGACCCAACAATTCCACTCTAGGTATTTACCCAAGAAACATAAAAATGTGCACACTAAAACTTGCACATGAATGTCCACGACAGCTTTATTCAATAGCAACCTCAAACTGGAAATAACCCAAATAACCATCAACAGGTTAAAATTCTGGCATACCCATACCAGGAAAAACTACTTAGGATTTAAAAAGGGACCAAGAACTTAGATAAAAAAGGATGAGCTGAAAAAGCCAGATAGGAGGGCACATACTATCTGATGTCATTTGCATAAAGTTCTAGAAAAGGCTGGAGCTCAGGGTGGGAGTGAACTCCAAGGGGCACGAGGAAACACCTGGGTCATGGGAGTATCTTGATTATGGTGGTGGTAACACAGGGGCATATTGGTCCAAACTCACCCAACTGTACACTTAAAATGGGCATTTTTCATTGTATGTAAGTTAAACCTCAGTCAAGATTGTAAAACAGAATAGTGATTTGCTCCAGAATAACCATGGGCAGTAGGCAAGCACAAGAATGTGCAATATTTAAGTTTCCATTCAGGAAGCATCTTCTCTGCTGCTGTAGGGCAGCGAGGTGAACAGGTAACAGGGCCTGGTTCTTTGTGTGCTCTCAAAGGTAGGCATATCCCTGGCTCCAGCCAGGTTGCTCCCATGCCCACTGGAATAGAGCTGGCCCTAAGCCAAGGCATATGTGGAAAAACCACCCTGCCACTTTTATCTCTGATGAAAAGCCCTTGCTTAGTTCAGCAGAGATGTATTTATAAGTCTGTGATCTGGCATGGTTTAGATTTGTAACGGGGCAGGGGAGGTGGTCCCCGAGAGAGCAGACGTCCACAGAGAAGGCTAGGCTTTGGAAGGGCTCTTCCAGAGGAGGACCCACTGTATGAAAATGCAAGGCATAGATCTGGAGGGGGGAATATCCCTTTTCAGGATGTGAAATTCCCTTCTGTGGAATTTGAGGCAAGGGTCGGGGGAAGGGAGAAGGTGTTAACTGTGGGTTTTGATAGCGCAAATCGTGCCTTGACCTCAAATCTCCTTTGGTTTCTGACTTTGGGAGAAAATGTCTTCTTAGTAAAATGTAACTGATATGTACTGAGGATCCACATTTGTGAGTCAATGTGCCAGATGCTTGGGGATGTGAAATAAGTGGAAAAGCTTTCTTTGAAGAAGTGTTCAGTCTAGTCTAAAGAAAGATATGTAATAAATCATGAGCTGGCCCTGCTCCCTGCTGTTTACATGAAACTGAAGCCCTTTGGAACTTCAGGAAGCCCAAAGAGTATCAACAGACACCCCAGCCCCAGCAACTGCTGGCCCAGAATGGCCCTGTGCTAGCCACGTTCGGCCAGCATCTCTTCATGGTTCCTTGTGCTCATCCCTTTAGCTCCATGCTCTGGAGCCTGAGACCGGCCTCAGCTGTTCTCACCCAGATGATGCATCTGCACCCATTTCTCCCAGACACTGACCCTCGACTTGCCCCAACCCAAAGGATTCCTTACTAGATTAGCCAGGCGTTAAGCATCCCTTTCTCTCTACAGGAAGGTGGAATGGACAGATGCTAGGAGTGGACCTAGCTTCCAAACTGGAATTCTGGAATACTGTATATAGTGAATAGTGTTCCATTTTTAAATGCAGCCTTATGTCCATAAATAATTAGTGCTTAAAAATATGTTCAAGGGATAGAAACTGTGTAAAGCAAACCAAAATCATTTCTGACATTGACATCAGTATCATATCAGTTGCAATGGACTGAATACTTATGTCCAGCCCAAATTCATGTTTAAATCCTAACCTGGAGGTAATGATATTAAGAATTAGGGCCTTTAGGAGGTGATTAGGTCATGAGGGTGGAGCGCTTATGAAGGGATTAGTGCCCTTTTAAGAGAGACCCCAGAGAGCAAGCTGGATCTTTCCACCATGTGGAGATATGCCAGAAGGTGCCATCTATGAAGAGAGCCCTCACCAGACACCAAATCTGCTTTGCCTTCATCTTGGACTTCCCACCCTCCACAGTTGTGAGAAATAAATTTCTGAAGCCACCCAGTTTATGGTATTTTGTTATAGCAGCCCAAACAAACTTAGACACCAGCCGTGTCTTTCTGACAAATGAAAGATACATGTTGGGCAGTAGTGGGATATCAGGTTAGTCATATTTCTAAAATACCATCTTCATCATTTTCTCCCCCTCTCAAGAATCTATGGTACCTCCCTATTGCGTGTTGGTGCTGAAGGAACTCTGTGCTCAGTCTCTGCTTAGTGTACAGGGGATCGAGTTCAGAATGACCTTACGATTGCTTAGCCTCACACAGTTCCCCCTGGACCTGTGTGAGTTGGCCCTGTTTAATGGATGTCCCAGTAACTTCTCATTGCAATAATGATCAATCCCAAGGAAGGTTTTAAAATTTCCTCTGTCATCAGTCAAAGAGGACTTTTCAGAATCCTACCTTGTCTACACCATGCCCTCACATGCACATTCAGGGAGAGTTGCCAAGCTTGCTCCAGAGTAATGCAGCTCTCCTTGCCTGGCAAGCTAATAAATTCAGGCCCCATATAAATTATATTTTGATCTTCAGTTCTTCGGCTGGTTTTCAAAATTCTCTAACACTTAACTTTACCCAACTAACCTGATATCCTAGTTTTGCCCAGCCTGTGCCTTCTATTTCCTTTGAGGCACATGACAGTTCGTGGCTTACTCTTTCTTGGCGTTCCTCTTGGCTTGGCACAAGGTCTTGTGGGTATGAAGATGAAAGGACAGAAGCCCTGGACTCAAGGGGCTCATGGCACATGAGGAAACAGACATGAAAACAGACAATAAGAGCACCACAATGTGTCGTCTGCTGCCAGAGAGGTGCACAAGAAACCCCAAGCACTCACATTGGCCTGGCTTACTGCAACTTCCATGGTTAGGTGCTCAAGGAGGTGCCCCCACCCTATCCATCATTTCAAGGCCCATTTTATTCGATTCTTCTCCATGAAGCCATCTTGAACTACTCCAGCCCAAAGGGCTTTCTCCCTTTTCTAACTTCCTAATACATGTATGCCTCAAGACTTAACACTTACTTCTGACCTTATTGTTTCTTACCTCTCTACCTTGCCAGGGATTTGGGTAAGCCTTAGCCTTCTTCTGATCATTGTTCGCTCTCCCCCATCTCTCTCCAGCACCAAATGGAGTGTTCATAAATATTTGCCGGTTGACCATGGATGTACTTTTAGTTTACAGAACAATATTGAAATATTACTACTTCCTTGAGATTCCCTAACATCTGCTCTCCAATTTTCATCACTGCTCAATGAGTCAAACACTGGGACTGATGGTATTAGGTTACAGCTAATTCATTTCCCTTCATTGTGTGCAAATGTCTTCTCCAACATGTGGCCGGAGCTGCCCGTTTCTGGCAGGAAGGTCTGTGATTGCAGGGACCATGGTTTAGAGAGTGTTTTATGGTGAGGCCATTGTTGATACTGCTTGCTTTCCCCATCATTTGCCTTGATTTTCAGTGCATGTTACTGCTGTAAAAATTCACCATGGTAAAAAAGTCTAGATCTTTTTTTCATGTCCTGGTTTCATCTCAGCATTTCCTAAAGGTAGCTCATTAGCAAAATATCCTATGTGCCGTGGAACACAGCAGTGGGGAGTCACTGTTCTCAGGAAGAGAAGGGACAGATTAAATTTTTTTTTTTTTTTTGAGAGGGAGTCTCACTCTATCAACCATCCTGGAGTGCAATGGCATGATCTTGGCTTACTGCAACCTCCGCCTCCCGGGTTCAAGCGATTCTCCTGTTTCAGCCTCCTGAGTAGCTGGGGCTACAGGCGCCCATCACACCACTCCTGGCTAATTTTTGTATTTTTAGTAGAGACGGGGTTTCACCATATTTGTCAGACAGGTCTTGAACTCCTGACCCCGTGATCCACCCCCCTTGGCCTCCCAAAGTGGTGAGATTGCAGGTGTGAGCCACCACGCCAGGCCCCGATTAAATTTTTGAAGGATTAAACTGATGGATTAGACGCAGAAGGCCAGAGATTAAGTATGTAGATTGGCTACTTGAGAAGCTATCACAAACCTAGAGCCATATAAGTGAAAAGAGTGCTTCTAGAAACACAAATATATAATAAGAATACTTCAAATATGTAGTATTCAATTTTTGTTAATCAATACTACCAATATTTTCATTATTTTGAACAACTTCTAACGCTGATTTGATTAGAAAAGTGCAAAACAAATGCAGGGCTGAAAAGGCATGGTCAAACTGATTTGGCACCTGCTTTAGAGCAATTGTCGTGCTGTGTAGTTGTTCATCTGTTATGTGCTGTCTTCTGAGAAGCTCACAGGTGCTTGAGGACAGGGCTTCTGTCTTTCTATCTCTTTGTTTCCAAAGACCTCAGCATAGCAGCTGGACCAAAGCAACCATCCCTTATTAAGAGAAAGGGCCAAGATGATGCTTTCCTGATCCTTCTGGACATTCCTGTCAACAAAGGGGAGCATTTGTTAAGTCAAATTTGTTGCTTATCTAATATGTCTAACTCTTTCCTATAATGTATCACACTGGTTAATCTGAAGATGCCAAACAAATAATTTTCCACCCATGTATATTTAGCTCTTTATACTCTTTATCTGTCAAGGACAAATGCAAAACCATGCAGAAAACTACATAAGGATTTATGCAAAAGAGTGTCCATTACAGTGTTATTTATACTACCAAAAAATTACAAAGGATCTTCCTTATGTCCAACAATAAAAATAATAAATTATAGGCCATCCACATGATGGAAAATATTAGACATCATGGTATTGAAGAATGTCTGGGAATGATGAAATATTCCTCTATCAGCAAATTAAAACAAAGCTGAGTGCAGTGGCACACACTCATAATTCCAGCTCCTTGGAGGCTGAGGCAGGAGGATCACTTGAACCTGGGAGTTCAAGTCCAGCCTGGGCAACATGGCAAGACTCCATCTCTAAAAATAAAATAAAATAAAATAGATGAAAATAAATAGTAAACAATATTTAATAGAGTTCTAATTTTGTAAAAATATATATACATAATATTAGTGATTATGATCAGCATTTGGCTTTTATTTTCCTTTCCATAATTCTTAGTGTTTTTAGTTTGCTTTTTATTTTATTTGATTTTATTATTGCTATTTCAACTTCCTTTCCTCTTGCATCTTTTTTTTCTCTGTTTTGTTTTTGTTGGGGGTGGTGGGGTTTGTTTTTTATTTGTTTGATTTATTTATTTTTATTTGCCTGATATATTCTTCCATTCTTTTATTTTTAGAACTTCAGGTATAGTTTTTAAGCGGGCTTTTTTTTTTTTTTTGGTAGAGATAGGGTCTTACTATATTGGCCAGGCTGGTCTCAGACTCCTGGCATTAAGAGATCCTCCCACCTTGGCCTCCCAAAGTGCTTGGATTACAGGCATGAGCCACTCTCCTGGCCTTTAAATAGTTTTTAATGTCTATTGCAAATAGCATAATATCCACTTTTTTCTTTATCAAATCTGAGAATCTCTGACTTTTATATGTGAATTAAATCTAATCACATTTATTTTGATTACTTAAATATTATTTTGCAGTTACCATTCACATGCTTTTTCTTTTGTTTGTTTTTGATACTCTGCCTTCTGTTGAATTCATAAAGCTTTTTATATTTTGCGCTTTTTTCCTTTCAATTTGGAAATCATACATTGTATTTATATGCTTTTAGCCATCAGCTAAAATTTGGAACATATATGCTGAAGTTTATGTTTTGCTAACAAGGCCTACAATTAATATCGCTTTCCTCCCCCAAGCACATTCAAAAATAAGCATGCTTTCATTTTTTCCCAACTTTCATTCTCCCATCTTTTTGTAATTTCATCTAGTGTTTTGCCTTTGTTGTATGTTATAACAAAACATTAATAGTAATAATCAATATATATTTTTTATTGTCTATGGTTATTTAAAATTTCCAACATGATTTCAATGTTTTGTGCTCACCATTGTTTCTCATATTTCACTTCTTCCTTTTTGTTTTTTAAACTACAATACATAAATCCACTTATGGTGTGTGAGGAAGGGTCTCTAGGTTGTAAATTTTGTTAATATTTGCATGCCTAAAATGTCTTTACTTTGTTCTCATTCTTTTAAAAGTTATTTAAAAATTTTTAAATATACTAAAGATAAAAAAAGCACAAACAACAATATAACTGAGTTTGAGTTAACAATTTTCAATTCTTGCATCATATATTTTTTTAAATTCTGTATAAATTGAACTGAAATCTCACTTTCCTGTATCTCCTCTCTGCAACACACACATTGTCCCTTTTTCTTCCCTGGGGATAACCACCATCGTGAAGTAAGCGTGTATTTCTCATGTATGTTTTTTGTATACTTATTACACGGGCATGTCTCCTTAAGCAATGTATGTATAGTACTGTTTTGTGTCATAATATACCTATCTTAGTTGCATTTTTTTCCCCCACTCATCATGAGTCTTGGAAATTCATCCTTGTTGACACATGCAGGTCTAGTTAATCTATTTTACATGCTGTGTAATCGTGTCATGGTGTAAATAAACCACAGTTTAATTGTTCATTCAGTCACTTCAGGGCAGTTGGCCTGTTTGCACATTTCACTATTACATACAATGTGGCAATGAATTTTGTTGTTAACATTTGTTACCTTGGACACATAGGTGAGAATTTCTCTAGGGTAGCAACTAGAAACAAATGTGTTGTGTTGTAGTGTGCACATCTTTGGCTAGACTAATTAGTGTCAAAATGAATTGCTTCAAATTATAGTCCTACCTACACTGCATAAAAGTTGTCGTTTTCTCACACTTGATGTTATCAGATTATTTAATTCTTTCCAGTCCGATGGGCAAGATATAGTGTCCAATTGTTGTTTTCTTTATTTATCTGTTTTTTTTTCTATGTTGCCTAGGATGGACTTGAACTCCTAGACTCGAGTGATCCTCCCACCTCAGCCTGCAAAGTAGCTGGAATTACAGGCTCTAGCCAGCACACTGAGCCCTAACTGTTGTTTTCTGTTGAGTTTCCTGATTACTAATGGGCCTGAGCATCTTTTCATATGTTAATTGTACTCTTTGGGTCTTTTCAGTGAATTGCCTCTTAATGACCTGCCCATTTCTTTCTTTGCTTGTTCAACTTTTATTATTTTTAGGAGTTCTTTATACACTTTAAATACTGTAAACTTATTGGACAGCGTTCCTTTGAATATTGCCTTTGTTCCATTCTTTCTACTTTGTTATTCTGGAATCCTTATTAGATGAATGTTGTGATACAGTATTGCTTTCTCTTGTCCAGGCCTCTTAACTTTCTTTCTTTCTTTAATGTTTTTGTCTCTTGGTATGTTTTCTGTGTGGTTTATTTAGTTCTATTTTCTAACTCACTAATTTTTCTCTGCCAATCTACCATTTAACCCACTAATTTATTTATCCATTAAAAATACATATATTGATTGCAAATTATGTATCAGGTACTGTTCTAAGTGTTAGGGTTTAAACAATAAACAAAGCAGACAAAAAGAAAAACAACCACCTTTGCCTTCATGGACATTATATTATATTAGATAAAACTCAATTGAGCTTTAAATTATATTTACTATTTTTTTACCTGCAAGATTTCTACTTGTTTCTTTTAAAACTATTTTTCAAATGATAATTTCTTGCCCTTGAATACAAAGTCCACTTCTTCATTTTATCTTTCTTTTAACAAACGTTAAGATATTGATTTAATTTTCTGTTTAGATTTATTCTACTTCCTTGGGTGTATTATGGTTTGGTTTCTCATCTACTGACTAAGTTTTAGGACGGAGTGTTTCTTCCGTGTTTTGTAATTTTTGACTGTGAGTTCGTCTTTAGTAGAATTCCAGCCTGTAAACCGGATTAAAAAGACATTCTGGATTGGGGATAGGGAGGTGTTGCAAAATTGCCTGTGCTTCAGCCTTGAGATGGTTGCTAGGTTCACACCTGTTTTTAAGTTGTTTCTTCATTCTGGACTGTGTTTCACAGTGATTGATGGGAGTTTAGATCTCAACTAATACATAGCAGAGCTCAGGGTTCGCTTCTTGCAAGTTACTCTATTTCCACCAATTGCATGGTGTGCGGCTCACTTCTAGGATCCAGACCTCAGGCCAGTGTGTGATTTATCTCTTCTGCCTCTAGGGATGAGGAAATTCAGTTATGCTACTGCTATGTACTTTGCCATTGCTCCACAGGGAAGTAAAATTTCCTCTCCTAAGGCATAGATCCAATCCACGTCCCTCTGGTGGCTGAGGCATTGAGTGTACTCACTCTTTGATTCTAGACTGTGAAAATTTCCCATTTTAAAGTGTAAATATGTATTCTTTAGTTAACACAGTCTTCACAAATGCAAATGTTTCTAATAATGGGGCTGAGGGAGGAAAATGCTGAGTTTGCTTAGTCTTACATCTTAACTGGAAGTCCAAAAATTTTTGATCATAGGGTAGTTTTACACTTAAGAAATCATGAAGAATCTAATCAAATCATGCATTTAGAAAAAACAATGTGAGTTTCGGGGAAGAAAATTTAACAATAAACTAGAGATTGGTTGATTGAAAAGAATATATTGGGGGCCAGAGAAAGAACGAGGGTTTCAGGGGAACAAGTTCTCAGCTACACGCCCCAAGTTTCAACTCTCATGGGTTCTATATAATATGATTTTATAATTGCAATTCCAAATCTATATCCCCATCTTCAATATAGGCTTTTTCTCTGAGTTCCAGGCCTAGGTTTACAAAAGGCCTCCTTCATATATGTACAAGATAACTTCTACTAGATAATTTCAAGTTTTGTGTATTATGAAAAAACAGATTTAATAATCCCACCTTTCTCCTCTACTTCCAAATAGCTTTTTCTCTTTTACTCCTGGAATTTGCTGCATGAGCCAAACAGTTGATCATATCCCAAGTTAGAAAGTCAAACCACACTTTTCTTTGCCCCTCACTATGCATATATCACTGTGAATTTGGGCACCAAGTCCTGGTGATGTCATCTCTGAAGTGTTTCCTGATTCCTTCTCTTTTCCTTCTTTTCCATCTCTACCACTACTGAGCTGTAGTAGTAGCTGACCCCTGTCATTTACCACCATATGGGAGCCACAGCCTCTTCACTGGTCCTCCTCTCTCTCTCTTTCTTGTCTTCCACACGTCTTCCTTCCTGCAGCCAGAATGGACTTTCTAAAACGTTAACCTAATCATACTCTTTCCCTGTTCACATCAGAGACAGAGACCTGCTCAGCAAAGCTTGATGTCTCTCTTTCACAGTGTTGAGTTGTTGCAGGGAAGTGCTGCCTCCAGGGGCACATATGCCAGGATCCCCCTTGCGTTTAGATTGAGCTTGTGATTAGTTCTTGTCAATGGAGTATGACAGAAATTTTGCATGTTTACTTGTGTGTATGTGTGTGTGTCTGTGTCTGTGTCTTTTGGGGCTGAAGTGGGTAATTACTGCTATACCTTTCCATATAGCCTCTTTCCCCAACTACAGAAACTCTAGGAACTGTGAGTGAAGATGGTGAATTCACGAGGTTTATGGTGTTTGAGTCCCTGAATCCTTTCTTGGAGGAAATCCATCCAACAATTAACACCCTCATTAGATTGTACCATGAATAATAATTTTCTTGTTGTTGTGTTAATCCACTTAAAATTTAGAGATTATTTAGTTCAACAGCTAGTTGAACCTTAACAAATATTTTGATTAGATCATACAATTCCTCTAAACATAACTTCAAAAATGACTTAGAATAACACACAAGACTTCTCATGACCTACTTGTATTACCAAATCTCTAATTACTACCTCTTCCTCCTAAGGCTCATGCCACCTCCCTACAGGTAACCCCATATATGCCTTCTTTTACCTTGCCTTCACAACTTTGCTCCATCTGCCTTGAATGGTCTTTCTTCTGTTTATTAATTCTATTTTTTTTTTCTAAGACATAGCTCAGACATTTCCTCTTCTGGAAGGCCTTTCCTTACTATTTCTTCAAAAGCTTCTCCATGTATCAAACTTGGTAAGATGTTGTTAAGCTTGCTCATATGACATTTTTCATAGTTAAACATTGTGTGTGTGTGTTTGTGTGTGTGTGTGTGTGTCCTCAAAATCAACATACAAGCTCCATGAGGAAATTAGCGCCTGCCTCTCAAATATCTCAGCACCTAACACAGGACAAGAGGCCGGTTATATCCCAAGTTTCACTCAGGTGCTCCAGAACTATTAACTGGGTTGAATTGAATCTATAGTCATGGAGATAAAAACAATAAGAAAAAGAGAGGATTAGAGAGGTGAAGAGGAAAAATGATGAGAGCTGACCTAAGGAAGAGTACCACAGAGGAGGGTTCGCTTCTCTTGTTAGGTAGAATGAGATCTATGGGACTAAGCCATCAATTGCAAGGGGCTTGTCCTTCTAAGTCAGTTGGACAAGACCCATCACTCTGAAGGACAAGGATTCCATTGGTTTAGCCAAGGATTCCAATGGTTTAGCTAGAGTTAAGCAAGGTAAGAGTGACCAGCTAGGGGGAAGAGAAAGTTAAGCCCTGCAACTTAGCTGTTTACTTATAAATCTTTTCTAATAAAATATGCCTTACACTCCAAGTTCACTGCTGACTTACCAAGGATGCAATTACTAAGCAAAGGCATAGACACAGGCTTTGTTTTCATAGTCACACACTAAAAAGGAGAGGCTTAAGCTTGAAATGTGGTGGTATTGGTAGAATGAAGCAATAATAGGTGAGTGGGAGCCTTCCACAAAAAGGCATTCTTGCTGCTTTCACTAAAGTGCTTGCATTCTAGACAATAATCTTTATTTTCTTACTGCTGGTGAAAGTAAGGAAATGAGGAATATACAACTATATTGACTATGGTCAATTAACGGTCCATTCAGGCTGACAGCTCAGCAGTGCCTGACCTTCCCTCTAATGCGCATGCAGATCACAGGACCTAGAGTCAGTCTGTGGCCAAGAAATAGACCACCAATTCAACCTGTGCACAGCAATGTGTTCTAGATTCAGTACCTAAATGCTCGAAGTATATTCTCAGGTCGCCGAATTATTTAGGCAATTGACAATAGACTGTGTGGCTCAAGGGACATTTTTTTCCCCCACCAGATAATTAGAAGTAAGCATTTACTTTGGCTTTAGGTAGTTAGGGTGCTTTTATTAGTAATAGAAAATGCCGCTCAGATTGGCCTAAAATAATAAATGTATGGCTCATAAGACTGGAAGTCTAATAATAGGGAATGGAATTTCAGGTTGGTTAATCCAACAGTTCAACAACGCCATCAAGGACATGGCTTCTCATGGCCTCTTTATTTTGCTGCCCATAATAATGGCTTCTATTCAGGGCTAGCAGTAGGCCCTAGTCCAATTTGTAGGATCTAAGGATAGAAAAAAAAAAGAGCCCCTCCCTCAATCCTGAAATAAAATTCTTCCCTTTGCTGTAATTGTCTTGTGTCTGCTCTGGACCCATAACTGGTGCAAGGAAAAACCCAAGCCTTTACTGGTGTCACTCCAGGTTCCTCAGACAATCTGATGGGATTATCTTGTTTGGCTTTGATTAATCAATACTCCTCTCATTCCTGGAGTTGGAATTATTTCCTAAAGCATCATGGATATTACAAAATGGAGGAGGAGTGCAGAGCATCTTGGACAATTGAATACAATGTCTGGTGTGCAGTTTAAAATCATTCAGTGAGAAACACAGACAGAGACAGAGAAAAGAAAATCAAGCTTAATTGAGTAATTTATTTTTTGGCACCATGTACATAGACTCAGTGATGCAACAGAGAATATCCACCCTGATATTTCACTGATAAGGAGACACCACCTTTTGTTCAACTCTTGTCTGAACACCAATCAGAGAGAATGAAAAAAAAGTAGAATTATTTTTGTTATATTCTCTTTCTTCCTCCTCTTATTCCTCCTCCTTTTTCTTTGCTTACTTTTGAAAGATATTACCCCTCACCTTACTCCTAAGACCACCTTTTGGTATTTTCCTCAAAAAGCAAAAAGTTAAAGTAAAAAGCAAACAATTTTTCTCACGCAGATCACTTGTTTGGAACTACATCTAAATGCTATTCAGTCACCACATGTGACTCATCTCTCAGCTCTCTTTAAAAAGTGCATTCCTGGCTGGGCACGGTGGCTCACGCCTGTAATCTCAACACTTTGGGAGGCCAAGACATGTGGACCACAAGGTCAGGAGATGGAGACCATCCTGGCCAACATGGTGAAACCCCATCTCTACTAAAAATACAAAAAGTAGCTGGGTGTGGTGGTGAGCACCTGTAGTCCCAGCTACTCAGGAGGCTGAGGTAGGAGAATCACTTGAACCCAGGAGGCAGAGGTTGCAGTGAGCCAAGCTCGTGCCACTGCACTCTAGCCTGGTGACAGAGTGAGACTCCATCTCAAAAAAAAAAAAAAAAAAATTCCTGCTAGACTCTAAGAGCTTAGGAGAGTAACCAAATTAAGCCCAAACATATGTTGGACTAAATAAAACAAGATAATTAAGGAATTTTAATAGATATGGCATGATTTTGCAGAAGCGGTAATGTGTGTTTAAAGGTAGAAATCCTGGGTTCAAGGCTATTTGTTGGAAATTATCTTAAAAAGAAGGCTGGGCTAAGGGCAGGCTTTTCAAGGAAAGAGAAAGAATGAATTTAGTGTTTTGGACTAGGTGGTACAAGAGGGCTCTTAGCAAGTGGATCTTTTTAAAACCTGGAATGTTATACAAGGTGTGCTGCATAATTTAATTTACAATGATGTTCAGATAAGAGTGATTTAAAATATCCTGTGGGAAACTCGGATGAAATATTTTGATGACAGACAAAGAGAGTAAGATGAATAGATAGCTACAAGTGAAATTTCCAAAAAGGGTCAATTACCATGTCATTTGAGTGTGAGGAAAAATAAAACGTTTGGTTGAGGCTTCTGCGTTTTGACTTTAGTTTGTTTGTTTGTTTGTTTGTTTGTTTGTTTTGAGACGGAGTCTCACTCTGTTGCCCAGGCTAGAGTGCAGTGGCGCGATCTCAGCTCACTGCAACCTCCGACTTCCGGGTTCACCCCATTCTCCTGCCTCAGCCTCCCGAGTAACTGGGAGTACAGGCGCCCACCACCACGCCCGGCTAAATTTTTATATTTTTAGTAGAGAAATATACTATAGTTTTAGTAGAGAAATATTCACAGTGTTAGCCAGGATGGTCTCAATCTCCTGACCTCGTGATCCACCTGCCTCAGCCTCCCAAAGTGCTGGGATTACAGGCGTGAGCCATTGCGCCCAGCCTTTGACTTTAGTTTTGACTAATCTGCAGATCTTCTGCAGACCCTAGTGAGTCTGCTATCTGTGGAAGATTTCAGTATTCTCTGGGATGCAGCATTTTCAACATATCGGAAAAGGTGTCATAAATGCTTCTGACAGTGCTCTTGCTTACTGCCCTCAACATCTGCAGCTGGTGGTTGGCATCCTCAATGCCCAGCCCAGAGTCTTCTGCAAGGACTCCTGAAGATGGTGGAGATCATTCAAAGGCCCATCAAGATAGAAAAAGGCTGTAGTTTGCTTGCCCATGTGGCCAGCTAGCAGATCTCTGGAAACTCTCTCTGCTGCTGCCACCCCCACATAGATACTTGTGGAGGCAACATAAACCACAGGGACAATCCCACCAATTTATTGAGGTGCTAAGGAAATGGAATACCCAATGGGTATCCTCCCCAGATCAAATTGCTTCTCTTATATCCTAATCCAGGTTCAGATAAGGAACTTCTCTCTCTCTGTTTTAACTTTTAAGTTCAGAAGTACATGTGCATGTTTGTTACATATGTAAACTTGTGTCATTCATGTTTGTTGTACAAATTATTTCATCACCAAGGTGTTAAGCCTGGTGATCATTAGTTATTTTTCCTGATCCTCTCCCTCCTCCCACCTTCTGCCCTCCATTAGGTCCCAGTGTGTGGAGAAGGGGGAATGCTTATACACTGGTGGTAGGAGTATAAATTAGTTCAACCATTGTGGAAGACAGTGATTCCTCAAAGACCAAAGAAAATGTATGCGTACATACTTACATACATGCACACATATGGTCATGTGGTGAGAAGCTGCTACAAGGAAAATTAAGGTGGGTACAGGATAGAGTGAAGCAATGTGAAATAGTTGAGAGTGGAACTGATGAAGTAGGAACTGATCAGAATGAAATAAAATTCGACCCAGCCAACCCATTACTGGGTATATACCCAAAAGAATATAGATCATTCTGTTGTAAAGACATATGTACCCCTACGTTCATTGCAGGAACTTCTCTTTCTAAGAACAGCAGAAGGTAGAATTCAGTTTCTCGTATCTCTGATCTGTACAAGCTGAGTTGTGGTCTTTATTAAATGCTCCTATTACACAACCAACTTACTCATTGTTTTATTATTTCATTTTGCCTCTTATTTAGTTCTTGGCTTACTACATCAGTAACTAATGAATGCCTTCTTGTCAATAATAAGTATTTAAGAAAGAGATTTCAAAACTCCCTTTTAATCTATCCTCTCCCATTTTCTCACTGTTGTCAGTTTGGTGAGGAATATTTATCTTTTCCTATTCATGTACATTCATATAAAAGTGTAGGTAGAAATACTTGAGTTTGCTTAACAATTTTTAAATATAACTCTGATAATCTTTATAAATTATTCTGCTGTATGCTTTTTACTTTTTACAGTGTCTCTTGGAGAACCTTCTGCATGCAAATTTTTTAACTTTAATTTTTGTAATTGCAGTGAAATATTTAATAGTGTGTGACATATTCACCTTCTGATAAATATTTATTTTTTCAGTTTTTTTTTTTCTGTAATGAACAATACTGAAATAAAAATCTTGCTGGGTACAGTGGCTCACGCCTGTAATCCCAACACTTTGGGAGGCCGAGGCGGGTGGATCACCTGAGGTCAGGAGTTCGAGACCAGCATGGTCAACATGGCGAAACCCCACGTCTACTAAAAATACAAAAATTAGCCGGGCATGATGGTGGGCACCTTTAATCCCAGCTACTCGGGAGGCTGAGGCAGGAGACTTTCTTGAACCCAGGAGGCGGAAATTGCAGTGAGCCGAGATGGCGCCACTGCAGTCCAGCCTGGGCCAGAGCAAGACTCTGTCTCAAAAAAAAAAAAAAAAAAAAGCCAAGCACTGTGGCTCACACCTGTAATCCCAGCACTTTGGGAGGCTAAGGCAGGTGGATCACCTGAGGTCAGGAGTTCGAGGCCATCCTGACCAACATGAAGAAACCCTGTCTCTACTAAAAATGCAAAATTAGCTAGGCATAGTGGTGCATGCCTGTAATCCCAGCTACTCAGGAGGCTGAGGCAGGAGAATCGCTTGAAACTGGGAGGCAGATGTTGCGGTGAGCCAAGATCGTGCCACTGCACTCCAGCCTGGGCAACAAGAGCGAAACTCCAGCTCAAAAAAAAAAAAAAGAAAAGAAAAGAAAAGAAGAAAGAAAAAGAAAAGAAAAGAAGAAAGAAAAAGAAAAGAAAAGAAGAAAGAAAAAGAAAAGAAAAGAAAAAAGATTCCTATTCTGCCTATGTAAACCTATCCTCTAAGTCAGAGGAAGCTGAGAGGCTGAAGAAGGAGGCTGACAAGGTCAGTTATTTAGAAAAAAACAGTTAATAAGGACTTATAAATGGAAGCCATGTCTGTGTCTAGGGCAGAGGCTAGACTAAATGGTGGATACCCATGCGATTACCCCTCCAGAGTCAGGGCTTGTATACCATAGGGAAATGGTATATGTGATTCAGAAGGGGTGTGTAGGACAATTGAAGTACGACAACATCAAGGTTGTTTGACTTAAGGGCAGGATTTACGGTAAGCACCTCTCTTACCCAAGGAATAATAGATAAACTGGAAATCTGAAAGGACTTCCTGGAACTGGGGTTATTCAGAAGTCAACATGGCTGACTAGCATCCAAGATGGAGTTGCTTTGGCTTCCATACTCCACCTCCCTAATCCAGCTTTTAGAATCTCACATGCACCTCTCTTCCACAATGGTTGCTGAGCCTTTAGGGAGAGTGCTTGATGTGGGATAGCTTTAGCAGCAGTGTGTTGGCAATGGAAAACAGATTAGGCCCAGTGGGATTCCAAATGAGAGGCATTTACAGGCTTTGTTGAATTGTCTGTAGTCTTTAAAATACTAAGACTTTGGTTTTCTCAGAAGAAGTAAAACAAAGACAGATACATAACATTAATAATTTGATTAGTAGACATACAATGCACAGGAGGATTACAATCAAAAGAGAATTTGTAAGCCAGAACAACAAAAACAAAAGAGAACCCATTCCTTTAGGGAGAAAACTAAAAGGATCATGAAGAAAATGAAGACTCGGTACTTCTGTAGAGACTTGTTGTAGCCAGGAAAGAACTCAGAATTTAGCCCAGATTGTACACAAATAATAAAAACTCAAAAATAATGGTCAGGGCCAGAAGCTAAACTTTTCTCTCTCCAGTTTCCCCATTTCTACCAAGGCTGAATCATAATCGGACCAATTCATTTGCAAAATTAATTTTAGTCTCATTTTACTTGGCCTGATTATTTCTACAAAATGCAGCAAGAATAGTGATTGGCCACATACGGCCCTTTATATCGTCTTTGCTGCAACATTTTTTTGTAAGCAATCTCAGATTAGACTTTTTAAAAGCCTCAAGGCCAGAATCCAAGCCAAGGATTCACCAAAATTCTGTGCTTGTAATACCTGTACAAATTTCTCTCTTGTTGAGGTCCCAAAATATTAATATCTTGGGGTTTCTGGGCCTGTCAAAAAGTGACATTCTTTACTCACTACAGGCCACGAACCTTGTAAGGGAACCATTTAGACAAAGTACCAAGTCAGTTTGTCCTGGAGGCTTTTTATTCACTGTATAAAGTCAACTTCTATTCCTCAAAACAGTGTTGTCATAACAGAAAATATGCATTTCCAGTCAAAGCCTTGGTAAAATAACCAGCATCTCCAATTGTGTCCTGATACAAAAGAAAACAGATTCTTACTGGACTATAACTATATTGCCATAAAAAAGAATACACGAAAATTGTTTCCAAATGTTGGAGAAATCAGGTACAGAGAAAGGTAAATTTTGCTC
This sequence comes from Homo sapiens, assembly GCF_000001405.40. Lineage (NCBI taxonomy): Eukaryota > Metazoa > Chordata > Mammalia > Primates > Hominidae > Homo > Homo sapiens. The sequence continues at coordinate 14,524,106 of NC_000017.11, forward strand.
AAAAAAAAGTATACTTTGTAAGCTATAAAGAGCTCCAAAGAAGAAAGGTTTCCTTGACGATTCTTCAATCAGAGTAGCAAGCCTCCCAAACAGGATATTTTGTCCCTTCACCTTGGAGCTGCCATCCACAAACCAAGCAGCTCTTTTTCAGCAAGATGAGAGCTGTTTATTGGGCACTGTAGAATCCAGCAGCTCCTCACATAGTTCCAGAGTCAGCCCTGGGAAAAAAGAGGGTCCCTGCTCCTCTTTGCATTCCCCAGATAGCAAGATCCTATATGAAACATTTCCATTTTATCACGGAACTGTTTGGGACATTGCTGTTCCTATTAGTATTTCTCTGACATCACCCTATAACCCCCACTAAATTTTCCACAAGGATTATGGAATAGAAAATTTGTACTTACTAGCATTCCAGCTTCCACTCTACACTCTGTGAGCTCAGACAATCCTACTGGTTCCCATTTAGTACTTTTCGAAGGGCAAGGTTACATGCCTTCTGTTTTGCAGTACTAGGTAGGGGAAGCATTCCCAAGCCAAACATAATATTTATTTTCATAAAACATTTAGGTGAAGGAGACGCAACTACTTTACATAATACCTGTTGAAACATTCCAACTTTCATAATCATATCAACCTTTACATTTTTATGTTCTGGTTCCAGGAACTTTTCTTTTCCACCTCCAGTCCATTTTACCCTTTCTTGTGAAAAATAATTTGGACTCCCAACAGAGGGTTGAGCCAAAGGACCCAGGCCCTTTTGTCAGTCTTTATCTTGATTAACGTGCCTCAACAATGCCCCACACAATGTCAGCTTTCTCATTGTAATTTTGCCTTTTTATTTTTAAAAAATTTCTCCCATTTGAGTTAAGCACAGAAAGTTGATTTGTGTCCCTTTAATGTTGGGGGACCAGCAGGAGCTCCCTTTGGTTCATCCTATATTCAATAGTGTTCTATTAAACTTCTGTTTTAACCCCTCAATTTTTATTTATTTCATTTTATTCTTAATAACCCTCTAAAAATTTCTACCCTGCTGGGAGGAGTCCCATGACTCTCTCCTCTCTTGTTAATTAACCTTATGTTTTTATTGGCATCTGTAAGCTAAAGCTTCTCAACTGTTAAGATTCTGCAAGGGTAACATGTAGTTAAGGATGCCCTCTTAACCACACCTTTTACCATGATCTAGGCAATGGGCATATTCAGTGACTGAATATCCCTATCTTCATAAAGCCAGTCCAACATAACTTGCATATGAAGCATATCAGTTGCTTCATATGGGATGCTCTACTTGGCATTTATAGGTGGAGTTGGACAGTGCTCCTTCTCAGGGTAGACAGACCTGACAGTGGCTTTTGTCCAATCTACTAGGCTGGCTGTTCCTACAGGAATAACCTCCTGTGTGTCTGGATCCTGTATAGCCATCTGTAATTGTTCAATAGTGAGCTGTGTGTCCTGCATCAACCCAAACATGGTTTTCCACTCTACCGCAATTAAAACTAAAGATGCTGCCCCTAAATTGGTTACTGTCATAATCCATTTTGGTAAATGTTCCTCAGGGAGCTGATGATACCATTCTATAAAACTCAAGAGTTCCATCACATTATACCCTCTGGTTTCAATAGTTATTTGGTTTTGCCCTTACCCCACATTGACTTCCTTCTTGTTAACCACAGGTCTCAGGTAATTTCTGTGCCCTGAAATCATTTTCCCTTTTGTAGGTAGCTTTGAGGTTAGTGACCTTCAAACCACCTTTGCAAAACTTTTGTCAGTGAGAAAATTATGGGAGTGGAGGAGATCTGATCTAGCCAACCCCCCTTTTTGCCTTTAACTTTCAAGCTGCCTTAATTATTCCTGGGCTTAAGCCAAGCTAACTTTAGAAGACATTTAGGAAGTTTCAATAATAATAGCCCTTCCCTGAAACTCAGCTGCCTTTGTAAAGCTAATGAGAGACCACCAGGCTAGCGGGAGGAGAGGAGCCTGAATTCTGCTAAGGTGTAGACTGGTCACAAGATATGTAACTTCCCTATTACTCCTGCAGATAACATCACTATTTTGGATTGGCTTTTTGAAATATTTTTTCAGGTTTTTTGCATGTCTGACACCAATGGCTCCACCTGGACCCGATGGCTCCGCCTGGACCTGCCAAACTCCTCCTATGGTTCCACCCAGGAACAACTCAGCTCAAGAAGACAGTTTCAACCACCTATGATTTCATCTCCATCTCAACCAATCAGCAGTAAGCAACCATTTCCTACTCACTCCCACCCCTTTCCCAAACTGCCTTTGGAAAATCTCTAACCTAGGAGCCTTCAACGAGATTGAGTTGAATAGTAATAACTCTGTTTCCTGCATGGCATGGCCAGCCCGGCATCAATTAAACTCTTTCCGTACTCCAATGCTGTGGTCTTTATTTGTGCAGCTGGCAGGAAGAACCTGTTGGGCAGTTATAACCTGAATTCAAACAGATCCGCATCTGAGCTTGGTCCAGCCTCATGGTCCAACCCAGCACTCTCTTTTACTTTCATTTTGGCTATTACAGATAATAATAACCAAGGGGTTGCCTATTTTGCTTTTTCCTTATTAGTTTGCATTTCAGTACGCATCCAGTAAACCAACTTTCTGCGAGTTGGAGCCATCTTTAAATTTCACTACTGACCCTTTCCTTTAGAAACTGAGCACAGCAAAGCTGGAGCTCCATACCACGTGGCCACCCAGGAATGAAAGATTCCTTCTACACCTTTCTATTCTTTCTCTTTCTATCCGTTTAGCTTTAGCTATATCATTTTTTTCTCTCACTTTGAAACAATCTTTAAATACCCTCTAAACTAGGCAAAATTTCTTTTTTTAAAAAAAATTTTTTGAAGACAGAGTTTGGTTCTTGTTGCCCAGGCTGGAGTGCAATGGTGTGATCTCTGCTCATGGCGACCTCCGACTCCTGGGTTCAAGTGATTCTCCTGCCTCAGCCTCCTGAGTAGCTGGGATTACAGGCATGCACCACCATGCCCGGCTAATTTGGTATTTTTAGTAGAGACAGGGTTTCTCCATGTTGGTCAGGCTGGTCTCAAACTCCCAACCTCAGGTGATCTTCCCACCTCAGCCTCCCAAAGTGCTGGGGATTACAGACATAAGCCTCCACTCCTGGCCTAGGCAAAATTTTCTTTAAGCAAAAACTATGCCTTCCTTTTTAAAAATAAACTTATTTACCAAAACACATCTTTCTTTATACACTTTGTATATAAAATTGTTTCTCTTATATCTAGTAGTTTTGTTTTTTTGTTGTTGTTTGTTTGTTTTTTGTTTTTGTTTTTGAGATGGAGTTTTGCTCTTATTGCCCAGCTGGAGTGCAACGGCGTGATCTTGGCTCACCACAACCTCCGCCTCCTGGGTTCAAGCAATTTTCCTGCCTCAGCCTCCCGTATATCTAGTAGTTTTAATTACATATATTAACTACTACTGTAACTCTTAGTAACCCTTATTTTCAGTGAAAAACTTAGAATTACTTAACATAACATGTCTTTAAGATTTTTAATTACTGAAAAGAATTTTGAAACTAGTTTGGTTTTATTTACCAAAGATTACTAAAGTCAAGTGAACTAAAAAAGGCATTTGAGTTGGTTTTTATTCTATAAAATATTTGATGTAAGAGCTTACTTTCCTTTAAGCCAATTAATTAGAGCTGTTTTATATATTTTGGTAGTGATATATCATGACACATATAAACATAAAGACCTACAGACATAAATACAGAAACAGATTTTATAGATTGAAAAGATTCTTTACTTGTCAGTGTTCAAATAGTTTCTCTCCTTCCTTTAGACTATCAATTACTTCCAAAGACATGACTTTTATGTAAAATAAGGTAGAAAATTCATATCTCAAAGGCACAGAACTTTGACCTAAACACCATTATCTGAAAACAAGATTGCCAGAAAAGTGTCTGCTTTTAAATTTAGGTTGTTTCTTAATCAGATTACTGGTTTTAAGGTGGAGCCTTTTAATGAGTAGGGCAATTAAAGCATGCAGTTTTTAGGGCCTAAACCATGTTTTCTTATCCAAATGTACGAAGAAACGGGTAGCCTCCATAATAAAAACCTTTTACTTCAAACAACTGTCATTAGCCACCTCTGACACGATAGCTCTTACCTGTGACTGCCAGCCATTACACACAGCAAGGTCAAGTCCTCTCACAGCACAAAGTAATCTCTGGCATCCCCACAAAACCAATGCGATCATTAATGCAATACAAAAGAGGGCAGCGTTTTAAAGCTGAAAGTAAGCAGTTCACTTACCACTTTTGGGGTTCCATAAGGAAAAACAGAGATTCCTTCCAAACAGGGTAGCAATATCCCAGCTTCCCGTTGAGGTTTATCACCCGTCTCTCTATTTATTCAGGTCGTACATGATGTCCTTCCCCAAAATTTATAGTCTTCATATAAATTATGCACATTTATTTATTTATTTATTTATGTACTTATTTATTTTTTTGAGACGGAGTCTAGCTCTGTCGCCCAGGCTGGAATGCAGTGGAGCAATCTTGGCTCACTGCAACCTCCGCCTCCAGGGTTCTAGCGATTCTTTTGCCTCAGCCTCCCGAGTAGCTGGGACTACAGGAGTATGCCACCACTCCTGGCTAATTTTTTTATTTTTAATTACAGATGGGGTGTCACCATATTGGCTAGGCTGGTCTCAAACTCTTGACCTCGTGATCTGCCCTCCTTGGCCTCCCAAAGTGATGGGATTACAGGCGTGAGCACCATGCCGGGCCACACATTTCTTTTTAAATTTAATCCTAATTACACAATACTTTTGGGGGGTGTGTGTGTGTGTGTGTGTGTAGGGAGTCTTGTAACATGATCATCTTATCCATCTCATATTTAAAATGGTTATTACTAGTACATAGGAAAACTGTTAACATTTGTTTGTTAGTCTTATATTAAGTTATTTTACTGATGTATTAGAGTAGGCCAACTGCTGTAACAGACACTCCAAAACCTCAATGATTTAATAGAATAAAGGTTCATTTTGCACCCATGTTCAGACCACCATTGGCCTGTGGTGGTGGCGGTGGGGTCTCAGTTTCACATAGTCACTCAGGGATCCAGGGTCCTTCCCCTTAGTATCTCTGCCATTCATTTAAGATCTTGGAGTCTTCCCTGGGATCCTTGGCATTTGGCCACAAATGAGGTACATGAGAAAGGGGTTGGAGGATAAAAGGAGTAGTTTTATGAGCAAAGCTTAGGGGATGCTTATATCATTTTCCCTCCACTTCACTGCCTCAGAAATATGCCCTGCTTAAATGTAGTACAGCTGTGTGCCCAGAAAGGAAGCATATGGCCAGCCCCTGCCACAGTTGACCTCTTATAACCTAATAGTTTCTTAATTGTGTTTCTTGGATATTAAAGGCAACTTTATTTACCTAAATGTATTTATAACCTAATTTCACTGTCTGGGACCTGGAGTAAATGTGGAACACTATCAGTGTTGGTTATAATTTGGTGTTTCCTGTCGGTTTCTGGTAAGTTTTCCCAAACAAGTTAAAATGTCTAATTCTATTAAATATGTTTTGACATCCTTTGAAATAATCATGATTCTATCCCCCAATCTATTAATAGTATTGTGATAGAATTTTTTCTATCATGAAACATTATTACATTTTTGGAATAAACTCAAATGATTTTTGATGTGTTATATTTTAAATACCCTACTAGATCCAGTAGCCTAGTCATTTAATTATAAATTTTGTGTCTGTATTTGACAATAATATGGCTCATAGTTCTCTTGTTTTTCTACTATCTTTTAGGGTTTTGTATAAGAGTTAGGTTCATATCATAGAATTAGTTGGAAGTCTTTACATCTCCCCTGTGCACTGTATATATTGTATAAAAGTTTATGAAACTAGAGACTTTTCTAGTCTTTGAATGTTTGCCAGGACCATTTGATTCTGGTCTCCACTCACCACCCATTTCTAAATTTTACTTTTAAATTAACTTACGTAGTAAAGTTGATTTTTTTATTATTATTTTTATTTTTTATTATACTTTAAGTTGTAGGGTACATGTGCACAATGTGCAGGTTTGTTACATATGTACACATGTGCTGTGTTGGTTTGTTGCACCCATTAACTCGTTATTTACATTAGGTATTTCACCTAACACTATCCCTCGCCCATCCCCCCACCCCACGACAGGCCCCAGTGTGTGACGTTCCCTGCCCTGTGTCCAAGTGATCTCATTGTTCAATTTCCACCTATGAGTGAGAACATGCGGTGTTTGGTTTTCTGTCCTTGTGATAGTTTGCTCAGAATGATGGTTTCCAGCTTCATCCATGTCCCTACAAAGGACATGAACTCATCCTTCTTTATGGCTGCATAGTATTCCATGGTGTGTATGTGCCACATTTTCTTAATCCAGTATATCATCGATGGACATGTGGGTTGGTTCCAAGTCTTTGCTATTTCGAGTAGTGCTGCAATAAACATACGTGTGCATGTGTCTTTATAGTAGCATGATTTATAATCCCTTGGGTATATACCTAGTAATGGGATCACTGGGTCAAATGGTATTTCTACTTCTAGATCCTCGAGGAATTGCCACACTGTCTTCCACAATGGTTGAACTAGTTTACACTCCTACCAACAGTGTAAAAGCATTCCTGTTTTTCCACACCCTCTCCAGCACCTGTTGTTTCCTGACTTTTTAATGATCGCCATTCTAACAAATGTGAGATGATAGCTCATTGTGGTTTTGATTTGCATTTCTCTGATGACCAGTTATGATGAGCATTTTTTCATGTGTCTGTTGACTGCATAAATGTCTTCTTTTGAGAAGTGTCTGTTCATATCCTTTGCCCACTTTTTGATGGGGTTGTTTGATTTTTTTCTTGTAAATTTGTTTAAGTTCTTTGTAGATTCTGGATATTAGCCCTTTGTCAGATGGATAGACTGCAAAAATTTTCTCCCATTTGGTAGGTTGCCTGTTCATTCTGATTGTAGTTTCTTTTGCCGTGCAGAAGCTCTTTAGTTAAATTAGATCCCATTTGACTATTTTGGCTTTTGATGCCATTGCTTTTGGTGTTTTAGTCATGAAGTCCTTGCCCATGCCTATGTCCTCAATGGTATTGCCTAAGTTTTCTTCTAGGGTTTTTACGGTTTTAGGTCTAACATTTAAGTCTTTAATCTATCTTGAATTAATTTTTGTATAAGGTGTAAGGAAGGCATCCAGTTTCAGCTTTCTACATATGGCTAGCCAGTTTTCCCAGCACCATTTATTAAATAGGGAATCCTTTCCCCATTTCTTGTTTTTGTCAGGTTTGTCAAAGATCAGATGGTTGTAGATGTGTGGTGTTATTTCTGAGGCCTCTGTTCTGTTCCATTGGTCTAGATCTCTGTTTTGGTACCAGTACCATGCTGTTTTAGTTACTGTAGCCTTGTAGTATAGTTTGAAGTCAGGTAGCATGATGCCTCTAGCTTTGTTCTTTTTGCTTAGGATTGTCTTGGCAATGCAGACTCTTTTTTGGTTCCATATGAACTTTAAAGTAGTTTTTTCCAATTCTGTGAAGAAAGTCATTGGTAGCTTAATGGGGATGGCATTGAATCTATAAATTACCTTGGGCAGTATGGCCATTTTCACGATATTGATTCTTCCTATCCATGAGCATGGAATGTTCTTCCATTTGTTTGTGTCCTCTTTTATCTCATTGAGCAGTGGTTTGTAGTTCTCCTTGAAGAGGTCCTTCACATCCCCTGTAAGTTGGATTCCTAGGTATTTTATTCTCTTTGTAGCAATTGTAAATGGTAGTTCGCTCATGATTTGGCTCTCTGTTTGTCTGTTATTAGTGTATAAGAATGCTTGTGATTTTTGCACATTGATTTTGTATCCTGAGACTTTGCTGAAGTTGCTTATCAGCTTAAGGAGATTTTGGGCTGAGATGATGGGGTTTTCTAAACATACAATCATGTCATCTGCAAACAGGGACAACTTGACTTCCTCTTTTCCTAATTGAATACCGTTTATTTCTTTCTCTTGTCTGATTGCCCTGGCCAGACTTCCAATACTATGTTGAATAGGAGTGGTGAGAGACGGCATCCCTGTCTTGTGCCAGTTTTCAAAGGGAATGCCTCCAGTTTTTGTCCATTCAGTATGATACTGGCTGTGGGTTTGTCATAAATAGCTCTTATTGTTTAGATAAACAATAAATATCTAGTTTATTGAGAGTTTTTAAGCATGAAGCGCTGTTGAATTTTGTCAGAGGCCTTTTCTGCATCTATTGAGATAATCATGTGGTTTTTGTGTTTGGTTCTGTTTATGTGATGGATTGTGTTTATTGATTTGCGTATGTTGAACCAGCCTTGCATTCCAGGGATGAAGCTGACTTGATATTGGTGGATAAGCTTTTTGATGTGCTGCTGGATTCAGTTTGCCAGTATTTTATTGAGGATTTTCACATCGATGTTCATCAGGGATATTGGTCTAAAATTCTCTTTTTTTGTTATGTCTCTGCCAGGTTTTGGTATCAGGATGATGCTGGACTCATAAAATGAGTTAGGGAGGAGTCACTGTTTTTTTATTGCTTGGAATAGTTTCAGAAGGAATGGTACCAGCTCCTCTTTCTACCTCTGGTAGAATTCAGCTGTGAATCCGTCTGGTCCTGGATTTTTTTTGGTTGGTAGGCTATTAATTATTGCCTCAATTTCAGAGCTGTTATTGGTCTATTCAGGGATTCAACTTCTTCCTGGTTTAGTCTTGGGAGGGTGTATGTGTCCAGGAATTTATTCATTTCATCTAGATTTTCTAGTTTATTTGCATGGAGGTGTTTATAGTATTCTCTGATGGTAGTTTGTATTTCTGTGGGATCGGTGGTGATATCCCCTTTATCATTTTTTTATTGCATCTATTTGATTCTTCTCTCTTTTCTTCTTTATTTGTCTTGCTAGCAGTCTATCAATTTTGTTTATCTTTTCAAAAAACCAGTTCCTGGATTAATTGATTTTTTGAAGGGTTTTTTGTGTCTCTATCTCCTTCAGTTCTGTTCTGATCTTAGTTATTTCTTGCCTTCTGCTAGTGTTTGAATTTGTTTGCTGTTGCTTCTCTAGTTCTTTTAATTATGATGTAGGGTGTCAATTTTTAGATCTTTCCTGCTTTCTCTTGTGGGCATTTAGTGCTATAAATTTCCTCTACACACTGCTTTAAATTTGTCCCAGAGATTCTGGTATGTTGTGTCTTTGTTCTCACTGGTTTCAAAGAACATCTTTATTTCTGCCTTCATTTCATTATTTACTCAGTAGTCATTCAGGAGCAGGTTGTCCAGTTTCCATGTAGTTGTGCGGTTTGGAGTGAGTTTTTAAATCCTGGGTTCTAATTTGATTGCACTGTGGTCTGAAAGACAGTTTGTTGTGATTTCTGTTCTTTCACATTTGCTGAGGAGTGCTTTACTTCCAACTATGTGGTCAATTTTGGAATAAGTGTGATGTGGTGCTGAGAAGAATGTATATTCTGTTGATTTGGGGTGGAGAGTTCTGTAGATGTCTATTAGGTCTGCTTGGTGCAGAGCTGCGTTCAAGTCCTGGATATCCTTGTTAACCTTCTGTCTTGTTGATCTAATATTGACAGTGGGGTGTTAAAGTCTCCCATTATTATTGTGTGGGAGTCTAAGTCTCTTTGTAGGTCTCTAAGGACCTGCTTTATGAATCTGGGTGCTCCTGTATTGGGTGCATACATATTTAGGATAGTTAGTTCTTCTTGTTGAATTGATCCCTCCTTTACCATTATGTAATTACCTTCTTTGTGTCTTTTGATCTTTGTTGGTTTAAAGTCTGTTTTATCAGAGACTAGGATTGCAACCCTTGCTTTTTTTTTTTTTTTTTTTTTGCTTTCCATTTGCTTGGTAGGTCTTCCTCCATCCCTTTATTTTGAGCCCATGTGTGTCTTTGCATGTGAGACGGGTCTCCTGAATACGGCACACTGATGGGTCTTGACTCTTCATCCAATTTGCCAGTCTGTGAGTCTGTGTCTTTTAATTGGGGCTTTTAGCCCATTTACATTTAAGGTTATTATTTTTATGTGTGAATTTGATCTTGTCATTATGATGTTAGCTGGTTATTTTGCCCTTAGTTGATGCAGTTTCTTCCTAGCATTGATGGTTTTTACAATTTGACATGTTTTTGCAGTGGCTGGTACTGGTTATTCCTTTCCATGTTTAGTGCTTCCTTCAGGAGCTCTTGCAAGGCAGGCCTGGTGGTGACAAAATCTCCGAGCATTTGCTTGTCTGTAAAGGATTTTATTTCTCCTTCACTTATGAAGCTTAGTTTGGCTAGATATGAGATTGTGGGTTGAAAGTTCTTTTCTTTAAGAATATGGAATATTGGCCCCCATTCTCTTTTGTCCAACCAGTGCCAATGAGATGAAGCAGGTGCCTCAGTTGGAAATGCAGAAATCACCCATCTTCTGCATTGCTCATGCTGGGAGCTGCAGACTGGAGTTTTTCCTATTCGTCCATCTTGGAACCTACTGATTTTTTAAATATATACAGTTTGTGTAAGTTCCTTCACCATCAAGGTACAGAGCAATGACATCATTCGAAAATACTCCCTCATGCTATCCCTTTGTAATGATACTCTCCCTCACCCTAAACTATAGCAAACACTGGTCCTTCATATAAATGGACTTATACAAGATATAACCATTTGAAACTGGCTTCTTCCACTTAGCATAGTGCCTTTGAGGTTTGTCAAAATTGTTGTGTGTCAATTGTTTGTTTCTGTTGATCGTTGAATGGTATTCTACATATGCATATACCACAGTGTACCTATTCATTGAAAATCAACTTGGTTGTTTCCAGTATTTAGCAATTATGAATAGAGCATCTATAAACATTCATATGGGTTTTTGTATGAATCTCCATTTTTCATTTCTCTAACTCTGTGGTAAATCCCTGAAAGCAGAGTTTCTGGGTCACATGGCAAGTGTGTGCTTAACTTCCCAAGAAACTGCTAAACCATTTTCCATAGTGGCCATAACATTTTGCATTTCCACTAGCAATGTATGAGGGTTCCAGTCACTCTGCTTTCTCACCAGCACTTGGCATCGTAGGTGGTTTTGGCTTGAGTCAGTATAGTAGGCATGAGATGGCATCACATTGTAGCTTTGAATTGCATTTCTGTAGTGGATAATGGTGTTGAACACTTTTTCATGTGCTTAATTGTCTTCTTTTTTTTTTTTGAGACACAGTCTCACTCTGTCGCCCAGGCTGGAATACAGTGGTGTGATCTCAGCTCACTGCATGCTCCACCTCCCAGGTTCAAGTGATTCTCCTGTCTCAGTCTCCCGAGTAGTTGGAACTACAGGTGCATGCCATCACGCCCAGCTATATATATATATATATATATATATATATATTTTTTTTTTTTTTTTTTTTTTCAGTAGAGACAGGGTTTCACCGTGTTAGCCAGGATGGTCTCCATCTCCTGACCTCGTGAGCCCCCCACCTCAGCCTCCCAAAGTGCTGGGATTACAGGTGCGACCCACCGCACCTGGTGTCATGTGCTTAATTATTTTCTATACATCCTTTCTGGTGAAAGGTCTGTTGCCTATTTTTTAATTGGGTTGTTTGTTTTCTTGCTGTTGAGTCTTGAAATAGTTCTTTATACCTCTTGGATACAAGTCCTTTGTTGAATATGTGCTTTGAAAATATCATTTTCTGTCTATAGTTTATCTTTTAATTCTCTTAACAAAACTTTTTGCAAAGCAAGAGTTTTAAATTTTAATGATGTTTGATTTGTTGCTTTCCTTTTAAGAATGATGCTTTCAGTGTTATGTCTAAGAACTCTCTGCCTAATCCCAGGTCACAGAGATCTCCCACTTATTTGTTTTTAAAGTTTTATATTTTACATTTAGTGGTATGATCCACTTGGAGCTCACTTTTGTATAAGGTATGAAGATGTTTGGGAAAGGAGCAATTTGAATGCTCAGTATATGGTAGACACTGCTTTACAAGCTTTGCATGAATTAACTCATTTAATTCTTGCTACAGTTCCATGAAGTAGCTATTATAATATCTGCCCTTTTTCTTATAAAAGGTAATGGGCAAAGAGAGATTAGGTAACTTGTTACGGATACACATTAAAAAACAGGGCCAAGGCCGGGTGCGGTGGCTCACGCCTGTAATCCCAGCACTTTGGGAGGCTGAGGCAGGCAGATCATGAGGTCAGGAGATTGAGACCATCCTGGCTAACAAGGTGAAACCCCGTCTCTAGTAAAAATACAAAAAACTAGCGGGTGTGGTGGCGGGTGCCTGTAGTCCCAGCTACTTGGGAGGCTGAGGCAGGAGAATGGCGTGAACCTGGGAGGCGGAGGTTGCAGTGAGCCGAGATTGTGCCACTGCACTCCAGCCTGGGCGACAGAGCGAGACTCCATCTCAAAAAAAAAAAACAAAAAAAAACCAGAGCCAAGATATGAACTCAAGCATTTTGGTCCAGAGTCTGTGCCCTTCACCATGAACTGAAACTATCATTAAAAATTTTCAAAATCTCACCTACAGATACATCTCCTTACTCATTACAATGTTAGTTGGCTTTTCTCTGTTTATCCTTAATTATACTTCTTAAAGTTTTATCTATTTTGTTGATCTTTTCAAAGAACCAGACTTTAGTTTTATTAAGCTGCTGTTCTATTCTTCCTTTCTATTTTATTAATTTCCGCTTTTTATCTTATTAATTGCTCTTTCTGCGGGGTTGTTTTGTTTTGTTTTTTTGGTCAACCATGTGAATTTTTCATATCCTTTTATGAAATAAATGGTATTTCATAAAAGGATTATGAAAAAGTGGAGTATATTTTTAGTCTAGGTTAGGGGTTACAAATTTAACCATCTCCAAGTATTTTTTTTAAGAGAATTAAGGTTGCAAAAATTTAAATGATGTTACAACTTCAACACAAGTTATATTAAATTTTGATACAGTGATTGTAGAGAAGCTAGTTGGTAGAAATGGAGGAAAGTAGAAAAAACAGTATAGGAAAACAAGATTAAATTAGAACATTGTGAAATTAATTATAATGGGACATCAATGTGAATTCATGCCCTTTCAGAAGAAATGTATCTTTTCTCTCTCAATCTTAAAGGATGCCTAGGAGCAGTTTCTTTCCCCACTCCCCACGTGGAAAGATCACACACATATGCTGGGACCCAGTGTCTGGCTTTAATAGTATAGCTCAGGAACAGCAACCAAGCCCCCTTGGAGAGTAGTTGATCCCACATTTGGTGAAGAGAAAATCAGGGTATGCCTGAACATCAAGGGTGTATGGCACAGAGCAGAAAGGACAAAGGCGCCAGCTACAGCTCCCCCTACACCCATCTCCTGGCCAAGTTGTGACAATTGGAAGATCTCAAAGAAGGCAATAATTGTTGTTAATAGAGACAAGTTAGGTCTGTGGGAACCAGGAGAACTTCAGGATGCTCAAGAGAGTAGATTACATAAGGTGTGCCACGTGTGATTTTTCCAATAATATTTACAGAAAATAATGTCTTTCAAACAATAAAACTACATAAATATTGCATTTAAAATAAGTTCAATAGCTGATCTAAGAATCTAATGAGTACAATCCAGGCCTTGACATGAGAAATTCCACAGTAATTACCCAACTGGCAATTGGTCTGAGGGTTTAAACATTTTTACCTTGGAAAGACTCAAGAGTTGGACAATCGGAATGTGAAAGGTATGCAAGATCCTGCAATTGGAGATGGGAAGGTCTTGAGTGCCAGGAAAAGCCTATTAAACTCAAAGGTCTAAGAAGTGACTTCTAATTTTAGAGAGAGGTCTTCTAGGAAAAGACTGCCTCGGAAAGATGGAAACCTATGTGACTGGGGAAGTCTAAGACGAAAGATGTGGATTAAAATCGTCTTTGACATGGCAGGCATCTCTCTACTTACAGAATGGGGTTCAGTTTAATAGTGAAGCTCATGTCTCAAGAAGTATCTTGAGATTGTTCCCATTCCCAGATCTTTAGCCCATAACCCAAATCCACAACCTCAGCTTGCCTGATGTGATAACTCAGGCAAGCTATCAAATTTTGTATCAAAATTTAAAGTCTAGTGTAGCATGACCTTTAATAATCATTGCAGTTCTTCATGTATGCTTTGATTTTAGATGTTTGATAATTTGATTTACTAAATTTATCATTTTGGATTTTTAGGCTTAAGGGGCTCTTAGATTAAAAGTTTGGTTTCCTAAAGGTTTGAAGTGTTTGAAGGAATCAGGTACACTAAAATTATTATTGTAATTTGAAATATTTGAGAAAATGCAAACTTATAAATAACATTAACTAGGAAAGTATTTACCAAATTTCAGTTTTGACTAATGAAAAACTGAGTAAGTAGGTACTTAAAATGTTATGAAATACTGGATAAACAAAATGTGATCTCTATGTTCAAATTCTTAATATAAAACTATTTTTAGATCTACACATTTTAAAAATGTGATTTTGATTAAAATTCAGCTATGATCAACTCTCAGTATTTCTAACTGTGCACAAAGTCACCCTTTGTCATTTAAAATTTACTATTCTCAGTCTTTTGAGTTGAATCTTTAGTTTGTTTTCAGTCTTTATCATTTCTTAAATAATTCTTTTGGGACTACACATCTTCCTGTTGAGTGCTGCTTTGGCCATGTCTTTCAGCCCTCCTTGAGATAAGTAGGGCTATCATTGTCATTTATTTCAGAATTGTTTGTAATATCAGTGTTGATTCTTTCAGTTCTTTGATGTGGCCATGCCCTCTCACTGAGTGGTTTTTGCATGTACTATTCTCTCTTTTCAGAATACCATCCATGTAATCCTTTTCTTTATCTGCCTAACTCTTACTTACCCTTCAGTTCTTGGCTCAGGAAGTACTTCCTCCCAGACAGCTTCCCATTCCAGAACAAAGGCAAAAGCAAAAACAGAACAAACTAAAATCAAAACTGCTAAGCAATGAAAACTTAATTTCAAAATACAGTTAACCCTTGAACAACACTGATTTGAACTGTGCATGTCTACTTAAATATGAATTTCTTTCAACAGATATTTTGGAAAAATTTTTGGAGATTAGTGACAATTTGAAGAAACTCAGACAAGCCAAGTACCCTAGAAATATCAATAAAATTAAGAAAAAGTTAGGTGTGTCATAAATGCATGAAATATATGTAGACACTAGACTATTTATTTCGTCATTTACTACCATAAGGTATACACAAATCTGTAATAAGAAGTTAAAATTTTTCAAAATTTACACACACAGGCTGGGACACTGGGCCACACCTGTAATCCCAGCACTTTGAGAGGCCGAGGTGGGAAGATCACTTTAGGTCAGGAGTTCGAGACAAGCCTGGCCAACATGGCAAAACCCCATCTTCACCACCAGCACCACCACCAACAACAACAACAAACTTCCACACACAAACTTAGACCATGCATAGTCACAATTAAGAGAAATGTAAATAAATGTAAAGGTACTCTGTTATGTCATAACTGCATAAAATTGACTGTAGTATTACTGTACTATTGTAATGATTTCATAGCCACCTCCTATGGTGATTGTGTTGAGCTCAAGGGTTGTGAGTACCTGTTTAAAAGGCCATGTGACGCTAATCCTCTCCAGGTGACCAGTTTCTCTACTAAATTGTGAATAGCAGTAAAAAGTCATCTCTCACAGATCTTATGTATTTTCATAATGTTTAGTGTGATGCCATTAACCTTGAATAACACCACAGGACCCATTTGAAGTGCCACTAGTGATACTGGTAGTGCTCCCAAGAAGCAGAGAAAAGTCCTGATACTACAAGAAAAAGTTGAATTTCTTGCTATGTACAGTGGATTGAAGTCTGCAGCTGCGATTGCTGCCACTTCAGACACGCGATTCATCTTGTAAACGGGCAATGTAAACTGACAGTATGGTTAGTAGCTGAGCGTATCCAAGTCACATGGCACCAAAATATGTTAGCAATGCAACATATTGGAGACAGGGCATCAAGGCATGTTACTGGTGATGAATCTGAACAGGTCTGCAGCAACCTCAATTCTTGCCTCCTCAGAAGAAAGATTTCCACCGAGGAGCACAAGGCAGAAGGAGAGACCAAGGCAAGTTTTAGAGCAGGAGTGAACGTTTATTAAAAAGCTTTAGAGCAGGATTGAAAAGAAGTAGAGGGCATTTGTTTTTTGTTGTTTGTTTGTTTTGTTGTTGTTTTTTTTTTTTTTTTCTTGAGACGGAGTCTCACTCTGTCGCCCAGGCTGGAGTGCAGTGGCACGATGACAGCTCACTGCAACCTGTCTCCCGGGCTCAAGCGATTCTCCTGCCTCAGCCTCCCTAGTAGCTGGGACTACAGGCATGCACCACCACGGCTGGCTAATTAGAAGTAGAGTCCACTTGGAAGAGGGCCACGTGGGCAACTTGAGAGATCAAGAGTGCAGTTTTACCTTTTGACTAGGAGTTTTATACGTTGGCACGCTTCTGGGATCTTGCATTCTTTCTCTGCCCATTCTTCCCTTGGGGTGGGCTGTCTGCATGTGCAGTGGCCTGCCAGCACTTGGGAGGTCAGAATGCACAGTGTGTTTACTGGAGTTGTATTCATACTCAGGTCATTCTTCCCTTACCAGTGGAATGTCCCTGGAAGATCATATACTCCATCAGTTAAGCTCCAACATTTCGTCTCTTAGTGCTCATGCTTAAGCCCACGTGCCCAACACCTGAGATTTTATCAGGAAGCTGCTGATCACCAGTTTTAGGTGTTTCTATCAACTGGGAGACTGCCTTTCCCTGGTGGCAGCTGTGACCAATTATTATTTTAGAGAGAGAGTGTGTGACAACTGCCTATCACCTGATGGTCACCTGATAGTCCTGGTGGGTGGGGGCGGGGAGCTCTCTCCTGCTCTGCTTATTCCTGACTAGCTACCTACTGTAACAGTATTGACAAATATGCTGCAGTGCTGTAAATATATTCTCTCTTCCGTATGATTTTTTTGATAGCATTTTCTTTTCTCTAGCTTACTTTATTGTAAGAATACAGTGTGCAGTACGCATAACATAAAAAATGTGTGTTAATTGACCATTTATGTTACCGATAAGGCTTCCTATCGATAGTAGGCTATTTATTGGTAGTTAAGTTTTGGGAGGATCAGATTTATACATGGATTTTTAACTACATGA
Organism: Homo sapiens; assembly: GCF_000001405.40. Classification (NCBI taxonomy): domain Eukaryota; kingdom Metazoa; phylum Chordata; class Mammalia; order Primates; family Hominidae; genus Homo; species Homo sapiens. The sequence continues at coordinate 14,541,272 of NC_000017.11, forward strand.
GGGGTCAGCAGCCCTAACCCCTGGGTTGTTCAAAGGTCAACTGTAGATCTAACTCATGATCCTTACACAACGGTTGGTATATGGAACAAGTAGGACTCCTGACTTAATTGAAATGCAACTTTGTCTCCTACCATCCCTTTAACTTTAATTCACTGGGTGTGTTTCTCTCCCCTATCCCTGGCCCCAGTGATGAAAACCCCAGCTCACATGACTTTTCTGTTTACACTAAGATAATAGCCCTGTAAAAATATTCCAAGGCCCCAGTGAAGCTTCTTTTCAGAAATTGGAATGTACATTCTTATCTAAAAATATTAAAGCTTCAAACTTAGTGTAATGTCTTCTTCCCTTGCACCTGCTTCAGGCTGAAAGCCTGCACCTGGGAAATGAGGCTTTCCTAGAGCCTGGCTTCCTTCCCTCCCTCCCTCCATCCCTCCCTCCATCCCTTGCTCCTTTCTTCCTCTCCTTATCTCATTTCTCCCTTTCTCTCCTTCTTTCTTTTCTCTCCTTCCTCACTCCTTCTCCCTCTTTCTTGCCTCTTTCCCTTCCTTCTCTCTTTCCCTTTCTCCTTTTCTCTCCCTCTTTTTTCTCCTTCCTCCCTTTTCCCTCCCTTTCTCCCTTCCTTCCTCTCTCCATTTCTCCGTCTTTCTCACTCACCCTTTCTTCATATTACTCTTTTTCTTTCCCTTCCCTTCCGTTCCTTTCTGTCCCCTCCCTTCCCCTCCCCTTCCTTCCTCTCCCCTTCCTTCCCCTCCTCTCTCCCTCTCTACCCTTCTCTCCCTTTCCTTCCCCTTTCCTCCCCTACTCTCCCCTCCCCCTCCCTTCCCTTCCCTCCCCTTTTCCCATTTCCCTTCCCTTCCCTCCCCTACTCTCCCCTCCCCCTCCCTTCCCTTCCTTCCCCTTTTCCCATTTCCCTTCCCTTCCCTCCCCTTTCCTTCTTTCCCTTCCCCTCCCTTCTTTCCTTTTCCTTCCTCCACCATGTCTCTCTCTTTTTTCATCCATCTCTCTCTTTCCTATCTGCTCAGATGCAACTAGATAAGGTGTTTGCTAACACACTAATATTTCTTAAACATCCTTCCATTTCATTAAGTACTATTCTAAAATAGCATCTACATAGTTTTGTTGTCTTAGATGATACAAATATACTGTTATCATCCCATCTTTCTTAGGCTGTGTTTAGTGTTGTCAACAACCACCTGGGGCTGATCACCCCTGTATGTATTCACTCACACTATTCACTCCCATTATTTAAGAAATATTTATTAACTATTATGTTCTCAGCATTGTTCTAATTACCATGAGTGCACGTGTTCATCTCTTATTTCCTTAGGATTAAATTCTAAAGGTAAAGCAGCATCTTGTAAGATTCGAATATTTTTAAAAGGTTTTTGTTACACACTTAAGATATGTAACAATTTGTACTCAATGGGCTAGAAAGGAATATAAATTCCCATTACTCTCTTGTCAACACTGGGTCTTTCTTTTTAATCACAAACAATTTGAAAGGCTAAAAATGATGTCTTATTATTTTGATATGCATTTTTGATTAGTAATGAGTTGAATAGTTACTTGCTTAAAGGCTAGAAGTATGAGGGAGTGGTGTATGTGAAATGACTTTTCTTACGTTTTGCCTAATTTCCACTGGAATGTTTTGGTTTTTAAATTTATTTTAAATTTTTTTATAATTTGAAAACATTAGGCTTTTGTCAGGCATGTGTATTACAGTTATTTTTTTTCTCCCAAACAATGTAATTTGCCCTGCAATCTTGTTTATGGTGTTTTATGACATAAAGACATTTTCTTTTTAAATTTCAGATAGTCACATAGACACTTTACTTACTCCAAGAACAGCCATCTCCAGGTCAAGATTATAGAGTAACACATGTTTTCTTCTTTTACTATTTTTCCTCGGTTGTACCTTTGAGTAATTAAGACAATTGGATTTTATTTTGGATGTGAGTATGGGGCAGGGGTTTAACTTTATTATTTTCTAAATTTTTAGCCAGCTTTTTTTCCTCACTTCATTTATTAAACAATTCATCTTTTCCCCATGGATTTACAAATTTGCCTTCTAAATCTTAAATCCCAATATACACGTGGGTTCATTTTTGGTACTTCTGTTCTATTAATGCTTGTGTATTTTGCAGCTAGTAACACCCTATTTCAAATACTAGAGCCTTAGAACATTTTTGTATGTGATTTGTAAACTTCTATTTCCTACTCTGTAAAGTAAAATGTCTCAGCTAGTCTCACAGTTTTCCAAATGTACGTCAGAATCATTTTGTCAATTTTCAAAATAATCCATTGAGATTTCAGTGAGATTAGCTATTACTTGATGAGGGCTGATATCATTAACACAGTGAGACTTACTTTTGGCTACATGGCATGTTTCTATATTTATTTCCATTTTAAATGTATCTCAATAAAACTATGGTCATGGCATTTAAAAAACTTCTTTGTAGATATTTAATATTTTTATTAAACAAAGATTTTAAAAATATATTTTCTAATTAGTCCTTGTTGAAATGTGATAAAATTGTTAAACTGTGTTTATTGCTTTTACCATCGCCCATTTTACTGACTTCTTACTAGTTTTAATAAATTTTAGTTTACTCCTTGATTTTTCTAGGTGCTTAGCATCCACTAATAAGACTTGTTTTCTTGTTACTTTTTCTTGTTTAATGTGTTGACTGCTGCTTTAGAATTCTGTCATATAATGTTAGTACAATGCATGTTTCACCAAAAAAAGAATATTTTGACTGGTGACTTATGATGGACATTCCCTTAATAAAAAATAGATATTACATTTGATCACATTTCTTATGGGCATTTTCACGTGAGCATTTTGTGAGCATTTCAAATGAGCATTCTGACTTAGACCTATTCACATTACAAAGTTTTATACACTTTCTAATATAGGAAATGCATTGTTTTCCTGGAGTAAATTTCAGTTGGTCAAGGAACATCTCTTAAAATCTCTGGGAATGAGCCAAACTTCTCTATAAAATATGAAAACATGACAACAAGTCATTGTCTGTTTTCTTTTTTTTTTCTTTTCTTTTTTTTTTTTTTTTTTTTTTGAGATCGAGTCTAGCTCTGTCACCCAGGCTGGAGTGCAGTGGCACAATCTTGGCTCACTGCAACCTCCGCCTCCTGGGTTCAAGCAATTCTCTGCCTCAGTCTCCTGAGTAGCTGGGATTACAGGCACCTGCCACCACGCCCAGCTAATTTTTGTGTGTTTAGTAGAGATGGGGTTTCACCATCTTTGCCAGGCTGGGTTTGAACTCCTGACCTCGTGATCCACCTGCCTTGGCCTCCCAAAGTGCTGGGATGACAGGCATGAGCCACTGCACCCTGCCGTCTGTTTTTCTTTGCGAGTGTATCTTGAGGTTCTAGAGTATATGATTTAATTCCTAACATCTCAGTGTTTAGAAGCTATGTGATCACAAGGTAACATTGTAACCAGATAATCAAACCTAGGGAGAGGATGACAAAAATGCTTGGGCAGGAGCATTCAGAGGATGTGTATTTGGTTTTGTTAATATTCTATTTCTTACGTTGAGTACGTGTGGGTTTATTCTGTTTTATTAAAAATTTAAATATATTTTTAGGTTTTAAAATGTATTATGGAATATTAGAAAGTTTGTTTTTTATATTACACCTCCTCCTTTTCTGATCATCAGATTATTTTCATTGAGAAGATGCAATATTCTCTAAAATATTATTGAAAATACAAAATTGATTACTTTTAAAAATCTGTTTTATGGCATCAACTGGTTTCAGGGAAAGAAGGGCGTTGCCCTTGGGTTGTTCTCCTTATTTTGAGCTATTGACTGTGGTCTTAAGTGGGATGATTTATCCGTGTGCCCAACTTCACTTGGGAAGGTGTGAGTTCCAGTGGTTGTTGGCAGCCGAGATGGGTAGAGAGGCAGGTGTTCATTTTTGAATATGCTACTTTTAGGTAAAAAGGCAAAAGAAAAGTTTGTATTTTGCCAGGTTAGGCTTCTAGTCAATTGCGAGGTGTAGGCAGGAAGCTTCTGTGAGTTAAGGAAGCTGTGCAGCCAGGACCACACAGCTGTGGCTAATGCCTCCATTTGTGTGTTTGCTGTGACCACCGTGAGCTAGCAGGGGTGGCCTGCCCCTTTCTTATCTGGCATGACAGCTCACGTTAGCAGCCCCCGGGGATGCAGCTCCTCTGATTAGCACGCACTCTCCTACAAACGAAGGTGGTGGCCAGTGCATCAGGACGCTGGGTCACATTCCTCCATCTTTCATAAGATCGAGGGCTGGCCACTGCCTGAAGATCCAGGTAGGAGCCTCACCTGCAGTGCTGCAGCTCGTAGGTCACAGATTCCGAGTGCTCTGGACTGTAGAGCGTGAGGAGGTCAACAGGCAGAGAGAGGTGAGCTCGGCTATGACAAATGCTTCCTTTCTGCTTGCTGAGCTGACTGAGTCACACACCTTTCTCTGACTGGCATGGCCACCCTTATCACCTGTTCTGGCAACTTCCTTGTGGGGGGAACACAACGTCCTCACCTACTGCAGATGGGAGGGGCCGCCTGGGCTAGAGTTCTGTGTCCTTCTGGGCCCATAGTCTCTTTTTCAATTGCGGTAAAATCCACATAACATAGAACTTATCATTTTAACTATATATATATATATATAACTATATATATAAAATATAAATATAACTATATATATAAAATATAAATATAACTATATAAATATAAATATATATATATATATTTTTTTTTTTTTTTTGAGATGGAGTCTCGCTCTGTTGCCCAGGCTGGAGTGCAATGGCGCGATCTCGGCTCATTGCAACCTCCGCCTCCTGGGTTCATGCCATTCTCCTGCCTCAGCCTCCGGAGTAGCTAGAACTACAGGTGCATGCCGCAACTCCTGGCTAATTTTTTGTATTTTAGTAGAGGCGGGGTTTCACCGTATTGCCCAGGCTGGTCTCCATCTCCTGAGCTCAGGTAATCCACCCGCGTCAGCCTCCCAAAGTGCTTGGATTACAGGTATAAGCCACCACGCCTGGCCCATTTTAACTATTTTGAAGTATGTATTTCAGTAGCATTAAGTACACTCACATTGTCATGCAACCATCATCACTATTTATCTCCAGAACTTTTTTTTTTTAATCTTCCAAAACTAAAACTCTATTATCCATTGAACAATAACTTCCCAGTTCCTTGCTCCCAGTCCCGTGGTAACCTCTAATCTACTCTCTGTCTCTATGAATTCGAAAACTGTAGATACCTTACGAGTAGAATCAAACAGTATTTGTCCTTTTGTGACTGGCTTAATTTACTTAACATGAAGTCTTGTAAGGCTCACCTATGTTGTAGCGTATGTCAGAACTTCTTTTCTTTTTTTTTTTTTCTTTTTTTTTTTTCAGATGAAGTCTTGCTCTGTTGCCCAGGCTGGAGTGCAGTGGCGCAATCTCTGCTCACTGCAAGCTCCGTCTCCCGGGTTCACGCCATTCTCCTGCCTCAGCCTCCCGAGTAGCTGGGACTACAGGCACCCACCACCATGCCCAGCTAATTTTTTGTATTTTTAGCAGAGATGGGGTTTCACCGTGTTAGTCAGGATGGTCTCGATCTCCTGACCTCGTGATCTGCCTGCCTCAGCCTCCCAAAGTGCTGGGATTACAAGCGTGAGCCACCGCGCCCAGCCGAATTTCTTTTCTTTTTAAGGTTAAGTAATAGTTCATTGTATGTACAGACAATACTGTTTACTCATTCATCTATTGATGAAGATTGACCTGTAGTCTTTTTAAGGAGATAAGATTTGCCTGCATCTTCAGTCTCTACTGCACTGAGCTTGAAGACATCCTGGAATTATTCTAGGACAGTAGTTCTCAAGCTTCACGGTGCACCAGAATCCCCTGGAGAGCTTGTGAAAATACAAATTGCCGGGCCCTGACCTCAGAGTTTCTGATTCAGTAGCTCTGGGGTGGGGCCTGGGAATTTCCATTTCTAACAAGTTTCCAGGTGGTACTGATGCTGCTGGTCTAGGTACCACACCGTGAGAACTACTGCTCTAGGAATTCAGTTCATGTATTTTCCTAGAGCTATGTACCGCATATGATAAAGTAGATGCCCACTCACATACTCTTCTGGGGGATCTAGCCACGCCAGTCCCTGTTGCCTTCAATGATAAGGGGCTGACCTGAAAGACATCTATCCGTAAACTGGCCACTACTTTTGACTTGTGTGACCCCACTCAAAAGTGAGCTAGGCCAATGCCTGAAGAATATGAATGTGGTGACATGGAGGAAAGTTGGACTGTGGACCAGGCAGAGTTGGGGTTGATATGACCAGCCTTGTGCTGAAGCCAACGAAGTCACGGGTGGAGGAAACAGAGTGGACACCCACCAAGAAGCAGAGATCTCAGTGACCAACCCTTTTATTAAGACTTCCTCTATCCTTGCTGCTTCCTCCCTGCCTGCTGAGCCCATCCCTGCTGCCAGAAAGAATTGGCCCCTAGGCTTGAATTTCAGTGAAGCCATGAAGAGAAAATGCACCATGAAATTATATGGCTCCTGCAAAAGAGGTTGCCATCTGCTTTTTCCTTAGGCCTTTCCCCTGTACACAGTGTATTAAACCATTATGGTCTGGAGCTGTCTCCCCTTCCTGTAATATTGTACACATTAGAAAGAAAATAGTCCTTATTTAAACAAAACAGAATTCAGGATTCGAGGCTCTAGTAAATTTCCCAAGGCATTTGTGGATTCTCTACCATTTTCTAAATATTAGTATTAATAATCTGTTAATCGTTTTTCCAATTTCCCTTGTCCCAGTTTTGGGATGGAAATGTATTGCCTTTTGCTGAATATCTATAGGTTTTTCTGTGTATATAAAAGCTTATACACCATAATTTGCTTCAACCAATACATGATTTTAATGTCGCTTTTTCTCACCTTATTCTTTACCCTCGCATTTCTGAACTTTGGGGGAGATGCGATTTTCTTTTTTCTTGCTGAATAAGACAAAAAATAACAATTGAGATAATAGGCAAAAACCAAGCAAATTAAACCTTGTAAATTCTATTTTATGTTCTGAGGAAGCCCAGCAGGGATTAAACATCGAGAAAACAAGGAGATATTTTGATTCCATTTTTGAAAATGAACTTTTAACTTGCCCTTTGGAAAGGACCACATTATCTTTAAACAAAAGGAATCCCATGTTACAAGGCACATTTTCATCTCCGTCCTTTTCACTGTTTCCAGACACAAGAAGTGTCCCCTGGCACTGAGCATCCTGTTCTCCCAAGGGGTACTGATCCACCCTCTCTAAATTTTCATGGATAAAAGGAAATATGTGACTGTCTAGGAGTGGACACCTGATATTTCTTTTTTTTTATTTGTTGTTGTTGTTGCTTCTTTTACATATATATATATTATTATACTTTAAGTTCTAGGGTACATGTGCACAATGTGCAGGTTTGTTACATATGTATACATGTGCCATGTTGGTGTGCTGCACCCATTAACTCGTCATTTACATTAGGTATATCTCCTAATGCTATATTTCTTAAATTATCTGCTCTGTGTTTGACCTGGCAGGGGTTTCTCAATGTGTACCACAAGATCATCACCTTATTCCCCTATCTCGAGCATGAGAAATGACATTGATTTTTTTTCTGGTTTCTAGAAGTCAGTTTGTTTCATAAAGGGGACACAGGCACTGATTGCTCAGGTGCTTCCTCTTCCTTCCACGTATTGATTTTTGTTTTTTCATTCTTCCAGTGATTTGAGGATTGGGTCGGGGGTAGATGTTATGTTTCTCTACTTTCAGCAGTTGAGATGGATTTTCTGAGGGAGTGTTTGTGTCCCTGTTCGGCACTGCCAGGCTCAGGTGAACAGAGAGGGGAAGAGGTAAATTTGCGGCGGCTCACTTTCACCAGGCTGGGTTTGGTGGGATGTGGCTTCTGTTGTGGGCAGTCGTCCAGGCTCACAAAGAGGAGGAGGCTGTTTTCCAGCACACTCCTCTCTTCTGAGTTGAGTGTGAGTTGGGAGCATGTGCCTGCCCCTCGGTCCGACCCTCGGAAGATGCCGGTGTCAGGTGCATTCCTGGAAGATGCTCCCAGGCCAACACTTGCTTCCTCCCTTCCTGTTTTAGATGTCCTAAGTTGGGGTGGTGTTCTGAGCATCATCTGGCTGTAGATTTGTGAGCCCACCTTGCAGTCTCTCTCCACTGCTCTCTCTCGTGGAGAATTTCCTTAAGGACTGAAACCTATAGATAATTATTTCCCCTGGTTCTGAGCTGATCTAGCTTTTCCTTTGACCTTTTCAATAGGTATTTGGAAAAGGCGATGGCCAGTGAGCCAGGGTGGCTGTGTTGAATGGGAAATCTCTGATCTGACTGGGTTTCTCATTTGTTCTTTACCAAATCAAGACTCGTCTCTAGAAATCAGCTTTTAAAAAGCAACAGTTATCTCTCTCTGGACCCCATCATGTCAGATTTGGTTCTCAAAATGGAAAGATCCAGAATCCTGTTTATACTGTATTTCAAAGATGTGACTCCCTTTTGGAAATCCTTCTTGATGCCTGCTTCCTGTTTTTTTTTTTGTTTTGTTTTTTTTGTTTTTTTTTGTTTTTTTTTTTTTGAGACGGAGTCTCGCTCTGTCGCCCAGGCTGGAGTGCAGTGGCGGGATCTCGGCTCACTGCAAGCTCCGCCTCCCGGGTTCACGCCATTCTCCTGCCTCAGCCTCCCAAGTAGCTGGGACTACAGGCGCCCGCCACTACGCCCGGCTAATTTTTTGTATTTTTAGTAGAGACGGGGTTTCACCGTTTTAGCCGGGATGGTCTCGATCTCCTGACCTCGTGATCCGCCCGCCTCGGCCTCCCAAAGTGCTGGGATTACAGGCGTGAGCCACCGCGCCCGGCCGCCTGCTTCCTGTTTGAGGGATGCTGCCAGCCCTTCCTCATTTCTCAGCTGAGCTGGCTGACAGCAGCTGAGCTCAATGCTTGGACAAAGCCTCTTAACTCAGATCACCAACTGCATCCTGTCTATGAGGTTCTCTCTTGATTTCTGAGGATCTGGGTGGCTAGAGAACTGATCGCCCAGAATCCATCACAATCTACACAATATTGGGATAATGAATTAGGCAGATATTCATTCATCCAATGTGTATTTACTGCCTGCCTATGATGCACTGGGCATTATTCTAGGTCACTGATTCTCAGACTTGGAGTAACTGGGTATATTAATCAGGGTTCTCCAGAGAGAGAGAACCAATCGTATGGATATATGCAAATAGAGAGATTGATTATAAAGAGTTGGCTTTTGTGATTTTGGAGACTGCATGTCCGAAATTTGCAGGGCAGGCCAATAGGTTTGTGACCCAGGAAGGGTTGATGTTGCCATCTTGCATCTGAAGACAGTCTGGAGGTGGAATTCTTTCTTTCTTGAAGGATCTTAGTCTTTGCTCTTAAGGCGCTCAACAGACTGGGTGAGGTCCACTCACACTGCGGAGGGCCATCTGCTTTACTCAAACCTACTGACTTAAATGTTCATCTCATCTAAAAAACCAACAACATCCAGACTAGTGTTTGACCAAACAACTGGACACCATAGCCTCGCTAATGTGACACATGAAATTAACCACTATGCCAGGAGAGCTATAAAAACTTTAATGCCTGAGTCCAGGCCCCAGGGATTCTTGTTTAATAGGCCTTGGGTGCAGCCTGGGTATTGGGGTTTTTCAACAGTCCGCAGTGATTTTAATGTTCTGCAAAGTTGAAGAACTGCTCTTCTAAGCACTGGGGTTACAAGAGCAAACAAAAGAGAAAAATGTCTGCTTGCATGGAGTTTCCATTTAGTGGTGGAAGATAGAGGATGCACAAGTCAACAGACACTTATCCTGTGAGGTGGTGCAGTGTGGGGTGAAGGAAAACAAAAGCAGGCGAGGAAATCAACAAGGACAGGTGCTTTTCTAGATTAGGTGGCATGGGAGGCCTCTTTGAGGTGAGCCCCAGGGAGAGAACTGAGGGAGCTGAGCTACTACTAACCCAGTATTGGGGAGTCAGAGGAACTGTTTACTTCTGTTACACAGAAATATTAAGGAACCTATATTTCTGCACGATATGAGGTTTAAGCAGGAAAGAAAATTTCCCACCCAAAGGGATTTAAAACTTTCTCTTCTACACACACACACACACACACACACACACACACACACACAGAGCACATTTTGAAGGAACAGCAGCCACCTGCAGCCACCAGACACTCAGGGAGAGGCCAGGGGAAGCGAGGCAGGGGGTTGTGTGTTGCCACCCACAGCCAGATGGGCGGGCATGCGTGGGAGGGGCACAGCCCTCCACGGAAGCCAGTCTGCAGGGATCTAGGAATGAAAGGCTGCACAGTTCGCAAGTAGTCAAGGCAAAAACGAACACCCAGAGTTCTGCCTCACGTTTTTAGGGGTTTGGAATAGAGAGGGCCGATCTGCCATCAGGACCCCAGGTCTGCTAAAACTTGGGGGCCATGAAGCGAGAAACAGGCATCTCAGTGTAGCTGGTACAAATAGGACCACAGAAAAATTATAAAATAGAATCTGATTTCAGTTTTTTAGACACAGTCTTTTGGTATTGAGAAGAAATAGAAGATGACTGTAAAAACTTAGAATGTATGTATATGACATATAGTGTATATATTATATATGAAATAAAGTATATGATATATACTTTATTATATATCATATATGATTATATAGAGTGTATACTAGAGTATATATTATGCATATATGATTATATATAGTACATATATGATTATATATAGTATATATTATGCATAGTATGTACCATATATACTTTATATAAAAATAGTGTTTTATTCTATTCTAATATTTCTTAGAATAGTTTTAGATTTACGGAAAAAAATTACAAAGATAGTATAAAGAGTTCCCAAATTCCCTATACCGAGTTTCTCCTATTATTAGCATCTTACATTAGTGCAATACATTTGTTACAATTAATGAGCCAATACCGACACAGATTTATTCACTCAAGTCCATACTTGATTCGGATTTTCTAGGCTTATCTAATGTCTTTTTTTCTGGTCCAGGACCCACATTACATTACACATTACACAAGCATTTCATCATCCTGTGGCCCACAATCTGAGTTAGCAGTAGGGGCTGTTGGCATTGTCTGTTTCTGAGGGAGGCAGGAGTCGTACTTCACACATGTACCCTGTCGACTGTCACTCAAATAACAAGCAGCCTAAGTGAGCCTCTGGCAAGGGCTGGACCAGCGATGTCTCCAAGAACCCTGTGATTTAGTGACTAGCTTGAAAGGGCGGGCTCTCTGTCTGCTGGGGACGTTTATGAGTCAGCTTTGTGATGCCAAGTTTGGGAGGCAACCTCGCAGCCAGGGGACCAGGAGTTGAACCCAGGCTATCAGCTCCATTTACCTGCAGGGCTTTAAACGATGTGTCAAACATCTCTGAGCCAGACTCAGATAGTTTTACCAGTTTTAGCCATCTCACATAAGAATATTGTATCATGGGGATCATGAGGATTTTCTAAAAACAAGAAATGTAAAGAAGCTTGGCTCAAGGTCAAGGCCAGGAGACCTTGGCTCTTTTTGCCCATAAGCCTAACAATGGCTTCTGGTCTCTTAGAAGTAGGAGAGAGGTGAATGAAAGATCCTTCTCCTTATATGCTGAATAAATTCCTTTTTTGTTGTTTTTTTTTCTTTTGTTTTTGTTTTTGTTTTTTTGTGAGACAGAATCTCGCTTTGTTGCCCAGGCTGGAGTGCAGTGGCATGATCTTGGCTCACTGCAACCTCTGCCTCCCAGGTTCAAGCGATTCTCCTGCCTCAGCCTCCTGAGTAGCTGAGATTACAGGTGCATGCCACCATGCCCAGCTAATTTTTGTATTTTTAGTAGAGACAGGGTTTTACCATGTTGGTCAGGCAGGTCTTGAACCTCATGATCCACCTGCCTCGGCCTCCCAAAGTGCTGGGATTACAGGTGTGAGCCACTGCGCCCAGCCTTGAGCAAATTCTTTCAACATGCATTCAACAGATACATCTTCAGCACTTACTGTCCACCAGGCTCACCGCTGGGCCCTGAGAACAGAGGGGAAGAGAAGCCATACTTCCTGTGCTCATGGAGTTCGCAGTAACTGGGACTCTCAAGTTCTGATGTAACATGGAGGGGGAGGATTTCAGCTTGAGCATCTTTCAGGATAGCTATCACCTCATCACTTGTACATCTGTTTAAAGAGATTTAAATTTGGGACTGTATATTTAGTGTTAAGACCCACTTTATTCTAAAAAGCTTGCCAGGATGATTAACTAAAAAATCCCCTAAAAATCTGTAGGGACAATAATTTTGGTTGGGATAAGTATTTCCTAGATCCCTAAGAATTAAGTTTTCATTGACTTGTCTGTCTTGGCCTAAAGACAATATATCAAACAATATATTGTATATCAACAATATATCAAAATATTTCTAATGTTTGTATTGTCTTTGACTAAAGTCATTTTTGTCTTTCGTAAAGGGGAGGTTATTTGCCTTCCTTTTTGCCAAACTAAGAGATCAAGAAGACTGGAGAGAGCCTCAGGCCTTAGACTGACCCTGGGCAAGTTACCTAGATTCTTTCAGTTTCTATTTCTTTCTTTATTTTAAATGAGTAGAGCAATTTCCTTGACCCAACATGTCAGCTTTGGTGTAAAGTAAATAAACCGTTGCCCACAAATGCCTCGGCCCACTGCTTTGCATACAGTAGGTGCTCAGTAAATGGGAGCTCTTCTTGTCATTCCTGGGTCCAAACTTCCTGCTTTGTGAAATGGCAATACTGCCACCTACCTTGTAGGTACAATTAAATGGCTTGAAATAAGGTCATCTGCTGGGCTGAATCCTGGGAAAGATTTAGGCTCTGCCCAAGGGGGCCACTTGGAGAAGAGAGCAGGTCTCAGAAGAAGGAGGTTGGGCATAGCTTCAAATACCCATCTAGTGCCCAGCTGAAGGATGTGTATGCCTGCACCAGGGGATCTGTAGGCCGTTTGGGGATGCATGCTACGAACTACAAAGAAAACCAGGAGGCAAAGAGGTGGCTTAAACACCTTGTAGGGCCAGAGGAAAGAAAAAACAGATTAACCGGTGCCAGGCAAGAAAGGGCTTCCAGCGTCCATTATCTGTTCTTCCTTTCCCTACTTCAAGCTTGAAAAGAGCAGAGATAGCTGAGTGGGAGGAAGGAATTAATAGACTTGAGAAAAGGCCTACCTCCTCTCGCCATTAAAGACTGTAACAGGTATAGACTGGGGGATGGGAGAGGATTTATCGTCAAGTAAAATTCAGAATTTTGATTATTCAAAAAATCTGGAGGTTTTAACTACTGAAATGAGGACTATGTTTTGTGATCAGAGATAACTTTGTTTTGTGATCAGAGATAACTTGAAAGTCTTTTTCATCATCTGAAAGTGACCAGGTAAGCCATGGGAGCTGCCCTTGTTTCTATCCAGGGAGTAAACAGGAGCTAACCTCATGGAATGTAGGAGAGAGATTATTTTTGTTTTGCTGATTGTTTGTTTCTAGGTACTAGGGGTTTTTCTTTTCTTTTCTTTTCTTTTCTTTTCTTTTCTTTTCTTTTCTTTCTTTCTTTCTTTTTTTTTTAATTTTGAGAACTAGATTACCAGCACACCACTGCTTAAAACTATCCCAAGCCAGAAACTTTGGTGGTATGTCAACATTTCATGGAGAAAAAGTACTGTGTGTGTGAACTGAGACATTTTATTAGACATTTTGTGGTATAAGCATCTCTGCTGTGGCTTCTATCTAGGTAGAAGGTGGAAGCATTTTACTTGCTTTCCAGAGCCCCGTCCAGCTGTCCTGCTACTGAGGGTGCTGGGAGAATGATGGCAAGAGTAACCAGCAAACAGCTGCCCCTTAAAGAGGCTGGGGAGAGATTGGCTGGGTGCAGTGGTAGAAGCTAGTCTTCCTGGGCTTTAGGATGTCAGGAGCCATATGAGGATGGGGATGAGATTGAAGCTGCATGGGACAGGCCAGCCGGGACTGGGTTGTGGGACCAGGTAAGACTCACCTTGGACGCTCTCAGAAATCTTTGAGTTACAGAGATAAGTATTTGTAACAGACTAGAATTCGCACGTGGAGTAGAAATACCTTAACGCTGGGGGCATTGAGTTGTTAATGTTAACGCCACTCTACTTATCTATATATGGAGGAGCCTTGGGGACACTGGATTGCAGTAATGATGTACATAAAGTGTCCAGTCCAGAGTCCCGTACATAGTAAGGACTGAGTAAAACAGTTTTCTTTTCACCTTGACCTTTCTCATCATGCATCTATTAGCTATGCCAGTATTGAAGGTAAACATTAGCAAGAGGGAAGAGTTAATATTGCCCTGTTTAATGCCATGTATTGGGATTACACCCCTCAGTAGATATTTTTCTTGGAAACCAAGCTTAGTAATAGCTTCAAATGATCATCTCTTACATCCATAACTTCTTCACATGGTGTCTAGTCCATGGTAGGTACTCAATAAATAGTTGTTGAATGTAGTTGATACAGGTTCTGGAGGAGTTTAACAAACCTAAAGTGCACATACTGGTTGAGTTCTGACAAGGAAACCATAGAATCTCAGAGAAAGGTTCTCATCTAATTCCCCATTCCGTTCTCTATTCTGTGGTTTGCATTACCTGCTCCCCCTCATCCTAGATGTGCTCCCCCGATCCTGGAGGTTACTCTGCCTGGACATACTGATACCAGTGGACACACCATGTGGGAAGTAGTCTATTCTGCTTTTGGACAAAGCTTCCCGTGCAATTTCAATGCCATGTAAGGAAAGCATAGTGTCCTTGTATCTTTCATCCAAAGACAGAGACATAATTGGTCTGAATCCTGCTTGTTCCTTATAAAATATATTTTGGGAAACTCAGGCAATTTATTTCAGGAAAATCTGATGGGGAGGTTTAACCAAGTGTCCAGTAAGCTGAACTGCAATTGTGAATTATTAAAGGATGTCCTTTTATTAAAAAAGAAGTGGTCAGGCATGGTGGCTCATGCCTATAATCCCAGCACTTTGGGAGGCCAAGGCAGGTGAATCACCTGAGGTCAGGGGTTTGAAACCACCAGCCTGGCCTACATTGTGAAACCCAATCTCTTCTAAAAATACAAAATTAGCCAAGCGTGGTAGCACTTGCCTGTAATCCCAGCTACTTGGGAGGCTGAGGCAGGAGAATCACTTGAACCCGGGAGGCGGAGGTTGCAGTGAGCTGAAATCACGCTGTTGTACTGCAGCCTGGGCAACAAGAGTGAAACTGTCTTAAAACAAAAACAAAACAAAACAAAATAACAACAACAAAAAAACAGTAAGTGCACTTAGAATGGATCCAAAAGGAAACCTACTTCCAGAATTGACTCGGGTAGAATGGCAACGAGTATCATGTCTTAGGAAAATGCCGGGGACTTACAACTCAAGGGGCATTGAAAAAAGAAAATATCGGGTCTTCCCTGCTTGCCTGCAGTATAGTATGCAGCCTGGTAAGAGCTGAGTTGGCCAGGATGGCTCAAGAGCTTCCTACCCTACTTTAGGCACCTAGCGGAAGTCTAGCAAGGCTGCAGGTAGGGGGGATTCCAGAGAAGGAATGAACATTTCATCAGCTGAGGTCGTGAAACAACCTCACAGAGAGCAGCCACAAAAATTCTCTAGGAGTGAGCAGGGGTGCAAAATCCTTGTCAATCCAGGCAGACAATTGGTAGCAGAAAGTCATGGGCCATAGTAGATCACTAAATAAAATTTTCTAAAAATATAAAAGATATTAAAAAGATATATAACTGGATCACTAGCCAGGGATTACTAACCAGCAGAACAAGGCAGGACCCATAGTTCTGGAGACACAAGAATACAAAGGCTTTGGTTCATTGAGCAAAGGCGCAAATGGGACCTAGGATAGGGAGGAGGGAGTAGACCTCAGGAATGAAGCAGAAACTCAGTGTCAAAAGAAAAATGTGGCCGGGCGCAGTGGCTCACGCCTGTAATCCCAGAGCTTTGGGAGGCTGAGGTGGGTGGATCATGAGGTCAGGAGATCGAGACCAGCCTGGCCAACATAGTAAAACCCCGTCTCCACTAAAAATGCCAAAATTAGCTGGGCATGGTGGCATGTGCCTTTAGTCCCAGCTACTTGGGAGGCTGAGGCAGGAGAATCACTTGAACCTGGGAGAGGGAGGTTGCAGTGAGCCAAGATCCACTGCACTCCAGCCTCACGACAGAATGAGACTCCGCCTCAAAAAAAAAAAAAGAAAAAGAAAAGAAAAACCTTAGCCAAATTAAGTTTCACAGAGTTTAATTCAGCAATGAAGGATTCACGAATCAGGCAGTCTTCAGAGCCAGAGTAGGCTCAGGGACTCCAGCACAGCCACGTGGTGGAAGATTTATGGACAGAAAAAGGGAAGTGATGTGCAGAAAATGGAAGTGAGGTACAGAAACAGTTGGATTGGTTATAGCTCTGTGTTGCCTTAGTTGAACAATTGGCCACCTTTTATTGGCTAAAACTTTTGTGATTGGCACAAAAGGAGGCTATAGTCTGTATACAACTCCATTTAGGTTATAGTTCACAATGTACATAGAAACCTTTAGGCAGAACTTAAAATAGGTAAGGAGGCAGTTTTGAGCCAAACTTCATTTAACACCAGTTAGCAAGTCAGGAACACAGAGGTTTGCTTAGAGATACAGGGCATCAGACAAGAAGTGCTTCAAATCCCCCCTCCTAAAGCCGGAACAGCCCTAGAAACTAAGGGGGCACTTTCTTTACTAGACGTGGCCAGGTGAGCAAGGACTTTATCCCACACTCTGGCCACCTTCAGCATATATCTTTAAAGAAAAAAACCTCAGGATAGAGCATTTTACAGGTTTGTTTTGATTGATAGAATATTTTCAAGGGGGCGTAAGTTATTGGCTTTATACATTTTGTAGTTTAAAGGCAGTAAGGAAGAGGAACTTTTGAAATAATTTTTTCTTCAAGAAACACATTCTTATTTCAGAAAATTTAGAAAAATGAGAAAATACTTAGAGAAAAGTCTTTTTACTTCGAAAAGCATACACATACTCTCATACATAAATACTGAGCTTCTTAATGTGTGTCCACTTGGAGTATATGCATTCTGCTTTATTTAATTATTATTACTTATTAAGCATTTATAAGACCACATAAAATAGAAAGCATAGTGGCTGTATAGTATTTTAATATATGGATGTAATATAAATATTTAATTTAGGGTGTTTTTCCCTGTTCACCAATATCATATTACTACAATTGGTGGCTTTGATTGTTTTTGTAGAATACTATTTGAAATTGGAATTAGTAGGTCAAAAGTCATATTTTGTTTGTTTGTTTGTTTTTTGTTTTTGAGATGCAGTCTTGCTCTGTCACCCAGGCTGGAGTGCAGTGGCATAATCTTGGCTCACTGCAAGCTCTGCCTCCTGGGTTCACGCCATTCTCCTGCTTCAGCCTCCCGAGTAGCTGGGACTACAGGCGCCTGCCACCACGCCCGGCTAATTTTTTGTATTTTTAGTGGAGACAGGGTTTCACTGTGTTAGCCAGTATGGCCTCGATCTCCTGACCTCATGATCCACCTGCCTCGGCCTCCCAAAGTGCTGGGATTACAGGCGTGAGCCACCATACCTGGCCAAAAATCATATTTTTAAAACTCTAAACATGTTTTGCCAAATTGTTTTTCAGAAGCTATACCAGTTTACATCATATCCTTTCTGACATTGAATGTGACCATTAAAAAAAATAGTCTATTTAACAGGTGAAAGACGGTATTTTATTGCCTTATTTTGCATTTTTTCACTAGAAAGAATAAATTCTTCCTGCATTAGTGTTTGTATTAATATTACTAATAAATAAATACATGAGTTTATCTGAACCAAGCTATGTCTTAGCAGGATGTAAGCTTAAGACCATCGGTTACAAGAAATAATCGTGGAGTCTTTGTGTATGAAAAGCCCCCTTTTTACAGGGATGGAAATGTTTGGAATGACGTTACAAATAAGATGCTGTTTTTCTAAACATGGCACACTCTTGCTTAGTGCTGGCAAATGCTAGGTGGGTGATTGAGCGGGAAACTTGCTGAGCTCAGCATCCTCTTATCTTCTTCCTCTTCCTGACCACCCCTACCCTCATTTTAGATCTTAATCTATTCAGTTTTACAGATGCTGAGATCGCTCCCAATCCGCCCACACATCTGGTTAGATTCGTATTTCCCTGGCTGGCTTGTATTTTACCAGCATCTGTCAACCCTATTTACTTCTTAATTGTTCTTTGGGCATTTGGAGGAAAAGCCTGCCTGGGGATCTACACACTCACATGAAAACTGTGCAAACGAGTCACAGGCTGGGACACCTTTAGAAAGAGTGGTTAAAGTTGATTTTTTATTATTTATTGTTGAGCTGTTGAGTCATCATAAAATCAACGTCCAGCTGATGGCTGTCTTTGGTCTTGTGCAGTCAGCTGTCCCCGTGGTGCAGTGCATGATTCCTGCTGGGGCCCAGGCATTTGAAGAAATAAAAAAAAAAAGGAAAGCCACCAGGTCCCCCTGAGGCCATTGGCTTGTTTTATGATGCAAACACCTGTCTCATTTTATATTGACTGCCCTGTGACCTAAAAACAAAAGCAGAATTTGTAACACCTCCAGGTGCAATAGCACCCACAGGATCTAAATAGAGCACCAGAGAGAAAGCAGCTATAAGTCACCAAAGATTAGCTTTGATACCCAGTGAGTGGAAAATACGATTCTCTCCAGAGACGGGTGTGGGCACTGTTCTTATTTAACCTTTTTTTCCCCAAATAAATGATCCAGACAAACAGGCACCATGAAATCTTTAAATTGGCAGATGGCACAAAATTATCCAGAAAGTGCCTTGCCACACTGATGGTCATAAATGGCAGGAAGAGTTTTGGAGTTTGAGTGAATGGGCAGGAATGTGGCAGATGAGTTTCAGTGAGATGAAGTATCTGGTAATGAACTAAGGCAAAAATAATTACTGGGGACAGAGAATGGGCTGTGGGGTATTGGTTACAATCTGAAAAAGAGGTCTGGCAAAATTGGGTTGGGTTTTAGGGATAATCTACTATGTGCTGTCAGAACTACTATGAAAATATTGTGTGGCACCAAATGAATATCGGTGACAAGTTGGAGATCTTCTACCATTGTCCACAAGATCTGTAATTCTTATTTTTTTCTTTTTTTTTTACTTTCTTTTCTTAAATTATTTATTTATTTATTTATTTATTTATTTATTTATTTATTTATTTTATTTTTGAGACAGAGTCTCGCTCTGTCACCCAGGCTGAAGTGCAGTGGCATGATCTTGGCTCACTGCAACCTCCGCCTCCTGGGCTTAAGCGATTCTCCTGCCTCAGCCACCTGAATAGCTGGGATTACAGGTGTCCGCCACCGCGCTCGGCTAATTTTTGTATTTTTTTTTTTTTAGTAGAGATGGGGTTTCACCATGTTGGCCAGGCTGGTCTTGAACTCCTGACCTTAGGTGATCCACCTGCCTTGGCCTCCCAAAGTGCTGGGATTACAGGCGTGAGCCAGCGCGCCCAGCCTAAGATCTGCAAGTCTATAGAGGTTTTATTTGTCTCATTTTAATGATGACCTAATTATCAGGACCTTCTGGTGATCTTACTCTTTCCTGAATCAGAATTTGGTTCACATCTGTGCTTCCGTCTGTTTCCAAATTGCATTGTACCCAAATGTCCTCAACCAGTCAGAGATATAGATCAGGCCTCTGCATTGAGCACGGAGCTGGCTTTCTCCCCTCTTTGTTTCTTAGGTCTTGGATGGCTATTTCTTAGACCAGTACTATCTGACTGCTTTTCTTGCCTCGGTTGTCCTCCCAAAGCCTGACCTCTCCTTACCTGTGTAATAACCTGATCTTTCTCCCAGACTGAGTCTCTGATCTATGGGGTTTGGCAGAGCTCCCTCGGCTACGCGGTCTCCTATTGCTGTCTTCTTCCTGCCTCCATGCCTCAAGGAGCAGCAAGGTAGCAGGAGAAGGTAAACACAATAGTTAAGCGATGTAGTGGACATTTGTTGGTTACTTTTCCACAGCCATTGCCTCTTCTCCTTTTTCCATTGGGACCTCAAATTTTAAAGCACTATGACTTGGGGTGAGATTGAGCCCATCCTCAGCTCTAAGGTGAGACCTAATTGGCTTAATACAATTCAGCTCCTTCATTCTATTCCCCGACCATTGTCTTTGATTCAGTGGTGAACGTCTCATTTCAGGCCAAGAAGCCAAATGGAGACATTTACTAGAACTTCTAGTAAAGATATTTCTCTCTTTTTTTCTCAAAAGATCTATAATTTTCTTTCTTTTTTTTTTTCTTTTAGACAGACTCTCGCTCTGTCGTCCAGGCTAGAGTGCAGTGGTGCAATCTCGGCTCACTGCAGCCTCTGCCTCCCAGGTTCAAGTGATTCTCCTGCCTCAGCCTCCCAAGTAGCTGGGATTACCGGTGCACGCCACCACACCTGGCTAATTTTTGTATTTTTAGTAGAGACGGGGTTTCACCATGTTGACCAGGCTAGTCTCAAACTCCTGACCTCAAGTGATCCACCCGCCTTGGCTTCCCAAAGTGCTGAGATTACAGGCGTGAGCCACTGCACCCAGCCAAGATCTGTAATTTTCTGTCCCCATATCCCCACTCTCCCCATGAGAGAGAAGCCAGCTTTTCCGGGAGACAGGTTGAAAGCAGAGAAGAGAGAGAAAGAAATGGAAACTAGGATGTAGGTGCTAGCATTGAGTTACCGGATCAAGCCTTACCTGAACTCTGCCTCCTCAGGTTGCATGGGCCATATATTTATTATATCTATTTCATAAACTTTCTAGCCAGTACAGTTCAGTACCCATAGAAGGAACAAAGGTATACATGTTGAATCTCTAAAATTTTCCAGAGTTAAACATTTAGGCCATTTAGCTTAGCATTGGATAAGAATTAGATAAGACAGTCAGGAGATGAGGGCTTATGCAAGCTGATGCTCTGAACCTTTTACCTCTGTGTGTTCCCTGGCAAAACTTCATCTAGCAAGACCATTTATCTGGCACCAATGCTGGTTCTAACACCCCCTCCATGTTCAAGCAAACCTATGGGTTTCAGCCTAGACTACGAGAGAGAAACATTGATACTCAAACACAAATGCAGTTTAACAACCTGGAGGCTATTGGATGATTGTCAAATTTAGACCCTGCTCAAATTTCTTCTTTGGTGAAGAATGCATGGAGCCTGAAGAGTTTTTAAAGTTTGGCTTCTGTTTCACGCTAACCAAATGCATCTCTTTAGCAGAGAGGCAACTTCCTTTGAATCCCACAAGGTATTTTGGACACTGAACAGGCTCACGAACCCATCTCATGAGCAAAGTGTAAATGAACCCAGAAACACCAAGCTTATGTTTTTCTTAAAATAAACAAGCATAAACAATTTACAGAAAAAAATTCTCAGGGGCAAACCACAGTTGGATGTTAGCAGATTTCAAAACAATTGAAAAATGATTGAACACTTCTTGCGGATCCCAAGACATCTGCAAAATTGCTCAACATTTTTGTGGCCTCCTGGATCTTCAAGACCCCCAAGTATGCATTTATCTACCCAGACAAATCCCCAGCCCACTCAGTGCAAGTAAACTCATCAAGGAAGCATTAGGGTGACTGAATGGCAATTCACCGGGCAACCTGTTATGTTTCTGGCCCATGTCTTCTTGTAAGTCTTCTTATTTATCTTTTTCCATCATCAGGAATGACCTTGAGCAGATCCTTTTCTGTCTTACACTTAGAATTCTCTGAGGAAAGAAATGCTAATACACCCTTCAATAGCCTATTCTATTTTTCCATAAACCTGATGCTCCCAGGAGGTTTTCTTCCACATTACAATTTCTTAAAATCCCATTTGCTTGCTGGGTGCGGTGGCTCATGCCTATAATCCCAGCACTTTGGGAGGCCGAGGTGGGCAGATCACGAGGTCAGGAGCTCAAGACCAGCCTGAAGCCTGATCAACATGGTGAAACCCCGTCTCTACTAAAAATACAAAAATTAGCCAGGCTTGGTGGCGTGCGCCTGTAATCCCAGCTACTCGGGAGGCTGAGGCAGGAGAATCGCCTGAACCCAGGAGGCAGAGGTTGCAGTGAGCCAAGATCATGCCACTGCATTCCAGCCTGCGAGATAGGGTGAGACTCTGTCTCTAAATAAATAAATAAATAAATAAATAAATAAATAAATAAAATAAAAAATAAAAAAAATCCCATTTACTCTTTTTCTTCATCATAATTCTTTGAATATTTGGAAGTGGTGTTTAGGAAAACCTTCTCCTTTTGGAATTAAGTAATCATCACTTTTCTTGCAGTTCTGATTTTTTGACACTGTAACTATCTTCCCAGTTCCCACTATCTTTGCTCCCTCTCTGGCGATTCCTATGGGGCAGACAATGAATGACCAGCCACAAGATACTGACACCTACCTATTTCCTCTCTGAGTTTCAGCTTTAGGGAGATTTCTGGAAATTACCAAGGTAACTTCTTGGGCTCACCCTTTCCCTGCAGGCTTGGGAGAAATCTTAAATTAGTTTAGTTTTATTGCCATACTTGGTATAACTCAGTTAAAGCAATCTTATTCATGGAAACATCTCACAGTAGGTTGGATGTTGATTTAACTAAAATACTACATACAAATCAGGGAAATAAGACAACTGAAAGGCTTGAATTGTATTTGGCATTCTTTAATAGTTCCCAGGTCTCATAAAAACCATGAGGGAGGTGGCAGGATGAAGAAATTGAGCTGTTAAATCAGACGAAAGCCGAATGTGGAAGAGGCCTCATCCTTGGAAGGGAGTTTCTTGTCTATTGCTGACCCCCATGAGGAAGAGAGAAAAACATTTCATTTACTCTTTTGAAAAGAACATAACACTGGAAAACTCTTAATATTAGATGCTGACAACCAGCTATTTCCTGTCATATACACTAGTCTATACATTTTTTTTAAGGGAAAACAATTTACTAGTTCAAAAGTAGACATGTTAATCATGGGGAACATTTTGAAAAAAATGGAAGAAATGAAAACAAGAAAATTAAAAATTTTTCATAATCTTATCACATGGAGACATATAATAGTTTTTTATAAGTCTCTAGTGCTTGATTTTTATTATGATTCTTTTTCTTTCTCTCAAAAACTAAAAATTGAAATCATGCTGAATATATTGTGTTGTAACTTACTTCTTTCATGATAAGAATTATTCTTAAACAGAATATTATTTGATGTCTGAGTTATAAAGTTAGATCATATCTCTAAAAGTTTTTGTTTTTTTTTTTCTGGCTACCATAAATCATGCTTTCATAAACAAACATCTCTGGAACTAAATCTTTATGCCGAGCCAACATCTTTTCTATTTCTATGTATTTCGATGTATTTCTAGAAGTTAAATTACTGGGTCAAGGAGATGCAAAATTGTAGAGCTTTTAAATATAAATCTCCAGGAAGACTAAACCCACCAGCAAGGTATAAATGTTTCATCACACAAATTCAGTATATTTTAATTAAAATTTCTAATTTATAGATAAAATAATAGCTCATGGGTTTTATTTGATTATTAAGGAGTTGAGTATTTTCTTTTTTTTTTTTGAGATGGAGTCTCGCTCTGTCACCCAGGCAGTGCACGATCTTGGCTCACTGCCAGCTCTGCCTCCTGGGTTCATGCCAGTCTCCTGCCTCAGCCTCCCAGGTAGCTGGGACTACAGGTGCCCGCCACCACGCCCGGCTAATTTTTTTGTATTTTTAGTAAAGACATGGTTTCACCGTGTTAGCCAGGGTGGTCTCAATCTCCTGACCTCGTGATCCACCTGCCCCGGGCTCCCAAAGTGCTGGGATTACAGGCTTAAGCCACCGCGCCCAGCCAAGAGTTGAATATTTTCAAGTAAAATATTGCCATTTACATTCATGTGCTTTGCCTGGTTATCAATAGTAAGACATACTTAAAAAAAATTTGTTAATTTAATTTTTGCATAGTAAGTATAGCAATTCTATGCTTTCTCTCATATGTTGAAAACATTCATTTTAACTGTAGATTGGTGCTTATTTTTGTATAATACCATTATTAAGCTATAAATGATACTATTAATTAAACTACAATACTATTAACTAGACTACATGTATATTTTCTTGGACTGATCTGTATTTGGAGATGTATTTTGACAATATTTTAAATTTCTTCTTCAGCATTTTTACTTGGTTAGTCAATTTTAATAACTTTCACTTTTATAGAAAATCATTCATTTTATTCAGATTTCAAAATAATTAATATTGCATTTTTGTTGTTGTTGTTTGTGTTGTTTTTGGAGAAGGAGTCTTGCTCTGTCACCCATGCTGGAGTGCAGTGGCGCGATCTTGGCCCACTGCAACCTCTGCCTCCCGGGTTGAAGTGATTCTCCTGCCTCAGCCTTCCAAGTAGCTGGGACTACAGGTGCATGCCACTATGCTCGACTAGTTTTTGTATTTTTAGTAGAGATGGGGTTTCACCATGTTGTCTAGGCTGGTCTCGAACTCCTGAGCTCAAGCGATCTGCCTGCCTTGGCCTCCCAAAGTGCTGGAATACAGTTTTAACAATTACTCTATAAAAACATTTGCAGTCTCCTTTATGTCTGTCGTGTATGCCCTTTCTTAATTCTGATAGTGAAATTGATTTCCTTGACTTTGGCTTGGAGTTTGTCCATTTTATTAGTCCCCTTAAGGAATCAGCTGCAGAATTTTAAGAAATCTGTTCTGGGATTTTTTTTAATTATGATTTTTTGGTCTTACTCATTTATTAGTTAATATTTACTGCTTTCTTCCTGCTTGTCTTCTTGAGTTATTCTTCTATTCTCTCAAGTCCATTTTAGTATCAGATGTTGGAGCCTCCTTGCCCCATACACCTTTCATTGCTGGGCCCTCCCCTAACAGCTCACACCTGCATTTTCTTTCCTTTTTTTTTTTCTAAAAAGTCACCTTTTCAATGAAGCCTTTCCAGCCATTTTATCTAAAATGTCAATAAATCCCTTCTCCTGTCTCCAGATTCTCCCCCTGACTTCCTGGTTTTATTTCTCTCATTAGCACTTAATCACTAAATATGCAATATACTTTACATATTTATCTTATTTATTTTTTGTCTCTTCCACCAGCCTATAAGCTCCACGAGAGCAGAGATTTTAATCTATCTTCTTGTTCACTGCTTTTCTCCCCAGCTTTTAGAAGAAGTGCCCAGTTTATAGTAGGTGCTCAATAAAAATTTGTTCACTGAATGAATGAATGAAAGAAACCATGACACCTCAAGGCAGGAAGCTTTGAATAGTAGAGCTCAAAGAGTCAGCTCCATTTATGACAATCACTTTCTTAAGTTCTTCAGTTTTACTGTACATTTTACCTTTCTCATGTCTTGTCTTAGAGTCTTAAAGTTGTTTTCATGGCTGGCGGGTGATAGTGAGATATGAGAGAACCTGGGGTCATGAAACATGAAGCTCTTCTTGCCATAGCCACCCTTCTACAAGGGTATAGGATACACATGTACAGGAGACAAGGCCACAAGGCCATACTCTTTTTTTTTTTTTTTTTCCAAAAGAAAACAGGGTCTTGCTCTGTTGTCTAGGCTGGAGTGCAGTGGTGCGATCTCGGCTCACTGCAGCCTTGACCTCCTGGGTACTAGTGATCCTCCCATTTCAGCCTCCCAAATAGCTGGGACTACAGATGCATGCCACCATGCCCAGCTAATTTCTAAAACATTTTTTGTAGAGACGAGGTCTCCCTATATTGCCCAGGCTGGTCTTGAATTCCCGGGCTCAAGAGATCCTCCTGCCACTGCCTCCCGAAGTGTTGGGATTACAGGTGTGAGCCACCATGCCCGGCGCAAGTCCATACTCTTGATTCAAATGATGATTGTGCCCCAGACCCAGTGAGGTACCCTGGACCATGGGGAAAACTTTTTTGACCAGGAAAAGGGGGGCAGCTTTTCCTTATCTCTTACCCTACCCTGGAATCTTAGTCTTTTTTGTATTTCCCTCCTCTAATCGTTCAGAAACAGTCCCTTCCTTGAAGGCACACCTGCCAGTGAGAAGAGCCTTTGCCTGAAATGCCTAGGCCTGAACATAGGTCCAAAGTAAGAATTCTCATCCCAGATCCCTTTGACCTCTTCAGCCACGTAGAAAAGACTTCCAAGGGACCATGACAAGAAGGCTCAGAACTTTAGCCACTCTTCTCTATACCCCAAATCTCTCTTCCTATCACTAACTTTCTGTGCCCACAAATGTGAGGACTGGTGAATAAAGAGGAGCAGGCACAAAGGGGACCTTGAACAACCTCCCCCTCCATAGTCTAAGAGCCACAGAGTCCTGTAAACAGGGAATTGTAGATCTGGGAGGGAAGCATTACTTCTGAGAGGAAGCCCGTTTCGTTATCAGACAGCTGTCCTCCTTGTAGATAGGTAAAATGAGTTTGCCAGAAAGTTCTACATTTCCTTTCTGATGGAACTCCCGTGAGTCAAACAAGCCAAATATACTCATTCAGCAAGACTTTTACTTGTATAGTTCTGTTTAAAAGGGAATGCCCAGGATTAGACAAAGTACCCCACACACATCTTGAACAGAGCAGATTGCTAGCTTATATATAATATGAACAGTTTTTCCAGAGTGGAAAAGACAATGTGGCAAAGGAAGACTCTGGAATTCATATCCTCGCAAGGGACCATTTGTCCCCAAGGGGATTTTATGTGGTAACTGTTTTGACTAGTTGAAAACCATTATATGGATCTGCTCATTGTCTTTTCATGATGGATGAGGGGTCCCGGAGGTAGATTTTTGCTTTCTATGAAGATGTGCTTTCCAAGAAATTGGACTGTTAAACAATGAACAGGGTGACTATGTAAGAACAGAGTGTTTTATTCAAACAGAATCTGTTTGACCATCTCTTCAGTCTCCTGTAGAGAGTTTCATGCATGGGATGAGTTTGGACTAGGTGGTCTCTGAATTCTTTTATATCTAATTCTTTCTCCTTTTTTATATTTAGAAATAAACCCAGACTGTTAGGAGAAAGCAAAGATCAGAGAAGCATGAACATCAAGGCAGTTCTGTAGCCATTTATTTCAGCCCAGCAGGCTGGGGTATGACAAGGTGGCTACACCCTGCCCACTTCTACTTTCTGGGGCCCTGATATGCATGGCGGGCACCTGAAAAATGGGCAAAACCATAGTCCCTCCGTCCTACAACACTTGTACAACTCCCACTGAAGACTTTCCTGCTACGTTGGAACCTAGAGCCAGTGGCCGGGCGTGGCGGCTCACACCTGTAATCCCAGCAATTCGGGAGGCCGAGGCAGGTGGATCACTTGCGGTCAGGAGTTCGAGACCATCCTGGCCAACATGGATAAACCCCATCTCTACTAAAAATACAAAAATTAGCTGGGCGTGGTTATGCATGCCTGTAATCTCAGCTACTTGGGAGGCTAAGACAAGAGAATAGCTTGAACCAGGGAGTCGGAGGTTGCAGTGAGTTGAGATCACACCACTGCACTCCAGCCTGGGGAAAGAGCAAGATTCCACCTCAAAAAAAAGAAAAAAAAAAAAAAAGAACCTACAGCTGGAAACTGAATTGTTTACCCAATTATATTAGTCTTCTGGGGCTGCTGTAATAAAACGCCACAAACTGGGTGGCTTAGAGCAACATAATTTATTCTCTCACAGTTCTGAAGCCCAGAAGTCCTACATCAAGGTATTACTGAGGCCAATGCCTTCTCTGAGACTCCACGTGGAATCTTCCCTGGCCTCTTCCTAGATGTTGCCAGTGGCTGTCAACCCTTGGCATTCCTTGGTTTGCAGCTGCATCACTCCAGTCTCTGCTCTTGTCATCACGTGGCAGTCTCTTCCTGTGTCTTTACATTGTCTTCTAATAACACCAGTCATATTGGATTAAAAGCCTACCCCACCCCAGTATGGCCTCCTCCTAACTCAGTTACTGTTGCAATGACCCTATATTCAAATAAGATCACATTCTGAGGCACTAGGGTTAGGATTTCAACACATCTTTTTGGAGGACACAATTTGTGTTTCCCTGTTTTTGCATTGCTGTAAAGGAAGAACAGGCTGGATAATTTATTTTTAAAAAGAGGTTTAATTAGCTCACAGTTCTGCAAGCTGTACAGGAAGCAAGGCACCAGTATATATTCCTGTGAGGGCCTCAGAAAGCTTACAATCATGGTAGAAAGCAAACGAGGAGCAGGTGCATCACATGGTCAGAGCGGGAGGAGCGGGGGGTGCCACATACCTTTAAACGACCAGATCTTGCATGATCTAATAGAGTGAGAACTCACTCATTATCAAGAGGACAGCACCAAGTCATTCATGAGGTATCTGCCCCCATGTCCCACACACCTCTCACTAAGCCCCACCTCCAACATTGGAGGTCACATTTCAACATGAGATTTGGAGGGGACAAACATCCAAACCATATCATTCGGCCCATGGTCCCCCTAATCTCATGTCCTTCTCACATTGCAAAATATAATAATCTCTTCCCAACATCCCCCAGAGTCTTAACTCTCTCCAGCACCAACTAAACCAAAAGTCCAAAGTCCAAAGTCTCATTAAGACATGAGGCATGTTCCTTCCACCTATGAGCCTGTAAAATCCAAAACAAGTTATTTATTTCTAAGATAAATTGATGGTACAGGTATTGGGTCAACATTCCCATTCCAAAAGGGAGAAATTGGCCAAAAAAAAAAAGGAGGCAACAGGCCCCCAACAATTCTGAAACCCAGCAGGGCAGGCATTAAACCTTAAGGCTCCAAAATAATCTCCTTTGACTCTGTGTCTTGCCTGCAGGACACACTGAGCAAGGGGTGGGCTTCCGAGGCCTTGAGCAGCTCTGACCCTGTGGTCTTCCAGAGCACCACCCCTGTGGCTGCTCTTATGGGTTTGAGTTGATTGCCTGTAGCTTTTCCACACTCAGACTCTCACGGTTTTGAGTTGAGTGCCTGTACCTTTTATCATCAGCAACTTCCAATGGCTCTACCATTCTCAGGTCTGGAAGGCAGTGTTCCCATTCCCACAGCTCCACTCACTAGGCAGTGCCACAGTAAGGACTCTGTGGGGGCCACAACCTCACATTACCCCTTGGCACTGCCCTAGTAGAGTCTCTTGGTGGGAGTTCTGCCCCTGCAGCAGGCTTCTTCCTGGGCACCCAGACTTTCACATACATTTTCTGAAATCTAGGGAGAAGCTTCCAAGCCTCATTTACTCTTGCATTCTGAGGACCTGCAGGTTTAACACCATGTGGTAGCCTCCAAGGCATATGGCTTGCACCCTCTGGAGCAGTAGACTGAGCTGTACCTGAGGACCTTTGAGCTGTAGCTGGCACTAGAGCAGCCAGGATGCAGGAAGCAGTGTCTCAAGGCTTCACAGGGCAGCAGGGCCCTGGGCCTGGCCTCCGAAACCATTCTTTTCTCCTAAGCCTCTGGGGCCTAGGATGGAAGGGGCTGCTTCAAAGATTTCTGAAATGCCTTAAAGATCTATTTCCCATTGTTTTGGATCTTAGCGCTTGGCTTCCTTTTAGTCATTCTAATCTCTCTAGCAAGTGATTGCTCCACAGCCTGCTTGTATTCCTCTCCAGAAAATGCTTTTTCTTTCTTTGTCACATGGCCAGGCTGCAAATTTTCCAAACTTTAATGCTCTGCTTCCTTTTTCAACATAAGTTCCAATTTCAGGTCATTTCTTTGCCCCCACATTTGATTGTAGGTTGTTTGAAGCAACCAAGTCATATCTTGAATGCTTTGTTGCTTAGAAATTTCTTCTTCCAGTTACCCTAAGATATCATTCTTAATTTCTTTTTTTTTTTTTTCTTTTTCAGAGACAGAATCTTGCTCTGTCACCCAGGCTGCAGTGCAGTGGAGTGATCTTGGCTCACTGCAAGCTCCGTCTCCTGGGTTCACACCATTCTCCTGCCTCAGCCTCCACAGCAGCTGGGACTACAGGTGCACGCTGCCACACCTGGCTAATTTTTTGTATTTTTAGTAGAGATGGGGTTTCACCTTGTTAGCCAGGATGGTCTCAATCTCCTGACCTTATGATCTGCCCGCCCTGGCCTCCCAAAGTGCTGGGATTACAGGAGTGAGCCACCGCACCTGGCTACTCTTAATTTCAACCTTCTACAGATGCTAAGGACATGGACAATGCAGCCAAGCTCTTTGCTAGGGCATAACACAGGTGAGGTGACCTTTACTCCAGTTCCCAATAACTTCCTCATTTTCATTTCAGACCTCATCAGCCTGGACTTCATTGTTCATATTTCTATCAACATTTTGGTCACAACAATTTAACAAGTGTGTAATAAGTTCCAAAGTTTCCCTCATCTTCCTATTTTCTTCTGAGCCCTTGAAACCCTTCCCACATCTCCCCATTACCCAGTTCCAAAGCTTCTTCCACATCTTCAGGTATCTTTACAGCAACACCCCACCCCTCAGTACTAACTTTCTGTATTAGTCTGATTGTGCATTGCTATAAAGGAATACCTGAGGCTAGATAATTTATAAATAAAAGAGCCAATAAAAATTGGCTCACAGTTCTACAGAGTGTACAGAAAGCCTGGTGCCAGCATCTGTTCCTGGTGAGGGCCTCAGGAAACCTACAATCATGGCAGAAGGCAAAGGGGGAGCAAGTGTGTCACATGGTGAGAGTAGGAGTGAGGATGGTGGTGTGCCACACTCTTTTAAACAACCAGATCTCACATGAATTAATAGAGTGAGAGTGAGAACTTACTCATTATTGAAAGTACAACACCAAGCCATTCAAGAGGGATCCACCGCTATGGCCTAAAAAGTCCCCACTAAGCCCATCTCCAACATCAGAGGTCACATTTCAACATGAGATTTAGAAGGGACGAACATCGAAATCATATCACAATTCAACTTATAACACCAAATAAAATGAAAGATAGAAGGAAGAATAAATCCAACAGAAAAAGGAATAAGAACAACACGTACTTCTTCCATGCATTTCTTGGTGCATGGATGTTTTCAACTCTGTACAGGGTTAAGGCAAAATGTAGAAAGAAAAGAAAATGCTATGGTGGAAAATAAAAGGATCATTTAATTTTATACAGCACCTTTTCTCTAGGGTTTTTTAAGTATACAGTCATTGTTATAAATGTTGTATGTATACTTGTGGGTTTGTCTATAAGACACATAGAAAATTGCTTTAACTACTTGTCGAGGGAGGAAAAGAAAATAAATCTTTTGAACTGATTTCCAAGATAGGATATTCAGGTGATTAGGATTCTTTACATAATCCAAGATCAAACAGGCTCTTATTAGAGGCTGGTTGAGAGGCAGGACACTGAACTTTGAATTGAAGTTAAAATGTAAAACATTTCATGGTGAAGGAGAGGAACAGAGTGGATAGCATTATGGCCCCAATTTTTTGCTACTCCTGCTTTGCACATGTTTTGCCCTGTGGCTTTGCAGTTGCCACGACACTAGAAAATGTGACTTGATTTGGCCAAAAGAAGGACCCATACCCATACTGTGCCACTTCTGAGTGTATGCATCAAGAGACTCCACATACGTTTTGTTCAATATTTGTGTTTATGTCATTAACATAAGAATATGCTTGGGCTGAATGGTCCAAGGAAAATGTTTAGAGTTACGTGAAACCGTGTTAAGACCCACTGAATTCAGCTGATCCCCACCAACTCACAGATCTTTGAGAATAAATTATTGTTGCTTCAAGTCACTGAATTCTGGGGTAATTTGTTATATAGCATTACTTTGGCCATAGTAATGATATAGGATAAAAGGAATATGATTCAGAGGGTTAGGAGAAAAAAAATGCAGTTACTTTTGATTTACCTGTGGCTGCTATTCCAGGGTGCTCTTTTGAGGCATGATTACTTTACGCACCTTTTACTTTGTTAGTTACCTTACTTTTTAAAATTCAACGTCCCCTGGGAATTTGTTGGAAATGTAAATTCTAAGACTTACTCCCAGATTTACTGAATCAGACACTCTGGGATCGGGGACCCAGCGTCCATATTTTAACTAGCCTTCCAGGTGATTTTAACACCCAGTAAAGTTTGAGATCTAGTGCTCTCCATGCAATAGAATCATCTAGTGGGCATTCACAAGACATAGAAGAAGCCTAAGTTCCACACCTCCCTTCCCCCAGATCCTATTTAAGTGCTTCAAAACCTCTCCAGGTGATTCTAATATGCAGCCAAATTTGAAGACCCCTTTTCTAGAGGGACTTAATCTAGAAAGTAATTTGCTTCAATTTGACACTGTGTGTGAGAACAGCACTTGGAAATAATAAAAATTGACACAACCATTGAGGTCAACCAAATCAATATGAAATTTTGTTCACCCGATCGAATACTTTTATCTTCGTACCCATCCATCAAGACCTTGTTCGTGCCTTTGACACAGGAGATTTGCCTTCTCATGTGCTGTTCCTGTGGTCTAGAATAATTTCCCCTCTTCGGCCAGGCGCGGTGGCTCAGGCCTGTAATCCCAGCACTTTAGGAGGCTCAGGCGGGTGGATCACGAGGTTAGGAGATGGAGCCCTTCCTGGCTAATACGGTGAAACCCCGTCTCTACTAAAAAAGATACAAAAAATTAGCCGGGGTGGTGGCGGGCACCTGTAGTCCCAGTTACTCGGGAGGCTGAGGCAGGAGAATGGCGTGAACCTGGGAGGCAGAGCTTGCAGTGAGCCAAGATTGCGCCACTGCACTCCAGCCTGGGCGACAGAGCGAGACTCTGTCTCAAAAAAATAATAATGATAATAATAATTTCCCCTCTTCATTTACCTGGTTAACACTTATTTATCCTTCAAAATCCCTTTCTGCCCCTCCCAAGTTGAATTATCACTGCCCCCTTTGTTCTAAGAAATTCTTACCTCTCTTAGCACTTCTTATGTTTATAATTGCGATTATTTTCTCTTTTACTAGACCATGAGCATCTTGATGTCAGTACCCATTTATTATTCTTTTTTTTTTAAATCTCCAGAAACACAGAGAAAGCTCTTTGTGTGCATATTGAATGAAATGAGTTCATTCTATGGCTATTCTTTGTAGGCCACCTCTTCAGCACTTCTGGGATTTTTTATTGTCAGTTCTTCCTCTGAATACACTACATATGCCAAATATAATCCATTAAAACTAGATTCTCTTCTAGGTTTTCTTCTCAGTACTACCCCCTGTTTTTTTTTTTTTGTTTTTTTTTTTGTTTTTTTTTTTTTTTGGTAGAGATTAGGTCTCACCATGTTACCCAGGCTGGTCTTGAACTCCCGGGCTCAAGCAATCCTCCCAGCTTAGCCTCCCAAAGTGCTGGGTTACCATCATGAGCCACTGTGCCCAGCCAGCACTCCTTTATTCCCAATATATTATCTCCCTGAATGATTTCATTAATTTGCACTGGTGTGTGGATTGACTCATAAATCCACATTTCTTGACCCAACCCTTCCCTTGAGCTCCAGAACTACATTTCTAATGGCCTCCAAGAGTAAATGGATGGTTTGCTCAGACTCTAAAACCAACATATATGAAATAAAACTTTCACCTTCCCTGAAGCCCTAGCTTTTCCTTTCTGACTTCCCAGGCGCTAATTAGAACCACTACTAATCAGTCAGTAATTCTAGACAGCTAGGCACAGCAGCGAGGCCATCGCCAACTTTCTGGGGTCCATGCTAGAGTGGCATTTCACCCATTGATTTCCCCAAATTCATTGCCACTGCTTTATTCACATTGTCACTGTCTTCACCCACCCTTGTAATAGGATACCGATAGATGTCCCTTGATTCCTGTCTCTTACCTTTGCATTCAAGCTCCATATTACCAGAATTATCTTCTTGAGAGAAGAATCAGATAAGAAAATTACCTTCCTTATAACCTCCCAAACTTGCATTTAGCTTCTCCTCCTTTGGCGATAGTAACGGATATTTGCTGCAAGCTTGGAAAATGAAGCGACGTTTCAACTTGGTCATGCCGACTTGCTTTGTTTCATGGGCCCCCCTCGTCTTCCCTGGGGCTGCCCTGTTTCTTCATACTCCTCAGACTCTGGGCCCCTGAGTTTTTCAGGAGGTGCCAGAGCATCGCCGGCAACACCTAAGAAAGGTCATCTTTTTGACCTCATCATTATTGCGTACTCTCATTAAGGGCAAAGATCAAATCTTTTGCTTAGCCACACTTGTCAGCTAAAGTTAGCACAAAACCGGGCAACAGAAGCCTCTGAGGAAATCCTTCTGAATGAGTAGGTGTGAGAAAGATAAATAAATAACAGAGGTCCCTTGGTCAAAGCAGCAGAGCTAGGCAGCTCTCTGAAGCTGCGAAAGACCCTGGGAGCTTTGCTGCAGCGAAGTGCCTAGTCTGGAATTGATGGATGCATTTTGCATCTGGGCTTCTAACCAGAAGAGCCTCTCCTCACTTTAAGGAATGTGAAATTGAAGGCTCACATTGCTATGTGAAGCCAGAGGGCTTTTCAGTACAATGCAACATCATGTTCTACTTACCGAATGGTGGGGCTTTCCCTTCACATGGGGATTGGCTCTGAACCTGAACGGGCTGTGCCAACGGGAGATTCCTTGATGTTCCTTGCTGTTCATGCTCCATGTTTCTGTTCAGTGGAGCATCCGATTACCGATGTGGACCAGGCTCTGTTCGGCTCCCTCCTCACACTTTATTGCTCATGATTTTCATATGTTTTGGGTCCATTTTCAAGTCTCCCTCCACCCCCTAGTCTCTGCTCAGCAGGGCTATAAAAATGGATCCTTTCATCTCTTCGCCAGCAACAATCCTCCCCGCTCCCTTGATCATTTGGCTAACTCATCTCTGAACTTCGTCCAAGCTGTCTGTCTACTCAGGATTCCTTGTCTCCCCAACCAAGATCAGTCTCCCAGGTGTGGTGGATGATTAGTACAGAGGAAGGAGTTATGTACACTGTGATTAGCACAGTAATAACCGTGATGTTAATAATAATAAGAACTCAGTGCTGACAATGCACCTGGACTATAGCAAACAAGAGGAAGACGTTGTTTTAGCCCAGGGAGATGATCTTTCATTCTTTTTATTGTAACATTTATAATTCTTTTTCTCATTATGCCAGTAACATTCATTCTTTGTGAACATTTGAAAAATTCAGGAAAACATAAATATATCAATATCAATTACCTATAATCCTGCCATGCAGAGATAACCACTGTTCTGTAACTACTTTGGTGTTTTGTGTTTAGATATGTTTGCTACACACACTTGCAGACTCACGCAGAAAAATACAATGGTTGCAGATGGATTTCAAGCTGTATATTTAATTTTGTATCCTCTTTCCCTAATACCATATCAAAAAGATTTTTCTTTATCATTAGATATTCTTCTATAGCATATTTTAAATGGTTATATAGAAATGTATACTGAGTGATGTGTTTGGCCATTTCTTTATGGGTGGACTTGTGGACTCTGTCATTATGAAAATACTGTGGGGAAGAAGCATGGGACAGAGCAAGTGAAAGTGACCCACAGAAATAGCCTGTCATCGGGACAAGAGCTGGCAGCAAGCTCAATTCCCACACACTCAGTTCTCACTTGCCAGGAAAATGGGGAATGTATAAGCACTGAGCCAGTCAGGTGGGAAGGAAACACCATTTTATTTTTTTTTTTTTTTTTTTTGAGGCAGAGTCTCGCTCTGTTGCCCAGGCTGGAGTGCAGTGGCACAATCTCGGCTCACTGCAAGCTCCGCCTCCCAGGTTCACACCATTTTCCTGCCTCAGCCTCCCTGGTAGCTGGGACTACAGGCACCCGCCACCACACCCGCTAGTTTTTTGTATTTTTAGTAGAGATGGGGTTTCACTGTGTTAGCCAGGATGGTCTCGATCTCCTGACCTCGTGATCCGCCTACCTCAGCCTCCTAAAGTGCTGGGATTACAGGCGTGAGCCACCGAACCCAGCCAGAAACAGCTTTTTAAGTGAGCTGAGAAAGGGGTATGGAGCAATCTTCCTTGTGTCTAGACCTTAACCCTTTAGCCGAATAAACAGAGATGACCTAGAGGGGGTGAGGGAAGGGCAACAGCCTGAAGAATTAGCAGTCTTGCCCACCCAGCCTCATGGGGCAGTGGAGGGTCTCACCCACATCTCAGAGCTTAAGTGGGAGTTATTGTCCCAGCACAGACAATCATGACCTACCCTAAGAGATAAACCAATATGGTGATAAAATTGCCTTCGCGGATGTAAGATATTCTCTGGAGGGAGAGACTATAGCAGGTCAAATCTACTTCAATGTAAAACATCGACTGCTTCTGTTTTACTTTCTTTTCATAGCTGTATTAGAAAGATCCAATCCTTCCTGGGGGGTTGGAATGGGGATTACATGTAAAGGGGCCTGGGGGAGTTTGTTGGGGGAAATGCAAATGTTCTAAATCTGATTTGTGGTCATGATGTACTTCTTAATAAGGTTACCAAAAATTATTGAATTAAACATTATCATATGTAAAATATACTTCCAATAAAGCTATTAAAAATAGAGCTAAAAACATCTAGCTTAAAAAAAAAATCTAGTGTGAAACAAAGAAAATAGACCCTTTTTTGAGCATTGAATAGATGCAAGTTGAGAAACCCGGAAAGACTTGTGAAAAGCAAGATGGCGGCCTGCACAGTAGATCCCATCCATGTGGTGTCAGGCATAGAAAGCTGTACCCCAGCCAACTGAATATAGCTGGAATTGCCCTAAGACAAACTTTTGTCCTAGCTTTTTTTTTCCTCGCAAATGGCTTGTCATTTTCCATCTTTGTCCAGCAGTAATTTTATCTTTAGGGACAAAGATTGGCCATCTAAAATTAGATTAGGCTTTGATTTTTGCTGGCTATGTGAGTTTGGGTGAGTCGCTTAACCTTCCCGGGACTTGGATACCATGTCTGAGAGTGAGAGATGATGACTGGCTCTCAAAGGCCTGTTGAGTTTTAATATTCCTCTAACTTCATGATTCCTGCTTTGTAAACGATTATTAACACATTTTTATAGCCAATTTTCTAGTCTCTATTGTGCTCAAGAACAACTGTAAGTCATGAGTATATTGTAAGATTAAATGGAATAATAGACCTGAAAGAGATTTGCTGACAAAAAACAACACCTATATCTCTGGGGATGTAAAATGGTTAGCACAAGGCATTATCCTGACTTCCTCCCAAGTCAACCTTTAATATTCTTCCAAAAACGTACCTCCTAATGTTGGAGAAATGGTTGTCATCGGCTGGACTTGGTTGGGCTGAGTTTTGCTGATTTTTTTTTTTTTTTTTTTTTTGAGACGAAGTTTTGCTCTTGTTGCCCAGGCTGGAGTGCAATGGCACAATCTCGGCTCACTGCAACCTCCAGCTCCCAGGTTCAAGGGATTCTCCTGCCTCAGCCTCCCGAGTAGCTGGGATAACAGGCATGTGCCACCATGCCCGGCTAATTTTGTATTTTTAGTAGAGATGGTGTTTCTCCATGTTGATTAGGCTGGTCTCGAACTCCTGATGTCAGGTGATCTGCCTACCTCAGCCTCCCAAAGTGCTGGGATTACAGGCACTGGCCGCACCCAGCCAAGTTTTGCTAATTTTTTGACCTGATCTTTAAAACAAAAGTTCTCTCCACATACATGAACATTAATAATATCCTCATTGCAAAGTAGAAGAAAACAACAACAAGAAGAGCAAGTTGAAGGATCTTAACTGAGTACCTAAAAGGGGTAAAGAATTCCAGAAAGCAAATGGTTGGTACAAACAAGTGCTCCACAATGCTCAGGTTTTGCTTCTCTGTGAGCCTGCAGAACAAGTCTGTTCTCTTGCCATACCCCACAGGTTTCATATGTCATTCTTCACAAGGCCCTTCCAGAATGGACACCGCCAAGCAGGTATATGGTTCTTGGAGTTGGTGCTTCATGTTGACAGTGCAGCCATTTCATCATCTGTGAAAATGTGGCGGGGGGGCGGGTGTGGTGGCTCACACCTGTAATCCCAACACTTTCGGAGACCGAGGTGGGCAGATCACTTGAGGTCAGGAGTTCGAGACCAGCCTGGCCAACATGGCGAAACTCTGTCTCTACTAAAAAAAATACAAAAATTAGCCAGGCCTGGTGATTAGCCACATGCCTATAATCTGGCTACTGGGGAGGCTGAGGCAGGAGAATCTCTTAAACTCAGGAGGCAGAGGTTGCAGTGAGCCAAGATGGTGCCACTGCACTCCAACCTGGGCAACAGAGCAAGACTCCATCTCAAAAAAATAAAACATAAAACAAAAAAAAAAATGTGGCAGGGAGCACTGGTGGGCTTTGGTAAAGGCTGAACCTGGGACTCACAGTTCAAAATGAAATGCAATGGGGCATCAATCAGAGATATGTAGATATATGTAAATATATTAGATTTTTAATGCTACTCTGAAATGCCAGTTTGGCCCTCAAACTTATGCTCTCATCAAGTGGCCAGCTGCCAAATTGATACTTTGTTTTTTGCTGCCCAGACAGAGCCTAAGAACTAAAAAATCCTTTTTTTTAACTTCTTGAGTGCTGGCTTGTATTTGCACAATAAAGCTCAACATCTTGCTGTAACAGCCTTGCTGGCTGCATTCGTATAGCCCTTCCTTGGTAGAGAGTGATTGTGGCTAGAAGCCCTGAGAACAGAAGTGAAAGGTTAAGCTCACAATATAGGCTTTCGTTCCAGATGGGGTGGGTTACTTTGCAGGACAGTTGAGTCTGAAAGGTGAAAATGAAATAAATACATCTTCTCTCTCAACGCCTTTCCCATTCTCCCTGGGGGTTTGAATGAAGAGGATGTTTTCCAGATTGAAAAGGATCACCTGCCAAAGTTAGCTGCTTCAACAGGTTGGTTCATTCCGTTGCTCATTCCTTCGTTCACACTCTCTTCTAAATACTCATTCATTCATTTTCCTCCATGTTTTCCCTCATTTTTCTTCCATGTTTTCTGGCACTCAGCTTTATAAACACTTGCTGACCCGCCTGTACGTGTCCAGAGCTCTAGCTGGCTCTGGTGACACAAAGATGAATAAGACATGGTATTTTCTTCCAAAACACTCACTAAGGAAAGACAAATAAAAACACATAATTGCAATCTTGTGGGATGAGGAATACCACAGAGGCTTGTAATGAGTACAAGCATGGAATAATTAATCCTACAGGTGTCACTATCCGGCAAAAAAGTTCTTTTGACCATCACATAAAGTGATTATTGTGGTATGGTCACATAGACAGCTTATCTTTCTCATGGATACAAGCATTTGACGATAGAAGGAAAATGCACTTCTGAAAAGTTATAATAACACACACACACACACACACACACACAGTTTATTAAGGCAGTCGATCTTCCAGGATTTCTCCCAAGCTGTTCTCCCTCTCTTACTCACAAGTGTGGAAGTTTGCCCAGATGACTTGGTTCCCTGGTGTGGAAGGCTGAGTGCCAATAGACTCGGTGTGTCGTATCTGTGTTCTTAAGAGATTGGGACCAAGAGGGGATCCTGCAAGCAGCATCAGGATTTCCTTCCATACTCAAGGAAGGGTATGGCTTACTCCTCACTGGCTTGCCGCTCTGAAGGCAAGGATCTCACAATCCTGGTAGAAAACAAAAGATACAGGTTATATTTCTTTGTGACTTACATGTTTGTCAATTATTTAGGAGGAATCCTCCAAAAATCTCAGCAAAAAGATCCAGATATGAAATTTTTTCTTTTCTTCAACAGACCATTGGTGTTTTTAAAACAAATAACAATGGGTTTATCTCTTGGTTTAATTCCGTTTGTCCTGTTCATTCAATTAATAAACATTTATTGAGTACCTGATGTGTGCTAGTACTGTCCTAAGCCCCTGAAGGACACACAACCCCATCTGAGATGTTGCAGAAAGAGGAATGGCTCTCCTATGCCTTAATCTAGGATTTTGTTTTCTCTTTTCCATCCCCTCGACCCCCTACGCTTTTCTACTCACATCATTATCACCAGCACTCTGCATACTTGGGGCCCACCAAGCACTTCTTCATTGATTATGTGTATGCTCTAATTGGATCAATCACTAATAGCTCTGCCTTCAGTAGGTTCCCTGCAGAGCCTGTAAATAATGCAGGCACTTAGGTTGCTCTAAAAGCAGCTTAGAAAACTGAAATCAGGCACCCAACTGAGTAGCTGCAGCAGGTCCTAAAAAATTACAGAGTA
The DNA here is from genome assembly GCF_000001405.40 of Homo sapiens. NCBI lineage: Eukaryota > Metazoa > Chordata > Mammalia > Primates > Hominidae > Homo > Homo sapiens. Next base: position 14,581,483 of record NC_000017.11, read on the forward strand.
TTTATACAGTCATGTGCCCCATAACGACGTTTCAGTCACTGACAGACTGCATGTACAACGGTAGACCTCTAAGATTATAACGGAGCTGGAAAATTTCCTATTGCCCAAAGATTTCAGAGCACAATGCATTACTCATGTCTTTGTGGTGATGCTGGTATCAACAAACCTACTGTGCTGCCAGTCATATATAAAAGTATAGTACATGCTGCCGGGTGTGGTGGCTCATGCCTGTAATCCCAGCACTTTGGGAGTCTGAGGCAGGCGGATCACCTGAGGTCAGGAGTTTGAGACCAGCCTGACTAACACAGTGAAACTCCATCAGCGAAACTCCGTCTCTACTAAAAATACAAAGTTAGCTGGAAGTGGTGGCGTGCGCCTGTAATCCCAGCTACTTGGGATGCTGAAGCAGGAGAATCGCTTGAATCCAGGAGGCAGAGGTTACGGTGAGCCGAGATCGTGCCATTGCACTCCAGCCTGAGCAACAACAGCGAAACTCTGTCTCAAAAAACAAAAAGTATAGAACATGCAAAAAGTCAACTGTAACACACACACACACACACACACACACACACAGTTTATTAAGGTAGTTGATCTTCCAGGGTCTCTCTCAAGGCATTCTCCCTCTCTTACTTGGAAGTTTGGAAGGACCTCAGGCAGGCCCTTCAGTAGGTGTCCAGAAGAAGACATTTTTATCATAGGAGATAACAGCTCCATGCACATTACTGCCCCTGAAGACCTTCCAGTGGGACAAGACGCAAAGGTGGAAAACAGTGATAACGATGATTCCGATCCCGTGTAGGTCTGGGCTAATGTATGTGTTTGCGTTTTATCTTTTAAAAAGTTTGAAAAGTAAAAAAATAAAATAATAGAAGGAAGCTTCTAGAATAAGGATGTAAAGAAAGAAAATATTTTTGCACACCCATACAATGTGTTTGTATTTTAAGGTAAAGTACAAAAGAGTCAAAATGGCATTAACATTAAAAAGTTACAGTAAGCTAAAGTTAATTTACTATTAAAGAAAGAAAAAATTTTAAATAAATCTAGCGTAGTATAAGTGTATAGTGCTTATAAAGTCTGTAGTCAGCCCGGCGCGGTGGCTCATGCCTGTAATCCTGCACTTTAGGAGGCCGAGGCAGGTGGATCACGAGGTCAACAGATCGAGACCATCCTGGCCAACATGGCGAAACCCCATCTCTACTCTAAAAATACAAAAATTAGTTGGGCGTGGTGGCACGCAGCTATAGTCCCAGCTACTTGAGAGGCTGAGGCAGAAGAATCACTTGAACCTGGGAGGCAGGTCGCAGCGAGCCGAGATCGTGCCATTGCACTCTAGCCTGGCGACAGAGCGAGACTCCGTCTCAAAATTAAAAAAAAAAAAAAAGAGTCTGCAGTGCAGTCATGTACAGTAATGTCCTAGGCCTTCACATTCTCTCACCACTCACTCACTAACTCACCCAGAACTATGTCCAGTCCTGCAAGCTCCATTCATGGCAAGGATCCTATACAAGTATACCATTTTTTATCCTTTATATCCTATTTTTGCTGTATCTTTTCTATGTTTAGATACACGAATGCCTATCACTGTGTTATACTGCCTACAGTATTCAGTACAGTAACTGAATTAGTTACTGTAGGCTATTACAGTAGGTTTGTAGCCTAGGAGTAACAGGCTAGACCACATAGCCCAGGCTGTACCATCTGGGTTTGTGTAAGCATTTTTCTGAACAAATTCCTGTTGTTAAGTGATGCATAACTGTACTTTCAACCCTGAGTTTTTTCTGTCCCCAAGCAAAGTGGAATGTAGTCTAGGGCTAGAGAGGAGTGGAGAAAAAGTAGATTTTTCCTTCTTTTCTGACACTTACATATAAGCTTGAGAGTACCCTTGGAGAGCGTAATATTTAATTCATTTCCTTCTTATTCTCCTGAATCACTGAATGCTAGACCTGGTTGCTACCTTAGGATTCTTCTAAGAGCAGTCCTCTGTTGAGTGCGGGTAAGAGGGGAGATGAAAGAGATTCCAGGAGGATGTCAGATGTAGGGTGTGAAGGATTCCCGACCTTCCTCAATAGATTCCCGTTCCAGCTCTCTGAGGATACGTAGATTGGAGTCACTGTCCTCCCCTGTCCCAGAAAGGCTGCTGAGCTCACTGAGGGTCACAAGAAAATATTTTCCTGGGGCTGAATTAGGATCTTTAGTGTGTCTAAGCCCTAAAATTATGAAGAAGCCATTCCTCCTCTACTCTTCCACACCCTCACCCATTCAAAATTCAAACCGCTGTAAACTGTAAAATAATTGGAAGAAATTCCAACAGTGTTATGATTTTTTCCATATTTTGAGCATATTTTGAAATACTAAATTACTTCAATTGGCATGTGTGCGTGCACGTGTGTGTTCCCTTTCTCTTTGCCGTGCTCTAAGCACATGCTTGGGCTGCTTAATGGATTTTCTGGAACTGAGTTGTTGGCCCTGCCCCAGAGAGGCCAAGCTATCCCTAAACTCAGTAACCAAGGCCCAGGATCCTGTACTCCACTCCAAGGGCCAAAAGCTGGCTCCTTATGGGTGGAAAAGTTGTGATACCTTTCCTCACCCATCATAAGGGTCAAGGCCAACACTCCTGTAACAAAAGAGGTGAACAGGAGAAATGCATAACAAATTTATTTAATCAAAGTTTTATGTGACATGGGAGCCTTTGGAAATGAAGACCCAGGGAAAACCTTTTTTTTTTTTTTTGAGATGGAGTCTCGCTCTTTGGCCCAGGCTGGAGTGCAATGGCTCAATCTCGGCTCACTGCAACTTCCGCCTCTCAGATTCAAGTGATTCTTCTGCCTCAGCCTCCTGAGTAGCTGGGATTACAGGCGTGCACCACCATGCTTAGCTAATTTTTGTATTTTTAGTAGAGATGGGGTTTCACCATATTGGCCAGGCTGGTCTCGAACTCCTGACCTTGTGATCCTCCTGCCTCGGCCTCCCAAAGTGCTTGGATTACAGGCGTGAGCCACCGCACCCAGCCAACTGTCTATTTTTATGCTTAGACTTGATGCAGAATAGACAGCCTTGTGGAAATGCAATTGGACAAAGGTTGTGATCTAATGGTAATAGACTAAGCAGGAGCCCAGCATGGTCTGTCTGCTCAGATTCTTCCTGGCCTCCCTGTGTAGTGTTCCTTCCTCCTGGGTATGGGACAGGACCCTTTAGAAAGAGGGTCTTCAAGGGGGAAGGAAGAAGCGAGAGAAGGTGGCGTTTATAGGGTTTATGGCTTACTTTTGGAGAGAAGAGTTCTAGTTTCCATAACCTGCCTTGAGGAAGAATTCTGGTTTCTGTGACTCACTTCGGGGAAGAAAGGAGTGGGAGGCAGGAAGGCAGAAGAAGGTCAGAGAGGGAGTTTATATACGAGGCCGCTTCTGAGACTTTCCAATCCCTCTTAGTTCAAAGTACTCAGTGTACTCAGCATGCCCAAGCACCATACTTTGGGGTGTAGTTTTTTGAGCCCCAGTACTCCTCTCACTGATCAGAGGTAACAGGGGATTGAGGAGCTGACTCACTGGAACTTAAAAGCACACAAGACCAAGAAAAACACCAGAATGCAAATCTAGGAATTTACAATGACAAACGATTGTCACAACGACTGGAAAACGCAGAGTATGTGTGATCGGCACATTCTCTCCCAATAGGCAAAACCAAATACAATTAGATCAAGTTATAATCAGAAGGCTCCAAAGTGGACCCAAAACTGGGAAGTCGATGAATCAGTTGGTTCCAGGCATCAATCTGATTTCTGTGTGCTGGCATGGGAAATGCCAACATATGTCTCCAGCTCCCTCCTTTTGCTATGTTTTCAAAACCAACCAACCCTACTGCTGATTGGAACTTGTTTAGATATGTAAATATATTCAAATAAATTATAAATAGCTGGAAGCTATTTTTTTCTGCCCCAGTAGATTTTATATTTGTGATTCAATCTATCATGCAGTACTCTTAAAATGTTATTCTCACAAGCAACTTCTCCTCATTTCCTGATTCATTTTTTCTGTAGGAGGTGGGAGGTGATAAAGAAGAGGGAATGATAAGTTATTACAGTTCCAGAAAAGGTTATATTTCCCCTCATTTCCAGGTAAGAAAACAGACATGATTATAGTCGTATGGTTTGTGACAAAGGCTGGGAATAGAATAAAAATATTTTATTCATTCCATGAACATGTGTTAATTGAGCACCTACTGTGTGATAGATATTGTGCTAGGTTTGGGGAACAGGACGGCAAGTTTCCTGCCTTCATGGGGCTTGCATTCTAGTTTGGGAGACAGATAATATAGAAATAAAATAACAAATAAATTATAATGTCAGATAGAGATGGAATTAAATTAAAATGATGTGATGGTAGCAGAATGTCAAGGTGTGTTAAAGACTTTCTCTTTGAGAAGGTGACAATTGAGTTGAGACTTGAGTGATAAGATGGAACTAGTTATTCAAATAGCCAGCCCAAGAAAGACATTCCAGGGAAAGTGGAACCAGCTGCTGCAAAGACTGCATGTTCAAATAACAGAAAGAAATCAGGAGGAAGAGTTTAGATTTTAAGAGCAAAGGGAAATCCCTTGAGGGGTCTAAGCAGATGGGTGATATCCTCTGGTTTGTATTTTAAAGCAAACATCCTCACTGCTACGTGGAGAATGGATTGCAGGGAATTAAAAGTGGAACTTGCTTCCAATCTTGATTTCCAACTTTGTGCCCTTTTCTCAATATAATCCGCCTTCTTCAGGCTGTTCAACAGATCAATTCAGTTAAAAAGAAAAACAGAGTCTTAAGTTGTTATTTGCTGGAGTTATAGCATCTAAACCCCTTGTTGATTGACTAAATGTATTCTTTTTTGGTGGGCTATTGTAATACTGTAAATAGAGCCTTAGACTGGCATGCATTAGAGCTTGCTCTAAATTGCTTATATTTATTGGAAAAAGTGGACTGAGTTAAGATGGCTTAGCTAAACCTGTTTGAGACTGAGTTTTCAATTTTGGGAGTCAAGGACCACTGGACTCCCATTCAACCCCTAATAAATATATATGTTATATATAATACATATATAATATAATAGTAGTACGTATATAAAATATATAAAGTTACTACTATATTTTATATATTATATATATGTGTGTGTGTGTATATATATATAGAGAGAGAGAGAGACAGAGAGAGAAAACTTTTCTCTTATTTCAGGTTGATTTGTTTTAAAAAATTATGACAAGTAATGTTCTTCTCCTATATCCACCTTAGGAGTTCTGGGCCAAAATATTTTGGACGAAATTTGAGATAGATTTGGTGTCCTGGGCAGCCACCAACCAAGAGATTTCTGACTGTTTTAGGAAGCATCAGAATAAGAAATCAAAGACTGCACTTGATTGTCTCACTAGAATTCCACAGGAGTCCACAGACCTTAGATGGAGACTGTGAATATTCATTGACATCAACTAGTACTGCTCAGAAGAGTCTGTTTCTTCATACCCTTCTAATATAACCTGAAACCTGTATGTAGAATGTTTATGATTTATTCTCCCTTTAAAAAAATATCAGAGACTCAGAGTCATTTTCAATAATATTTTATTTCCTACAAGCTTTATTTCTAACGATTTTGGCAGTTCAATTTTCCATCCAGTTGAGCCAAGATTGATCACTAAGTTCTCCTAGGTTTAGACATTGAAGTTTGTTCACTGTAACGGTCTTGTTTACTAAGTATGTCTCACCACTTTTTCTGGTAGGTCCCTGGAAGACCAATTTCTTGTACAAAGTAAAACGACATTTGAACTCGGTCATAGCTCGTGGGAACACCATTTGAACACACTCTTTTGAGGGTTTGCAGGAAGATCTGGGGGATGAGAGCTACAATAATCTAATCTGGCCACTGGGGAAGAGTAAATTACTGCTCTCTGTAGTGTACATGACCTTCACCCCAGTTATATTTTTGAAATAATTACATGAGAGTCTGTCAGTGGTGTCTATGGGAGAGTTAAACAGAATTTACAATTGAGTGGTCTGTTCACCCTTGGATGTAGCTCAATGTCTTGAGATAAATTTGCAATTCAAATGATAAAAAGTCTGAAATTCCTTCAAAGCAGCCATTTCATTCAGAATGGTAGTCAAGTGATGTCTAAAATTGGATAGAATAACCATATAGTTGGCTTGCTGACAATTTTTATACAATGGCTAAATATTTTGATTTGATACATCTAACCTGAGTTGAATACTTGTTTAATTTTAGTGATATGTAATTTTAGTCAAACAGTGGGTCCTATAGATCTCATATCAATCCATGCTAGACATAGACATGTGTAATTGATTATTCTTTGGATCAAATACAGCCTCAGTATATTACCTCGCTGTGCTAATGAAGTTTGCTGGCAGCACTTGATTGAGAGGTACTAATGTAGGAAAAGAAGGCCAATATTCTTTGTTGGCTTTTTGCAGTTAAAATTTATCCTTGTCAATGTTCTTAGGGCCTGTGAGATAAAGTTCCCTCAAAAATACATAGCAACAGACCCAATTATAACTTTTTAAGAGAGACTCACCTTAAATATAAACCATGCAACCATCAATCATGGGAAAGCATGAGTGACTATGTTAGTATACTTAAAAAATAGACTTAAGGAATATTATCAGAGATAACTTCAAAATAATAAAAACAAAATCTGACAGAATTAAAATGAGAAATAGACAAATGGACAATTACATTTCAATATTTTAACAATTCTCTTTAAAAAATTGCTAGAACAAGCAGATGATACATGATAAGAAAGAACATAGAAAATGTTAACAATATTATAATTAAAATTAACCTTATTGTCATTTATAGAACTATACCCAACCATAATAGAATACACATTCTTTTCTGGTGAATATGAAACATTCAGCAAGATAGACCATATACTGGGCCATAAAGCAAGTCTTAAAATATAAATAGTAATTAAATCAAATAAACAAATAGTATTGGATTATACATAGTATCTTCTTTTACTACAATGGAATGAAATTAGAAATCAAAAACAAAACAATAGCTGAAAAATCCTCAGATATTTTGCAGTGAGCTGAGATTGCACCAGTGCACTCTAGTCTGGGTGACAGAGTGAGATCCGTCTCAAAAATAAAAAAAAAAAATGAATTATACCATACATAAATTTGGGATTTGCTTTTTTTTTTTTCATTCAGCGTTACACTTCTAATATACATCTATGTTTTTGCTGTAGTTTTGTTCATTCATTTTCTCTCTGTGTTATATTCTATTGTGGGAATGTATTACAACTTATCCACCATCATCTAGATGTTTAATCTGGTCTGTTTTTTGTTTTTGTTGTTCTAATCTCATCAGTTTTGGAAACAAAATATATTGTGTAAACTTACAATTTAAACAATATTTAAAAACAGAGAATTACATAAAAGTATCAACATTAAACCTTCAAATACTTTATGACTTTCTATTTGACAGCATCCCTCTGGCCTCAGGGGTTGTATAATCGAAATGAGCGTGTTTTATTCTCCCCCAAACTTCATGCCATTCCAGATGGTTTCTGCTACTAATTTGTATGTCAGGCTTCAACTCTGTGTCATTGGTCCTTACACTTTGGGGTTTTGATGTGGCTGTCCAGGTGACCTAGAGGGAACAGAAATATTTCTATAACCTTCAAGTCCCTTATAGGAAGGAGGTACCAGAAATGACCTATTCTACTCACAGTGGAGATCAGAATGGTCCAATTTGTGAATGGAATCTTCTGCATAATGTGGTTTTAACAAATGAAGAAACTGAGTCCTGGAGAGAGAAAATAATAAGGTTATGAAGGTTATTAGAGGCATGTCAAATCCCCCAGTGTCTTTGGGAATGAGTGATTGTCTCTAGATAACCAATTAGTATGCAAATAAATTACATTAGAAAGAAAATGCATGAACTTGCCAGGATCATTAATGCATTAACAGAATTATCTTTATTAGATTGGCTTGCTGTTACCTAGCAGAGACCAGGCCTGAGGGAAAGGTTCACCAGGAGGGTCAGTTTTGACTATTTCGTTAGCATGTCCTATTGTCTGGGAATGCCGGTCCCAGAGAAGAGAATCAGGAGAGTGCCTTAGGGCTGAGCCCCAAGGACACAAACAAAAGCATTGGGTTCTTTAGAGGTTGGGGTTGGAGTGGAAGCCTAGGGCAGGGATCAGCATCCAAAGAGGAGAGGTGAGGATGTTTACCAGTGTGATAAATTTGTGCATATACTTGGTTTTTGCATGAACATTTCTGTGTTCAGGGAGAGAAATAGGTCTTTCCTACTTTTGTTTAGGACAGTCTGTGATCATCATAAAGCCAGATACCTGAATACATCTTTGGGTTCTCTGTTTTCTTCATTTCTTATCTTCCCTCTTCATTGTCATTTGTTCTCCCACCTGCTCTTCCTTCATTCCTCATGACTCCATCTTTTTCAAAGTCTTCACCATGTCTACACTGCATTTTGACAATTTTCTTAGCTAGTTTACTTGCCTGGTCCCTCTTCTCCATTTGTAGAACCTGCCCATTGCAGCAAATTCATCATGCTACCTCCTGTCCAAAATCTTACAATGGCTTCGCATCAGTACAGAACAAATCCAAATACTTGTGTTTCGTGGCAAAGTAGATAACAAAATAGTATTCGTAACAGCAGACATCTCACCTACTCATGGCTTTACTGTTTTTTAAAGTGAGCTCCCATCGGACTCCCTCTAACCTGTGAGCTCTCTTCTCCTAATCACTTAAAACTATTGATATGGGCTGGGCGCTGTGGCTCACGCCTGTAATCCCAGCACTTTGTGAAGCCGAGGCGGGAGGATCATCGGAGGTCAGGAGTTCGAGACCAGCCTGTCCAACATAATGAAACCCCATCTCTACTAAAAAATTTAAAACTAGCAGGGCGTGGTAGCACATTCCTGTAATCCCAGCTACTTAGGAGGCCGAGGCAGGAGAACCACTTGAAACTGGGAGGCGGAGGTTGCAGTGAGCCGAGATTGCGCCTTTGCACTCCAGCCTGGGCAGAAAGAGTTAAATTCCATCTCAAAAAAAGAAAAAAAAAAAAAACAGAACTGTTGTTGTGGCCAGATACTCTCATGGCAGACTCATCTCCTAATCTCCTAACCCGGTCCTGCCCCTATACCCACATCACATCTCTGAGTCTCTATGCAAATAGTGTTTCCAGCACAGCAGTGAGCAATGCATGCCCTCCCTTGGCTGCCCAACTCAAACCCTGTTTTGCTTACCAGTTCTGTGTTGACCTTTCCAATGTATTTTCAGTTCTGTCTTTTTAAAAGCCAATAAATAACAAACTAAATAAAATAATAATCACTACTATGTGTTGAATGCTGTGGAATGCAGACACTATTCTAAATGCCTTCCATGCCTTATCTCATGTAATCCCCCCGGTAAAAACTTATGACTGAGGTCTCATTATGATTCCCATTTTACAGAGAAATAAACTGTAAAAGGGAGAGGTGGCCTCAGGGCCAATGTCTAGCTCCAAACTCATCCAGCTTCTGTGAACTGCTACCTCCTCTCTCTATGACCTGTGTTAATGACAGCCTACACCACTCATTTTTGCACAGATGTCTAGCTGCCTCAGTGTGATCTAAAGCCTCCCTTACAGCAGCTGTATGTGTCCCTGCAGGCCAGAAAGTGCCCAGCCAGTGCTACTAATGCCATTTCTCTATGTCTGTCCTTTGATGTTCTTCAATTAAATAGTGTTTATCAGAGATGCTGCCTCAATTCTTTCTAGAAGTAAGATGGGATGTCAATAAGTAGATACAACTCATTCACGCTAAGGAATTAGTACTTTACCCTGTGGGTCATAGATGAGTTTAATAGTGGGATAACAAGGTCCAGTTCATTTCTTTTTGTTAGAGATTCCTCTATGGCAGTGCTGTAGAGGGTAGATTGGAGTGGGAAAGGATTATGGCTGGAACAGCAGTTATTGCAACCCTGTCATCTCTCAACAAATTAATGAAATATATATATGCATATATGTATATTTTACACATATATTTAGATTTTAATCTATAAATATAGTTTTCCTTACAAACATTTCTTTGTTCCATGAAGTAATTTTTGCTATTTATTTTTAATAGCTTTATGGTCCACAGTATAAGCTGGCACTTTAATTAGCAAGAGAAGGTACAGATAATGCCACAGTAACACATAAACCCTGAAATCTTGGGGGATTCATAGACAATGGTTTATTTCTAGGCCACACAAAGTCCAGTGTGGGTCTGGGAGCTCTTAAGAATTCCTGCTACTTCCGGCCAGGCACGTTGGCTCACGCCTGTAATCCCAGCACTTTGGGAGGCCGAGGCGGGCAGATCACAAGGTCAGGAGATCGAGACCATCCTGGCTAACACGGTGAAACCCTGTCTCTACTAAAAATACAAAAAATTAGCCGGGCGTGGTGGCGGGCGCCTGTAGTCCCAGCTACTGGGGAGGCTGAGGCAGGAGAATGGCGTGAACCCGGGAGGCAGAGCTTGGAGTGAGCCGAGATCGCGCCACTGCACTCCAGCCTGGGCGACAGAGCGAGACTCTGTCTCAAAACAAACGAACAACAAACAAACAAACAAGCAAAAAAAGAATTCCTGCTACTTCCAGCTGGGAAGTGTTACACTCACTCCACGTGGTCTCCATGGCTACCACCAAAAAGAGTGTTTGGAGGAAGCCCTCCCACATTAAATGCCTCAAATCAGAAGGTAAATATGTCACTTGCGATCACACCTCATCCTCTGAAATGTATGACAGTCTCCCACCTAACTCCCAGGGGTCTGGGAAGCAAACCTAGGTAGGAAATGAAGATCAACGTGGCGAGCGCTTGGTCTCCACTTCAGCTCTCCGTAAATATCTGGTAAATGAACAAAATTTTACAAAGAGGAAACGCAGGAGGCTCTTGCTACTCAAAAAGGATTTACACTGAAATTTTGATATTCACAAATATCACTGAGGAATATTCCTCAGTGAAGTCTTCCTAAAGGCAACCTACAGCATTCTTCTTTTCATTTTCTTCATATTGATCACCAGCAGTAGCAGCTGCATGTGATTTCCTTGAGATTCAAGTTGCCATCTATGGTTCAAGGAGAGATAAGATTTTTGTTTGTTTGTTTGTTTGTTTTTAATTTCTCAGGAGTTACTTAGTGGCTGCTGACCAGCAGAACCCAACAATGACCCAGGAGAGGTAGGTGCTGGGCCCTGGGCCAGGCTGCACCAAGACCATTCTTCCAGCTTGTCCATCTTCAGCCTGTGTGATCCAAATTTTTGGCTGGGAAAGATTACAAATTGCTATATGGCATGCCTCTTCAAGGTTACTCTCAAATAACCAAAACCACACATATTAAATCCCTGAGTGCTCTACTATAGAGCTCTAATTTTGGGGAGGCTCTTCTTTCAGTTATGTGTAGTTTTTGAGTTCCATATAAGAAATACAGCCTTTTGGCCAAGTGTGAATTATGTGAAAGCAATGAGAAAAGGAAAAACGTATAACTAACTTCATACTTCAGTGGTTTATGGGCTCCCATATTACCCCTGAAATAACCAAAGAATTAATCAACAAAAGATGCTTTGTGAGAGCCAGAGATCTGCTATAGTCTCATCCTGCACACTTGGTGAGTGTTTCCAGGGCTCTATTTGTAGTGAAAAACCTGGTTAGTGGGAATAAGTGGGCAGATCTGTGGCCAAATAACAAACAGAATTTCTATTACTCACCCCATATGCACTGGATCAATGAGGGAATAAGATGCATTTGCCTGTGCTGAAGGATTAAGTGCAGGGCTGTATTCTTAAACTAGGAACTTGAAAGGTTTGGAAAATAAGGCACATCAAATTAGTAGGATCTAATTCATGATATCTTCATTTCCTTCCAAATTTCCCCTCCCAAAGCCATTAGAGGCAACACTTCACACTTGATTGGCTCTAAAAAACACACAAAACAAAGCTATAGTGTTGGTTTTTTTTTTTCTGCTGCTGTTCATTGTGACACTTTATTTGGATCAGAAAACACCTTCAACAAAAACAACAGCAGAAGGCTTAGACGTCGATTATGACACTCCATGGAAAACGTTCAAAGTGAGCCTGTTTAGGGCAATTTAGAAACGGAGAAAGGTATGAGATAAGCAGAAATAATTTGTTCCCTGTTGCAGAGGTCTTTTGCATGAAAACTACTTTACTAATTGGTTTAACTTGGCACATCTAATATACACATTGTGTCTTGTCTTCATCTTCAAAGTGTTCCATGAACAATGGGGCTGATTATTCCAGGATGTTCTCTCTTCAAATGTCTTGAGCTGAGAGTAGCAAAGTCCTGAGGCTGCGTTCCCCTGCATGGGGCGTGGTGTGTATGCCATGGGGGTGCTGTGCAGACAGCCCAGCCCTCTGATCTTGACCTACCACCTGGGAGGAGGAGCCCAGGGCTCCGGAGGAGGTGGTCCTCACCCAAGGCTCTTCCCTGGGGAGCAAGGTCATCCAGGGAGGTACAGTCCCCTTAGAAGAACAAAAAATCTGAAGAACCCTGAACGTGAGGAAGAACAATGGAGATTCCAAAAGCCGAGACTGGAACAGCATTCCAGGGTGAGGTTAAAGATTGGAAACGGGGTTGGCCTGGAAGCTGCTTCAAGCTCTTAGAGAATCCCAAACATGTTTCTCAGGCAGGATATGTTCCTGCCCCTGAGTTTCTCCTCCATGATACCTGAAATTCTTCGAGTGCAGTGAGTCAGGGTTCTGTTTTAAAATTCAGATAAAAGAATGCTCTTAAAGTATGCATACAATGACGTATTATTCAGCCTTTGATACGAACAGGAGATATGGATAGAAGAGGGCAGTTCCCTGAGAAAGGCCCTACCCTCAAGCCTGGAGACCCACCACCCTAAACTGGGACAGGCATTCCTGTTTTCACGCCCAAAAAGTTGGCTTTGGGCCCACCACATCCCCCCATCCTTTACCCATATAAATCTCGAGCCCCAGTCTCCAGAAGCAGATGAGCAGATGAGATGAGGAGACGAGCAGGCAGATGGGAGAATGATGTGGCAGAGAAAGAGAGAAAAGGAGTAACTCTGGGAACGTCTGAACACTGAGAGGAGTTCAGCTGGTGGCACTTGGAGAGGAGTTCGGCCGCTGGACTGCCAGCCTCCAGAGAAAGATCACCTTTCTACTTCATCTCCTCTTCTGGCTCCCCATCCATCCCACTGAGAGCCATCTCTACCACTCAATAAAACTCCCGCATTCATGCTTTGAGTCCGTATGTGACTCAGTTCTTCCAGGATGCAGGACAAGAGCTCAGGATACAGAAAGCTGTCATACTGGCCCTCTGCCCTTGCAGAAAGGCAGAGGATCCACTGAGCTGGTTAACACTCAAGCTGTCTGTGGACGGCAAGGCTAAAAGGGCACGCTGTATCCCATGCCCACTTGCACTCCTGTACCTGTCTGTCTGCATGCTTCCCCTCCCCTCAGGGGTTTGAGCAGCAGTGGCAACTTGAACAGGTGAGTCACATCCCTGTCACATGTCCTGTGAGGGAGATCAGAAAAGTCTCTCATTTCACCTTTAAAAAGAAAGAAATTCTGCTAATTATGACTTCTGCTAGGATGTACGCTAAGTGAAATAAGCCAAGCACAGAATGACAAATGCTGTATGATTTCATTTATATGATGGACCTAACTGACATGGTCAAGTTCATAGAGACAGAAAATGGAATGGTGGTTGCCAGGACTGGGGGAGGAAGGAATGTGGAGTTTAATGGGTACAGAGTTTCAGTTTTGCAAGATGAAAAGAGCTCTGTAGATGGATGGTGGTGATTCTTGCACAAGGTGAATGTACTTAATACCACTAAACTGCACACTAAAAAATGGTTACAATGGTAAATTTTGTGTTATGTATATTGTACTACAGTTAAAAAAAAAAAGACCTATCTCTCAGTGCCTAGCTAAGATTGAAAAGCCGTGTTCAGAGGAGGAAGAGGAGGAGCAAGAAGTGCTTGTAGAGGGAACAGGGAAGCAGGAGGTCCTATTGGGCATCAGAGGACAGTCTGAGGACACTGGATGAGAGTTCTCCCATGGAGAAAAAGCCAGTGAGATATGAGATATGCTTTGACATTTTACTTAATAACCATCTTGCTCCTCTCTTCAATGCTGGGCTCTGGCTCCTTCTAGAAAAGAGAGATTTCTTTATCTTCTGGAGTTTTTGTTTTCTGTTTCTCCTAATAAATGCATTTAGGGATAAGTACTTCTCTACAACTTTGGCCACACTTGGATTTTAACCTGGAGCGTTCTCAGTGTTGCCATTTCTAAGTAAATTCAGGTTTGTTGTTTAATTTCTGTGTTTAAATTCCACATCAAACACCCTGTGAAGGCTTATCTATGATCTGTGTGGCATCAGTGCCTCCAGGGACTGCGGAGTAGGGGTGAAGAGAGAGGCCTGGAGATGGAGTGGGGCATGGCACTCAGTGATGGGGGACGGGGTCGGGGATGCGAAATAGTGGCTGTTGCAATAGCTCATGGAGTTCCCAATGCGGGTCAGTCTTCTGGTTATGGGTCACTCTTGACCACCCAGGGTGCTACTTGTGACTGACTCCCTAATGCATAGGAGAGAAGCCACCAACCAGCTGGAGACCCCTCACCTCCCAAGGGTTATCGCAGGTCCTCTTAGGGCCACAACACTCCCACCTTTGTGCTCTGAGCGACTTTGTCCTCCTTTGGTCCTCCATGTGCATGTTTTTGCTCCTGTTTTCTCTAGTCGCCTAACTTTTTCCTAGGAATCTCCATAATTCCTGACCCATCAACCACATCACTTTTTACTTTTCAGTGCCATGGTGCGTTCCTGCCTCCTGCACATCTTCTCTGTCATTAGGAGTCAAGCTGGTGGGAGGAGGGGAAAAGAAACAAACAAAAAGAAGCAGAAAAGCCACAAGTCTGCCTTTCTTCGTGGTCCAAAACACATAAGCTCTTCTGCGCCCAAATATCACCAGACACCTGCAAGTTAGCTCACTGCAACCTTGGCATTATCAGTACTGCACAAAGCCCCCCTCAGCATACAGCATAAACTCTGCACTATAAAATCTCTAGTAAGTCTCTGCTTCTTTGCAGTCAGCTTCTCTGCTGGTCTGCCCATTGACTCCTCACAAAACATTTTCCTACTTTCTCTAATGAATCTGCTTTTCTTTGCCGACAATTATCTTGGTAAATTCATTTACTCCCATACCACCAGCCCAGATAGTCATCACTCATTCAAGTCAAGGAGGCTCTAGGCTTATCAGTCGACCACACTCATTTGATCATTGTGTAGAGCTCAAGTTTATTCTAATCTGGGCTCATGTGTTGTTGAAAAACTTATTTTTTTGTTACAAAGACAAAACCAGTTGTGGAGTAACTATTTTAGGAGTCTGGGCAATTCTTCCTGGGGAGGATCCTGGCTTCTTCTCTGGAGAGATAGCAGACTCCTCTATGGTGGCCGCACCCTTGCCCACTTCTTATTTGAGATTTTCCAAGACTTGCCACCAAACCCTCTCCTCTCCTGGCTCCACACTCCCTGCCCTCTCCTCTCCTGGCTCCACACTCCCTGCTGTGGTGAATATCAGTGACTGGTGTCTCTCAAATTTATGCAACAACAGCTTAGACACCTCTCTGAGCTCAGTGCTCACAATATACCATGTAACAGTTAACTTGCTAACTCCTCTCGACATGAGTGTTTCTATTTCAGTGAAAAGCACCACCTTGTACTCTCAACAGCTGATTAGTCTCCCAGTCCTGAAGATTCTACACATCACACCCTGAATTTAAGTGACTTTTCTCCTTTCAGTCTTTTCCCAGTGTTCTTTCCCAAAGTAGTTGACCCCACTGTCTTCTCTGGCCTTTGTTGCTGCAATAACTCCTTACCTGGTTGACCCACTTTCAATTTATTTGTTCTTCAAAGTGATTTTTCAATTAATTCTAACATAGAGTTGTGCTTTTAAAATGATTCCTTTATAATATTAAAATAATTAACTTTTTTTTTTTAATCTGGCAAGACAGCTGAATAGCAGCAGCTCCAGTCTGCAGCTCCCAGTGAGAACAACACAGAAGGTGGATGACTTCTGCTTTTCCAACCAAGGTACCTGGTTCATCTCACTGGGACTGGTTAGACAGTGGATGACCATGGAGGGTGACCAGAAGTAGAGTGGGGCATTGCCTCACCCAGGAAGTGCAAGGGGCTACAGACCTACCTCTCCTAGCCAAGGGATGCTGTGAGGGACTGTGCTATCCAGCCCAGACACTCTGCTTTTCCCATGGTTTTTGCAATCCACAGACCAGGAGATTCCCTCTTGTGCCTACATCACCAGGGCCCTGGGTTTCAAGCACAAAACTAGGCGGTCATTCAGGCAGACACTGAGCTAGCTGCAGAAGTGTTTTTTCATACCCGATTGATGCCTGGAACCCCAGGGAGACAGAACCTTTTGCTCCTCTGGAAAGACGGCTGAAGCCAGGGAGCCAAGTGGTCTTGTTCAGTAGGTCCCACTCCCAGAGCCCAGCAAGCTAAGAACCAGTGGCTTGAAATTCTTGCCTGCCAGCACAGCAGTCTGAAGTTGACCTGGGATGATCAAGCTTGGTGAGGGGAGGTGCATCTGCCATTACCGAGGCTTGAGTAGGTGGTTTTCCCCTCACAGTATTAAAGAAGCTGCCAGAAAGTTCAGACTGGGCGGAACTTACCACAGCATGGCAAAGCAGCTGTGGCCAGACTGCCTCTCTAGATTCTTCCTCACTGGGCAGGGCATCTCTGAAAGAAAGGCAGCAGCCCCAGTCAGAGGCTTATAGATAAAACCCCTATCTCCCTGGGACAGAGCACCTGGGGGAAGGGGTGGCTGTGGGAGCAGCTTCAACAGACTTAAACATTCCTGCCTGTCAGCTCTGAAGGGAGCAGTGGATCTCCCAGCACAGCACTTGAGCTCTGCTAAGGGACAGACTGCCTCCTCCCTCACCCCATGCCTCCTGACTGGGAGACAACTTCCAGCAGGGGTTGACAGACACCTCATACAGGAGAGCTCCAGCTGGCATCAGGTGGGTGCCCCTCTCGGATGAAGCTTCTTGAAGAAGAAGCAGGCAGCAATCTTTGCTGTTCTGCAGCCTCCACTGGTGATATGCAGGCAAACAGGATCTGGACTGGACCCCCAGCAAACTCCAGCAGACCTGCAGAAGAGGGGCCTGACTGTTAGAAGGAAAACTAACAAACAGAAAGCAATGACCATCAACATCAGCAAAAAGGACACCCACACAAAAACCCCATCCAAAGGTCTTCAGCATCAAAGATCAAAGGTAGATAAATCCACAAAGATGAGGAAAAACTAGCTCAAAAAGGGTGAAAACTCCAAAAACCAGAATGCTTCTTTTCCTCCAAATGATCGCAGCTCCTCTCCAGCAAGGACACAAAACTGGATGGAGAATGAGTTTGATGAATTATCAGAAGTAGGCTTCAGAGATTAGGTAATAACAAATTTCTCTGAGCTAAAGGAGCCTGTTCTAACCCAATGCAAGGAAGTTAAGAACCTTCATAAAATGTTACAGGAACTGCTAACTAGAATAAGCAGTTTAGAGAAGAACATAAATGACCTGATGGAGCTGAAAAACAGCACAGCACGAGAACTTTGTGAGGCATACACAAGTATGAATAACTGAATTGATCAAGCAGAAGAAAGGATATCAGAGATTGAAGATCAACTTAATGAAATAAAGTGTGAAGACAAGATTAGAGAAAAAAGAATGAAAAGGAACAAACAAAGCTTCCAAGAAATATGGGACTATGTGAAATGACCAAACCTATGCTTGATTGGTGTACCTGAAAGTGATGGGGAGGATGGAACCAAGTTGGAAAACACACTTCAGGGTATTTATCCAGGAGACTTTCCCCAACCTAGAAAGACAGGCCAACATTCAAATTCAGGAAATACAGAGAACACCACTAAGATACTCCTCAAGAAGAGCAACCCCAAGACACATAATGGTCAGATTCTCCAAGGTTGAAACGAAGGAAAAATGTTAAGTGCAGCCAGACAGAAAGCTCATGTTACCCCCAAAGGGAAGCCCATCAGTCTAACAATGGATCTCTCCCCAAAAACCCTACAAGCCAGAAGAGAGTGGAGGCCAATATTCAACATTCTTAAAGAAAAGAATTTTCAACTCAGAATTTCATATTCAGCCAAACTAAGCTTCATAAGTGAAGGAGAAATAAAATCCTTTGCAGACAAGCAAATGCTGAGGGATTTTGTCACCACCAGGCCTGCCTTACAAGAGCTCCTGAAAGAAGCACTAAATATGGAAAGGAAAAACCGGTACCAGCCACTGCAAAAACATACCAAAATATAAAGACCAACAACACTGTGAAAAAACTGCATCAATTAATGTGCAAAAATAACCAGCTAGCAGCATGATGACAGGATTAAATTCACATGTAACAATATTAACCTTAAATGTAAAAGGGCTAAATGTCACAATTAAAAGACACAGACTGGCAAATTGGATAAAGAGTCAAGACTCATCAGTGTGCTGTATTCAGGAGACCCATCTCACGTGCAAAGACACACATGGGCTCAAAATAAAAGGATGGAGGAATACTTACCAAGCAAATGGAAAGAAAAAAAAAAAAAAAACAGGGGTTGCAATCTTAGTCTCTGATAAAACAGACTTTGAACCAAGAAAGATCAAAAAAGACAAAGAAGGGCATTACATAATGGTAAAGGGATCAATGCAACAAGAAGAGCTAACTATCCTAAATATATATGCATCCAACACAGGAGCACCCAGATTCATAAAGCAAGTTCCTAGAGACCTACAAAGAGACTTAGACTTGCACACAATAATAGTTGGAGACTTTTAACACCCCACTGTCAATATTAGACAGATCAACAAGACAGAAAATTAACAAGAATATTCAGGACTTGAACTCAGCTCTGGACCAAGCAGAACTAACAGACACCTACAGAACTCTCCACCCCAAATCAATAGAATATACATTCTTCTCAGCACCACATAGCACTTATTCTAAAATTGACCACATAATTGGAAGTAAAACTCTCCTCAGTAAATGCAAAAGAACAGAAATCATAACAAACAGTCTCTCAGACCACAGTGCAACCAAACTAGAACTCAGAATTAAGGAATTCACTCAAAACCGCACAACTGCATGGAAACTGGACAAACTGTTCCTGAATGACTACTGAGTAAGTAATGAAATTAAGGGAGAAATAAATAAGTTTTTTGAAACCAGTGAGAACAAAGAGACAATATACCAGAATCTCTGGGACACAGGTAAAGCAGTGTTTACAGGGAAATTTATAGCACTAAATGCCCACAGGAGAAAGCAGGAAAGATCTAAAATTGACACCCCAACATCACAAAAGAACTAGAGAAGCAAGAGCAAACCAGTTCAAAAGCTAGCAGAAGACAAAAAATAACTAAGATCAGAGCAGAACTGAAGGAGATAGAGACACAAAAAAACCCTTCAAAAAATCAATGAATCCAGGAGCTGGTTTTTTGAAAAGATTAACAAAATAGATAGACTGCTAGCCAGACTAATAAAGAAGAAAAGAAAGAAGAATCAAATAGACACAATAAAAAATGATAAAGGAGATATCACCACTGATCCCACAGAAGTACAAATTACCATCAGAGAATACTATAAACACCTCTATGCAAACAAACTAGAAAATCTAGAAGAATAAAATCTAGAAGAATGGATAAATTCCTGGACACACACCCTCTCAAGACTAAACTAGGAAGAAGTCAAACCCTGAATAGATCAATAATAAGTTCTGAAATTGAGGCAGTAATTAATAGCCTACCAACCAAAAAAGTCCAGGACCACAGGGACTCAGCCAAATTCTACCAGAGGTAGAAAGAGGAGCTGGTACCATTCCTTCTGAAACTATTCCAAACAATAGAAAAAGAGGGACTCCTCCCTAACTCATTTTATGAGGCCAGCCTCATCCTGATACCAAAACCTGGCAGAGACACAACAGAAAAAGAAAATTTCAGGCCAATATCCCTGATGAACATCGATGCAAAAATCCTCAATAAAATACTGGCAAACTGAATCCAGCAGCACATCAAAAAGCTTATCCACCAAAATTGAGTCAGCTTCATCCCTGGGATTCAAAGCTGGTTCAACATACACAAATCAATAAACGTAACCCATCACATAAACAGAACCAATGACAAAAACCACGATTATCTCAATAGACACAGAAAAGGCCTTTGACAGAATTCAACACCCATTCATGCTAAAAACGCTCAATAAACTAGGTATTGATGGAACATATCTCAAAATAATAAGAACTATTTATGACAAACCCATACCCAATATCACTGAATGGGCAAAAGCTAGAAGCATTCCCTTTGAAAACTGGCACAAGACAAGGATGCCCTTTCTCACCACTCCTATTCAACATAGTATTGGAAGTTCTGGCCAGGGCAAGCAGGCAGGAGAAAGAAACAAAGGGTATTCAAATAGGAAAGGAGGAAGCCAAATTGTCTCTGTTTGCCAATGACATGATTGTATATTTAGAAAACCCCACTATCT
Source organism: Homo sapiens (assembly GCF_000001405.40). Classification (NCBI taxonomy): domain Eukaryota; kingdom Metazoa; phylum Chordata; class Mammalia; order Primates; family Hominidae; genus Homo; species Homo sapiens. The sequence continues at coordinate 14,602,038 of NC_000017.11, forward strand.
CAGCCCAAAAACTCCTTAAGCTGATAAGCAAATTCATCAAAGTCTCAGGATACAAAATCAATGTGCAAAAATCACAAGCATTTCTATACACCAATAATAGACAAACAGAGAGCCAAATCCTGAGTGAACTCCCATTCACAATTGCTACAAAGAGAATAAAATACCCTGGAATACAACTTACAAGGGACTTGAAGGACCTCTTCAAGGAGAACTACAAACCACTGCTAAAGGAAATAAGAGAGGACACAAACAAATGGAAAAACATTCCATGCTCATAGATAGGAAGAATCAATATTGTGAAAATGGCCATATTGCCCAAAGTAATTTATATATTCAATGCTATTCCCATCAAGCTTCCATTGACTTTCTTCACAGAATTAGAAAAAACTACTTTAAATTTCATATGGAACCAAAAAAAGTCCACATAGCCAAGAAAATCCTAAGCAAAAAGAACAAAGCTGGAGGCATCATGCTACCTGACTTCAAACTATACTACAAGGCTGCAGTAACCAAACCAGCATGGTACTGGTACCAAAAAAGATATATAGACCAATGGAACAGAACAGAGGCCTCAGAAATAAAACCACACATCTACAACCATCTGATCTTCAAAAAACCTGACAAAAACAAGCAATGGGGAAAGGATTCCATATTTAATAAATGGTGCTGGGAAAACTGTCTAGCCATATGCAGAAAACTGAAACTGGACCCCTTCCCTATACCTTTTACAAAAATTAACTCAAGATGGATTAAAGACTTAAACGTAAAACCTAAAACCATAAAAACCCTAGAAGAAAACCTAGGCAATACCATTCAGGACATAGGCATGGGCAAAGACTTCATGACTAAAACACCAAAAGCAATGGCAACAAAAGCCAAAATTCACAAGTGGGATAAACTAAGGGGCTTCTGCCCAGCCAAAGAAGCTACCATCAGAGTCAACAGGCAACCTACAGAATGGGAGAAAATTTTTGCAATCTATCCATCTGACAAAGGTCTAATATCCAGAATCTACAAGGAACTTTAACAAATTTACAAGAAAAAAAACAACCCCATCAAAAAGTGGGTGACACATATGAACAGACATGTCTCAAAAGAAGATGTTTATGCAGCCAACAAACATATGAAAAAAAGCTCATTATCACTGGTCATTAGAGAAATGCAAATGAAAACCACAATGAGATAGCATCTCATGCCAGTTAAAATGGCAATCATTAAAAAGTTAGGAAACAACAGATGCTGGCAAGGCTGTGGAGAAACAGGAATGTTTCTACACTGTTGGTGGGAATGTAAATTAGTTCAACTATTGTGGAAGATAGTGTGGCGACTCCTCAAGGATCTAGAACCAGAAATACAATTTGACCCAGCAATCCCATTACAGGGGTATGTACCCAAAGGATTATGAATCATTCTACTATAAAGACACATGCACATGTATGTTTATTGCAGCACTATTTCCAATAGCAAAGACTTGGAACCAACCCAAATGCCCATCAATGATAGACTGATACAACTTAGCACATATACACCATGAAATACTATGCACCCACAAGAAAAATGAGTTCATGTCTTTTGCGGGGACATGGATGAAGCTGGAAACCATCATTCTCAGCAAACTAACACAGGAACAGAAAACCAAGCACTGCATGCTCTCATTCATAGGTGGGAGTTGAACAATGAGAAAAAATGGACACAGGGAGGGGAACATCACACACCGGGGCCTGTCAGGGAATCCGGAGCAAGGGGTGGGAGAGCATTAGAAAAAATACCTACTGCATGCGGCGCTTAAAATCTAGATATCCGGTCGATAGGTGCAGCAAACCACCGGGACACATGTATACCTATGTAACAAACCTGCACATTCTGCACATGCATCCCAGAACTTAAAGTGTATTTTAAAAAATCAGAAAAAAAAAATAATTAACCAGGAAATATGTGCTTTTGAACATAAGAAGTTACATTAAAAAAAAATAAGCTCCTCCTTCTCTTTCCACACCTCTGTGGCCACTAATGTTATATTTATTGTGTATCTTTCCACCTTTTTTTCTTCACCTATTTAAATACTTTTACAAATTGTATATAATCAAAAATGAAATTCTAAGCCTGGCATCCATTTGAATGACCCCTCCTCTCGGCCAGGAGCATTGTGGAGTTAACCTGAAAATCTAGTTTAGGCCCTGATGAAAGAGGGGGTCATTATACCTTTCCGGCAGTAATATCAACGCAGACCGTAAGTTTGATAAGAAACATTTACTATCTATTCTCTCTGAAGACTGCTACCTGGAGGCTTCATCTGATAAAACCTTGGTCTCCATAACCCCTTATCCTAACCCAGACATTCCTTTCTACTGATAATAACTCTTTCAAATTGCCAATCAGAAAATTTTAAATCTACCTATAACCTGAAACTCCTCCCACTTTGAGTTGTCCCGAATGTATTATGTCTCCCTAAAATGTATAACATCAAGCTGTACGCTGATCACCTTGCGCACTTGTTGTCAGGACCTCCTGAAACATTCATTGAGACCTGTCTCAGATATTTTGGGTTCATAATATAATATAGCTGTATGTGAACACACATACAGGTTGTGTGTGTGTGTGTGTGTGTGTGTGTGTTTTATGTGTATACACAGATTTTTTTTTCTAGTTTTAACAAACATGAGGTCATGCTGTAGACAATACTCTGCAGTTTGCTCTCTTCAGATCGAACACATGGTTCTGAAACACAAATCACATCATCTCTGTCCTGGCTATAACCATGTTTTGCTTTCCCTTTCCCTTTGTTAAAGCAAACTAAATATGACCTGAGAAGGACTCTGTACTTCTATATTTGAGTCCTTGTGGATGAACCATAACCTAACTTGATAGAAAAGATTGAAAACCTAACTAAGGAGTATGCACCAGTAACGATAGCTGAGTCTTGACCAACCCCAGCAGCCATGCTTCAACCACTCACACACTGTTGAGTGTTCAAACTGTGTTCAAATAAGGCAAACGCCAACCTGTAACTAATCCAGCTGTTTCTGTACCTCACTTCCTATTTCTGCACGTCACTTCCCTTTTTTTGTCTATAAATCTTCCACCATGTGGCCGCGCTGGAGTTTCTCTGAATCTGCTGTGATTCTGAGGGCTGCCGAATTCGTGCATCGTTCATTGCTCAATTAAGCTCCTTTAAATCTAACTCAGATGAAGTTTTTCTTTTAACACTTTCCAAAGGCCAAACTCCTTTTTGTCGCCTGCTTCTTGCTCATGTCTCCAGCTTACTGCCAGTCCCTCTTGCACACTGACTCTGGCAGTACTGAGTGGCTTTCTGTTCCCTGAGTGCCCGGGTCTCCCACTTCTGCTAATGTGGTTTCCCCTGAGTAGAATGGCTGTTAGCCTGGCTTCCTCCCACTTCTCTTTGGGGACTCAGCCAAAATGTCACTTCCCCCTTCTCCAGGCCCAGTTTGGTTGGCCAGACCCCCTGCTGCATCATAGAACCTATCACATTGGGTTATACCTCAATTGTCCACGTTGCCTGCTAGTCTACAAGCTCTGTGAGGGCATGGATCACGTCTTTTCGGGAGGTTAAGTACTGCATAGTACTTAACTTGTAATAGGTGTGTAGTAGGTACTCAAATACTTGAATAAATAAAAGGATTAATGAATAATAAACAGATCATCCATTACAAAGGTCAAATATTTAGGAATTACCCTGTATTCTTTCTTCCCCACCTCCTCCCATTACTATCTAACCTATCAGAAATGCTAGTCAGCTCTCCTTCCAAAATGCACCCCAAATCAACTCACATCTCCCCACCCCTACAATTTCCACCCTGGTCCAAGTACCATATCCCTTTCTTGGGTCACTGGGGTGTTCTCCTAGCTGGTCTTTATGTTTCCACTCTTGTTTTTTTGTTTGTTTGTTTGTTTGTTTGTTTGTTTAATAGAGACAGAGTCTTGCTCTGTCACCCAGGCTGGAGTGCAGTGGTGCAATCTCGGCTCACTGCCAACCTCCGCCGCCCGGGTTCAAGAGATTCTCTTGCCTCAGCCTCCTGAGTAGCTGGGACTACAGGCACCCACCACCACGTCTAGCTAATTTTTTTGTATTTTTAGTAGAGATGAGATTTCACCATCTTGGCCAGGCTGTTCTCGATCTCCTGACCTCAGGTGATCCACCCGCCTCAGCCTCAGAAAGTGCTGGGATTACAGGCGTGAGCCACCGCGCCCTGCCTCCACTCTTGTATTAACAGAATCCATTCTATTCTTCACATAGCAGTCAGAGGAATCCTTAAAGTTTGTTAATCAGATAGTAGTTTCTGTCTCAGATCTTTCCATGGCTTTCCACTGCACCAGGAATAAAGCGCAAACCCCTTACCCTAACCTGTCTGATCTTGCCTACATTTCCAACTTACTTTAAAAAATAATCAACATTCCCTATTTTCTTATCCCTGTGTTACACTGGTTATTTTATTGTCCCAGAGACATGCTAAGTTTGTTCTTGTCTCAGGGCCTTTTCATTTGCTGTTCCCTCTGCCTGGAACATTCTTCCCCTGGGTCTTCACATGGCTGGCTGCTGCTTGTCATCTGGAGGTGAGCTCAAATGTTACCCCTCAAAAAATCCTGAATTTCTCACCACGTTCATTAAAGTAGTCCTCCTTCCCTAGCCATGCTTTATCCCACATAGCACTTCCTGTAATTTTATTTATATTTTTGCTTTTTTGTTTTCTTTCCCTCACTGGAATTTGAGCTTCCCAAGGACAAGGGGCTTTTCTGTGCCATTCACTGTTGGGTCTAAGGAGGACCTGGCTTATAGTAGATGCTCAGTAAAGAGTTGCCTAGGAATGAACGCATCTACTATTGACAGTATGAGAGAGTGGAAGAACTACCTACTTTTAGAACAGACATTCTGAATTTTGTCATGGTATCTGACATTTACTAAGCTGTGCGGCTTTGATGAAAATTTTTAAATTCTTGATGCTTATGCAAAATGGTAATAAGAATTTGCCTTGCCCTTAACTTAGTGGGTTCCTGTGAAGTTTAGGTTGGCCAATGGATGTGATGTGAAAATGTCCTACTAAGCAAAGTAGCAACGTACGTTATCAGCTCTAAATTGATGAATAACTTTTAATGACCTGGACCACAGTTTCTTTCGTACCAAATAAAGCAGATCTCTTTGGCCTGTAACTGGGATTCCATCCACAGAGCCATTCAGAATCCCCTGGAACCTTCAGTGCCTCGTTCAGGGTTGCAAATAAGAGAGAAGTGGGCAAGCTTTCCAAGAGAGAGAGAGAGAAAGAAAGGATGAAATAGAAAAAGATGGTGCTAATTTAATAACTTTAGGCACATGAGAACAATTTCCACTGAGGAAAAATAACAGCTTTTGGGAGTTTCTTTCCTGGAAGGCACCATTTTGAAACACTGAATTCCCCCAAAGCCGCAAATAGAGCAGCCAGGATTTCTTGCATTTGATGTTGGATGAAAATGCCTGTGATGGGGGCAGAACTCTGTGAGCCCCACCAGTTAAGGGCTCCATATCTGAATTAATGAAAGATATAGGACACTCTCATTATTTATTCATCAGTTTTTCAGTGGCGTCAGACTGGCTGAAACTGGTTATAGTTTTTCTTCTATTTATATTTTGCAAACCACCAACCATTCTTAACCAGTGAGCCCAGCAAACATTTGTGGCTGTTTGGGTCTTGGGTTCCTTCTAGAAAATGAGTACATTGAGATGTTGCAGAAAATGGAAAAGTAAGGAAAAAACCCAACTCTGTTGGATGAAGGAGGTTATTCACATAAAATAATAAACAGATGCCTGACTGTCCTAACATCTAAGCAACTGTTTAAAATCCTTAGAAACTCTTCAAGGGACTTGGCTTTTACCTTCGTAATGTCCTCTGCAGTGTCTTGAACATGCTAGATGTTTAATAGGATTTTAATAGATCAATAAAAATACAGGGATTCTGCATTCATCATACTTACTTTGCCATCACTGAATGTTGGTAAAGACAATCTTTTTTGGATGTAGCTTCCCAAGTATCCTATTGTTTTCTATTCAACTTATATTTCTTTTAACATAAAATTTTCAATGACAGCAGGCCAAATTTGTGAATTTTCTCTTACATGTTTTCCATTTTCAATTTTCATAGCTTGACAAACATTATTTTAAAGTGCATTTGGAAAATATGAAAAAGATGTTTTAGAACTTAACTTTTGTGATTTAATATTCACCTGCTATGTCTCTACTGAGCTATTTAGATCTTAAAAAAGAACATCTGCTGTTTTCTGATTGTAAAATTAATGCATAGTCAATTTATATAGTTTGGGAAATATTTTAGTGTATTTTCTTTAAGTGTTTATATATTTTTAAATTTGAACAATAAACTTGTACTTTATTTTTTGTTTGGAGCACATTTTCTTCACTTAACACTTCCTTGGGAACATTTCTTTTTCATTTCTCATTCCTCAAGATTCAATCTAGAAGATGGACGTGGTGGCTCATGCCTCTAATCCCAGCATTTTGGGAGGCCAAGGCAGGTGGATCACCTGAGGTCAGGAGTTCGAGACCAGCCTGACTAACATGGTGAAAACCCATCTCTACTAAAACTACAAAAATTAGCTGGGCATGGTGGCACCTGCCTGTAATCCCAGCTACTTGGGAGGCTGAGTCAGGAGAATCACTTGAACCCGGGAGGCGGAGGTTGCAGTGAGCCAAGATTGCGCCACCGAACTCCAGCCTGGGCAACAAGAGCAGAAACTCTGTCTCAAAAAAAAAAAAAAAAAAAAGATTCAATCTAGAATGTCTGTGTAGTATTGTTTTGTTTGTGTGTGTGTCATAATTATTTAACTATGTTCCCAGTATTCTATATTTAAATCATTTCTAATTTCTTTCTGTTATTAAATCTAGTGCACAAATATCTTCAAATATACATTTTAGCACCAATTTTTCACAATTCTTTAGTATAGATTTCCAGAATATAAAAGAATAGTGTGAGAGTATAAAAACCTTTTAAGGCTCTTCTTACACGTTTATGTTTTTCTTTTTTAAAAAATGATTTCTTCAGAATTATGCTTCGAATTGCCCTGTATAATAATTATAAGATATTCACCTATGTTTTCTTCTAATTATTTTATAATGTACTTTAACATTTATCATTTTTACATGTGGCATGATATAGAGATTGATTTTTTCCCTCAATTATTCAGTTTTTTTCTGGAAGGGATTATTGAATAATTTAGTCATTGTAAATTATTTGTATATGCTATTTCCATCTAATAGTAAATAATTTCACGTATGTGGCTGTAATTCTTGATTTTATATTCCGTTTGATGTACAGTCTCTTATTGCTGAAATACCACACTGTTGAAATTATGCCAGTGTTAGCACTTCAATGAATCAAACTGTTTAGCGAGCACCTGCCCTTTCTATGCCCTATCTTAGCTAAAGATTGAGACATATGAATAAACCAAAAGACACAGCCCCTGACCTCATGGATCTTACAGCTGAGCGGGGGAGACAGACGCTAACCGAGGAAGCACAGCAATAACTATATCATTACAAATAGTGACAGCCACAATGAACCAAAGGCCTCGGATTCTGTGTCTAAGCAAACCATTAAAGAGCTCTAATCAGAAGAGCTCAGTGATCAGACTTCTTCTCCTTTCTGTTTTTGTTTAAAATAACCGTGGCTATTGAGTGAAGACAAGTTTGCAGGTGGTCAAGAGCAAAGGAAAGACCAGTCTGCAGAGAAATGATGACTACATGATATAAGGTGGTTGTTAATAGAAAGGAAATAGATTGATCAATTCATGAACTCTTTAGAAGGTAGAACTAGCAATATTAGTGACTGATTAAATGTGGAGGTGAAGAAAAGACAGGTGCAAGGAGTGACTTGAAGTTTTCTAGTCTGAGAAACAGCAATATTGTGGTGTCAAGTGCAAAGAAAAAGTAGACAAAAGATGGAACCAGATCATGAGTAGGGTGGAAATGGAAGTTCTGTTTTAAACAGAAGCACATGCAGATGGCTGTGAAATGTGCTGAGCTACTGCAGTTGATGGTGCTAGTCCAGTTTAGAAGAGAATTGTGGGCTGGGAGATATTGGGAAGAGCAAAGTGATTAGATCTTATAGGAGACTAGTAAAAAGAGAAGCAAACACAAGACCAAGCCCTGAATAAATAATTCCAACCTTTAGAGATTAGGACCAGGGACCTCAGGAGAATGGAAAAATAGCACCAAGAAGTGGAATGAAAACAGCAAAGAATGGAGTCACCAGACCAAAGGGTGAGGTATTTCATGGAGGAAGGTGTTGAGTAGAACATTGCTGAGACCTTTGGTAAGAGAAAAATGAAAGAGAATCGATTGGCATCAATATGTCCCTGGAGTACAGAGCTGGGCACAGTTGCTCATGCCTGTAATCCCAGCACTTTGAGAGGCCGAGGTGGGTGGATCACCTGAGGTCAGGAGTTCAAAACCAGCCTGGCCAACATGATGAAACCCCGTCTCTACTAAAAATACAAAAATTAGCCAGGCACGGTGGCAGGTGCCTGTAATCCCAACTACTCAGGAGGCTGAGGCAGGAGAATCACTTGAACTCGGGAAGCAGAGGTTGCAGTGAGCCGAAATCACACCACTGCACTCCAGCCTGAGCGACAGAGTGAGACTCCATCTCAAAAAAAAAAAAAAAAAAAAAAAATGTCCCTGGAACACAGGCAATAGCAATTTTGGTGGCCATGTGGGAGGTAGAAATCAGATTAGGGTAAAAGTAAAACCTGATTTTTAAAGAAAACGAAATCTTGTTCTCATTTGAAGAATGTTGGCCATTGGGAGAAAGAATAAGGTGGTATCCTAGGAATCCACTTAAAGATTTTTTGTTGTTGTCGTTGTTGTTGTTATTAGAGACATTAAAGAATGTTTCTCAACTGATGGTAATAATCCAGGAGAAAGAAAGAGACAGAGAGAGTAAGGAAATCCTTGAGAATTAAAGTGAATGTGGGATCCAGAACATGATGCCTTTGATAAGTGGAGTTAAAATTTCTCCACAGTAAGAGAAAAAAGGAATGGAAGCAAAGATACGGGAATGTCCACCTGTAGGCTTCTTTCTTCTCTTCTTCTCTATGAAGTATGAGGGAAGTCTGGGAATGGGCTAGAGTGGGTGGGGAGGATGCTGGCTTGAGGGTCAAGGTAGCCACTGTGGAGAGTGGGAGGGAACCACAATGAGAGAAAATGGCAATGGGAAGCACTGCCAAGTGTGCCTATGTTAATTATGTGGCAGCACAAAACCTGCTGCTTAATCTTTTTGTTAAATATTACTTTGTTGTTCTCATCTATTTTGTTCTTCCATAGGAACTTTCAAATAATTTTGTCAAGTTCCAGAAACAATATTTTGAGGTCGGGGGGAGTTGATGGAGTTTGCATTAAATTAATGTATTATTCTGGAGAGAATTGATGTCTCTACAATACTAATCCCTCTACCCCAGGAATACACCTCTGTATTAGTCCATTTTAATACTGCTATGAAGAAATACCCAAGACTGGGTAATTTATAAAGAAAAAGAGGTTTAATGGACTCACAGTTCCACATGGCTGGGGAGGCCTCACAATCATGGAGGAAGGTGAAGGAGGAGCAAAGGCACATCTTACATGGAGGCAAGCAAGAGAGTGTGTGCAGGGAAACTGCCTTTTATAAAACCATCAGGCCTCTGAGACTTATTCACTATCACAAGAAGAGCATGGGGAAACCTGCCCCCATGATTTAATTACCTCCCAGCAGGTCCCTTTCACAATATGTGGGGATTTGGGGAGATACAATTCAAGATGAGATTTGGGTGGAGACACTCAAACCATATCAACCTACCGAATATTTAATCCAGTTTTCTTGGCTGTCCCTTGGAAGAGTTTTATATAGTATTTATTTCATAGAGCTGCTGCACCTTTCTGAATAAAGACTCAGGACACTTTAATTTTTCCTGTTGTCTTTCATTATCTTGTCCATTTCGCCTTTTTTTCTTTAAAGTCTGTTATTGTATTAGATCATTTTTTGTGCTATTATTCATGGATTTTTTTTTTTGTTTTGGGGAGGATATTTATTTAGAAGACAAATCAGGTGATTTCTAAAATGTATGCGTTTTCTGCAATATATCTTCACTGTGAATAAATTGTTGCATTTAATGCTTTTTTCCTTTTGTTATAATTTGTGTGATATTAATTTTGGGTCATCTGACTTGTCTCAGTTTGCATTTGCCTGATGTATCTGTACTCATTTTTTGTCCTTTATTGTTTCTGTGTTGCTTTGTTTAATCTTGAATCCTGCACTCTCTATACAGTTGGATTGCATTTCTTTTGACAAATGAAAAGAGGTTAGTCTGTACCTATTTATTGTAACAACCTATGTTTGATTTTATTCTTTCTTATTTTTTCTTTCCCTATTTTGATTTTTTATATATATTTTGCTAAACTGTTATATGACATCCTGATTCTATAGGATACTTTATGTTTGAAAGATTCTTTTTAAATTTATATTTCTCTAATGATGTGCATCATAAATGGCAGAATTTACTGTTTCCCTCTATGAAAAATTGACTTTTTTTCTTTTCTTTTTTTTTTTTTTTTTGGTAGAGATAGGGTCTCACTATGTTGTCCGGGCTAGTCTTGAATGCCTGGCCTCAGGTGATCCTTCCATTTTAGTCTCCAGAGAAGCTGGGAACATAGGCATGCATGTCACTGTGCCCAGCCAGGACAAATAGACTTTTTGAATGTTTCCACTTCAATTCATCTTGCCTGAAAATCTTTCATGATTTTTCAATTTATAATCTCTGATTTTCAACACAGATAATTATTATAAAACCATTGTGTATTCTTATGTAACCCCTATGCTTTTATTGCAAAATTGTTTTATATTTGTAGTCTACTTTTAATTCCATATTTTATTGGTTTTTATGTTCTCCCACCATTTCTGTAATACCACAATGTTCCCATTCTACATTTTAATATATCATTTGATTATTGGTTTATATCTTGATGGTTTTTAAAAGCAATAGCACATAGATGGTACCATTTTATTTATTTATTTTGTTGAGACAGAGTTTCACTCTTGTTGCCCAGGCTGGAGTGCAATGGTGTGATCTTGGCTCACTGCAACCTCCGCCTCCTGGGTTAAAGCGATTCCGCTGCCTCAGCCTCCCAACTAGGTGGGATTACAGGTGCCCACCACAAGGCCCAGCTAATTTTTTTTTTTTTTTTTTTTTTTTTTTTTTGTATTTTTAGTAGAGACGGGGTTTTACCATGTTGGCCGGGCTGGTCTTGAACTCCTGACCTCAGGTGATCCGCCCGTCTCGGCCTCCCAAAGTGCTGGGATTACAGGTATGAGCCACTGGGCCCGGCCGATGGTGCCATTTTAATTTTTAATTTTTAATGCTACCACACTTTAATTTTTCTTGTCTTTCTTTATCTTGTCAATTTCTCCTTTGTTTGCTTTAAAGTCTGTTATCATAGTGTATCATCTTTTGTACTGGTATTTATGGGTTTTTTGTTTGTTTTTTGGGGGGAATTTATTTAGAACACACATCAGGTGATTTCTAAAATGTACTCATTTCCTACAATAAGTATTTGTTAAAATTTATTGTTCCTCGTGATGTGTAAAGGCCTGAACTCTTTTTCCTATATAGCTGAATATTTGTTTTTTTTTTTTTTTTGAGACGGAGTCTCGCTCTGTCGCCCAGGCTGGAGTGCAGTGGCGCGATTTCGGCTCACTGCAAGCTCCGCCTCCCTGGTTCACGCCTTTCTCCTGCCTCAGCCTCCCAAGTAGCTGGGACCACAGGATAGCTGAATATTTTTATAGGTCCCATATTTAGCCGGTTCCTTGAATGAAGAAATGTTTATTGAGGACTGGTGTGTTCCATAAATCATGTGGATGGATTTTTTTTTTAATTCTTTTACTCCCACCTAGTTGTTAGAATTCTCTCAAATAATAAGGTAAGGGCTGGCAAATGTTTATAGTTCTTTCCTTGCTAGAAAGAATGATTTAAAATCTGAGATTTCCCAAAGTGCTGATCTGTTACTTCTTTATGTTTCTGTTCCTTCTTATCTGTCTGTAGCACTCAGAAGTGAGAACGTTGGTGCTTATCCCTTCTTCGCTAGCCATAGTCCATTATTGAGTATCATAATTCCAAAACAAAGGTAGAAAGATGTTATTGGGGTGGATGATGGGATGGCTGAAATAGGACTTACCTTAGATAACGTCTGTCTTGTGGAGAGAAACAGGTTTTCAGTTTTCTGGTTAGTACAGACCTTCTATCACTGAACTTGGCAGTAGATAGTGGGGGAAAATTAGTCTCATCTTTACTAATAATTTTTTTTTGTTTTTTGAGACAGAGTCTTGCTCTGCAGTCCAGGCTGGAGTACAGTGGTGTGATCATGACTCACTTCAGCCTCAACCTCCCCAGGCTCAGATAATCCTCCCACCTCAGCCTCCCGAGAAGCTGGGACTGCAATTGCATGCCACCATGCCTGGCTAATTTTTGTATTTTTTTGTAGAGACATAGTTTTGCCATGTTGTGCAGGCTGGTCTCGAACTCCTGGGCTCAAGGTATCCTTCTGTCTTGGCCTCCCAAGGGGCTGGGATTACAGATGTGAGCCTCTGTGTCTAGCCAAATTCATTCATTCATTCTTAAATAAGAAAATATTTCTGCAAGTGACAGGTTGCAATTTCATCTTTGCTCCACATGTCTTATTAATTGTGAAATTTTTCTAGTATATGTGCTGCCAAAGTGAGCACTAATTGTGGAATTTTTCTAAAAATCTCATGATAGTTTTATTTTCAGCTAAGTTTCTTATGTTTTACGAAGTTTTTTTATTTTTAAAAATCTAGTTTTCATTATTTTGATCAGAAAATAAAAGATGCTCACTTGTGAACTTCTATTGAAATTTAACTTAAACTGGAATTCCAAAATCCTCTTTTCATACTAACGTTATTAACAGCAGAATCTTAGAGTACTTACCGCATTATTTCCTCACCTTCAGGGATAAGTTCAGTGTCAGACTCTTTGTTTATCAACTCAACAGCCATTCCCAATCTCTCCCCCACACTCCCCAGCAGCTAGAATTGACCCACAGCTGGCCAATGAGATGTTAAGGAACATGCATTTGCAGTTTCTGGCAAAGATTTTCCTCTCTAATAAAATGAAGGAAATATAGAGTGGGATTTCTGACCTCATTACCTCCTTTTCTGTATTTAATTTTTTTATAGTTAACAAACTTCATTTTCTAGTATAGTTTTAGATTTACAAAAAAATCGAGCGCATAGTACAAAGAACTCCATATACTTATCCCACCCCAAGCCTGTGTCTTGCCATCCTTTTATCATTAACATCGTCCATTAATGTGGTACATTTGTTAAGATTGATGAGCCAATATTGATACATTATTATTAAATAAAGTCCAAAGTTCACATTAGGATGCACTCCGTCTTGTGAATTCTTGCCAAATGCATAATGTCATGTATCCACTATTACAGTATCATACAGAATAGGTTCACTGTCCTAAAATCCTGTGTGGTCCACCTATTCAACCCCTCTAGCTCCTCCTGAACTCCTGACCACACTGATTCTTTTACAGTCTCCATAGTTTTGCTTTTTTTTCTTTTCAGAATGTCATATAGTTGGAATTACACAGTAAATGAGCTTTTCGGAATGCCCTTTTTAATGTAAAAATATTACTTAAAGTTCTTCTATGTCTTTCTGTGGCTTGGTAGCTCATTTCTTTATTTCTTTTTTGGTAGCTCACTTCGGTTTTTTTTTTTTTTTTTTTTTTTTTTTTTGAGATGGAGTTTCTCCCTTGTTGCCCAGGCCGGAGTGCAGTGGCATGATCTCAGCTCACCGCAACATCTGCCTCCCAAGTTCAAGCGATTCTCCTGCTTCAGCCTCCCAAGTAACTGGGATTACAGGCATGCGCCACCATGCCGGGCTAATTTTTGTATCTTTAGCAGAGACAGGGTTTCTCCATGTTGGTCAGGCTGGTCTCGAATTCCCGACCTCAGGTGATCCGCCCACCTGGGCCTCCCAAAGGTAGCTCACTTCTTTTTACCCATTACATGGATATACCATATTTTGTTTATCCATTGGCCTGTTGAAGGACATCTTGGTTGCTTCCAGCTTTAGGCAATGGTGAATCATGTGGTTATAACATTCATGTGGAGTGTTGGATGTTCTATTGTGAGAAGGCGATGCATGGAACCAAGGCAGCCATCTTTTTATCATGGGGTGAAAATCTGAGGATGAAAAGTGAATATGCGAAGGATGCAGAGTGGAAGGAAAGGAAGAACTACATCCTTGAGGACACGTGGGAGCCAGTGGGCCAATCCCAGGATTCCTTGTCAGGTAAGCACTAAGTGTCTCCATGAAGTAGGCTACTATTAGTAAAATTTTCTGTGAGTTGCAACAGAAATTATCCTAACCAATGAAAGGGCTAGTCCATGCCATGATTTATCTGGTTAGCATATTTTATTTTCTATAGCACATTTTAATTTATCTTTTAAGGTAAAAAAGGACTTTACTATTGTGTATTTTTAAGTCAAAATTTTTCTGACTTTTTATATAACATGAGTCACATCCAGATATTTTACTCTAAATTTTAATAGATGGTAACTCATGTGCAGTAAATATTAAATTGCAATGACTAATACAAGAGATTCACATTCCAACACTCACATTAGTTCTCGAGAATGTGGTTTTTAATGTGGCTGGACGCCTCTGTCTTTTCTTCACTTTAAGCTCAGTCTCTTTATCCTATGCCTTGTGAAAGGAGGGTGATTATCATACTCATCTTCACAAATTGGAGGCTGTCAAGCAGTCAGTGAGTCCCCTTGGAAATACTGAGGCACACTAAATTCATTAAAAGTAGCCATCCAGAAGGCTAAAGGAGACAGCCTTCAGTGATTAAGAAAGAAAATCAGACTTGTGACTGCCGCCTGATTAGCAATCTAATTTTAAAAGCATCGACATTCTTCATAAAAAAGACATCAACATTCTTCAAACAGTTATCTCAACACTAATCTGCACTCTAAACAGCCTAAGTCTATTACGATCATGTCTTTTTAGTCAGTCTTTGCTGCCTCCAATTCACATCCATTTGCCAGAGCTGAAGCACCCAGTTTACCCCAACACAGACTTTCATCCAAATCCTCACATTAATGGTCACCTTCTGGATCAACACATGCCAAGCTGTTCTCTTTTTCTCTTACCAGGCTTTCAGACTTAAAGATTTTTGCATTCCCTAAATCTCCTCTTCCTAAGGTTGAATGTCCCTTGTTTCTTTAATTGCTCTTCATGAGACATCATTTCCAGACCCTTGATTATTCGGGTCTCTCCCCATGGGATACAATTTCTCCTGTCAATATCCTTCGTTCACTGTGGTACTTGAGACTCCACATGGTAGTGTCCTAGGCTGGGCTCTCCCAGAAGCGACCCTCGGAAGAGGATTAAAATGGGGATGGGTATTTGGAAGGTGATCCCAGGAAGCATGTGTAGGAAGTGAGGAAGTAGAACAGGGAAGGGGAAGACACTAATACAGGCTGTGTTACTGAGCATGTACTGCTATGAGCAAGGGGGGCTGGGGCTTGTCATTCATGCTTTGGATCACTGGGACACTATATAGAGCTTACTCTCAGAGTTGTCTCACCTATGGGTGAAGGAGCTGGGATATTTGTCCAGTCTCCTATCCTTTATTAGTATTCTGTACAATCTGATAAGCACAAACAATCATAAACATTCACGACCTTTTTAGTATAATCTAGGATTCTTTAATTTGTTTTTCATACAGCTGAACCATATCCTGGAATCCTCCCAGATACATCATCAACGAAAACCCCTGGATTTCCTTGTGGATAGCCAAATCTCTGCCAACTTGTATATGAGCAACTTAGGTATTTATTATTTATGCATTTATTGTTATATATTATTTTATATATATTATTTACTTATGCATTGCGGATCTCTCTGATTTGTTTAGTTGGGATGCGGGACTCCAATATGTTACGATCACTCTTCAGCCTGCCATTTCCCTGCTTCAACTTTCTGTTTCTTTGCTTTTCTTTGGCACGAGGCACGTATTCCCTGTTCTAACACCTTTTCCTGCCCTGTTACCTCCTGGTCAGCTCTCGGGTCTCAGCCCTGCCATGGGTCAAATAGTTAACAGTGCACATTTCCCGATGAAGCCTCACACATTAGAAAATGAAACGAGACAGCTGTCACAGACAACGCCCAGGAAAGCCATTCATCTATGTTGCCTTCTAGTTGAAGAACTCAAGGAAACTAGATTTTTCTGTATCAATGCTCATGACTACATCTAGATTTTCCATGCAAAGTAATTAAATTAGTGTATGTTGCCGGGTTGCAAATTTACTTACACTGTATTTAGATGTGCACAGAAATTCTAACTTCTTTATTTTCTATGCTGTATCTGGTTTTTCTCAGAATTTCCTCACCATGTTGGAAATAAGAGGAAAAATTAAATTTGCCAGTGTTTAGTGTCGCAGTTGTTTCCAATGTAAGTTGGTTTTCCAATGACTCAGTCTCTTTGGAGGAAATGCTTGATCTTTCAGATTGTTTTCTCTTTTTCCATGCTTCTCTCTTCCCTGATTAATGCCTCTGGGTGTGGGGAGGGCTGTGTGGAGCTGGGGCCCAGGATGGAGGGAGTGCAGCCCTCTCTCAGGACTGGAAACTGTTGACCTTGTGCCTGTTGCTATCTCTAGGATCTATGGTCTGGACCATCGGCTTCTGGTTGCAAATGCCCTGCACACTGCAGTCTCTGTCTTGATTGTGGGCCTCTGTCTGTCCACCAGTCTTTCTACCATTTTTGTATCCCCACAGTGGAGCCACATGGAGCCTCAGAATTCTTTGGTTTCTCTAAGCAGCCATAAAGCCTCATAAATCCTGCATTAGGTTTATCTACCCAGCCACCTTCCTTCAGCAAGGTTGCCCTCCAGACTCCACACCATGCCAACATGCAGATGATGGTGGCTTCTATAACAACATCTCTAGGCTATGGCCTGGGAATCCTGACATTCTTGAATTTGTCTGCATTTCTCTAGATATTTCTATTGTTTCCTCTATTTGAGGTTTTATTGTATGAAGGGGGAGGCAAGAGCACACACATCTGTCTTTCTTTCCTTTGTAGATGAGACAGTTAGTGCTTACCAAACATTCCATTCCACTCTCTTGTAGGGTCTAGGTGCCTATTTGGGGTCAATTATCACCTCCAGCTTGATACAACTAAGAGCCATAAAAGAACAAGAAACAAACTTTTGTTGTGATGAGCCCATGAGATGCTGGAGTGTGTTACTGCTGCGTAGAGGTAATCGCCCCACACAAAACACTCTTTCCCAGTCTGCTGAAGCAAGAGGGATACATTTTATCTTCCTGTCTATAAAGGAAATTCTCTGGTTTGTATCTTCTGTTCTAGGAGGTGAGGTGCATTAAAGCTTCATTGCTGAGCCTTTCTGGGATAAGATTCAGCCCCACTGGGACAGTTGGTTGGATTTTGAACTAGGATTCATCCCCATGACATATACTTTCATACATAATTACGTATGTTTTTATATGGCTTTCTGAACAGACACAAGGAACTATACTGAGTCCAAATGCTGCAAATCTTCATGTTAATGGAATCATCAATGAGCCAAAAGGTGGTCACATCCCTTGCAAAAACATACAAGGAGTGTGTTATGGGCTTTGTGTTCCCCTAAGGCTGCTGAAGTTCTATCCCCAGCACCTGTGATTGTGACCTTATTTGGAGATGGTCTTTGCAGATGATTAAATTAATTAAGATGAGGTCACTCAGGTGGCCCTGATCTAATACGACTGCGTCGTTATGAAAAAGGAACATTTGGACACAGAGACAAACACACACAGACAGAAACTGATGTATACACTCAGGAGAGCATCATATGGAGATGGAGGATTAGAGCAATGCAGCTACAAGCCAAGGCATGCCTGGAGCTGCCTCAAGCTAGGAGAGAGGCCTGGAACAGCTCCCCTCTCACAGCCCTCAGAAGAAACCAGGTCTGCCAACACCTTGACTTTGGGCTTCTAGACTTCAGAGCTGTGAGGCAATATGTTTCTTTTGTTTAAGTCACCCAGTTTGCGGTCTTTTGTTATAGCAGCCCTGTAATGAGAACAGGACAATCCACACTAATTCAGGATAATGGTTACTCCAGGGAGAGAGGTGAAAAAGGGATGGGTGGGAGGGAGGGGCTGCAGAAATCTGTAACATTTCTTCTCTAGGAGAAAATGAGATCTGCATAGATATGGTAAAGCTTTAAATATGTTTGATCTGGTTGGCGTGTACATGGGTGTCATTTTACCTAATGTATTTTTCAGTCTGTTTGGAATACAGAAAAAGCCCACAACAATTGGGATGGAAATGGCTGGGCTAAGGTTCGCAGTCCTGCACATCAGGCTCTGCTTGGCTGTTTCGTTAACCTTGCATTCCACGGCCCTGCCTTTTTTATACATGTGAATTTTCTGAACTCCCCAGAAATTATAGGGTTATTCATAATATTCACCACCATTCATAATTTAACATGTGAAAAATGTGATTATACCTTTCCATAGCAAAACTAGCAACAGCAGTGGCAACAGAAGCAGCCTCGAAGGCACATGGGAGGATGGAAGCCAATAGCAAGGGCATTTTTATTACCACTGAGCTGGGCAGCTTCCAGTGGAGGCGGTATGAGACTCTCCCTTGTGGACTTGAAGCTTCTCAGAGCCTGCAGGGAGTGCTGGGAGCTGCGCTAGCTTGACAACGGATAGGCCATTTTCCCAGCCTCGACAAAGAATGGGAGTTCAGAGTAAGTCATCAGCCGTATAACCATCTTTTAACTCAGAACCCAGAATTGTGTAATAACCATGGCATTTAAAAAAAATAGCTCTGGGACTGTCAAAAACTATACTTAATACTTGTTAGGAGTTGGTTTTTAATTTTAAAAACACATGGTAACTCTGACAAGTATGTGCTTTATATGTGCTTTGACCTTGGCAAAGAAACCTCTCTGGGCGTCAGTTTCTTCATCTGTAGATTGGGGATAATAAGACTATCTTTTAGGGCTCCTGAAAAGATCAAACGTGTTAATTATTTATATAATGTGTAGCACAGAGTTGTATAAACATTTATACTTATTTCAGGTTTAAGAAGCATTTTGACACTTTGAAAGTACTTTCTGCTTATATGTTAATTTGAGTTGCAACATCCCTGTGTTATGGAGAGGAATGATTAAAATCACCATCAGCTCTTTTTTAAAAAGAAAGAGAAAATGAAGTTCAAAAGGCTTCCACAGCTTGCTTCTGGTCACACAGAGAGCAAGTGGAAGAGCCAGGTCTGGGCCTTAGCTTACTGTCATACCCCACAGACAATTCACACACCACTGAACAAGAATGGAAAAGTCTCGGGGCATTGTAGCTCACGCCTGTAATCCCAGCATTTTGGGAGGCCAAGGTGGGTGGAACACTTGAGCTCAGGGGTTCAAGACCAACCTGGGCAACATGGTGAAATCCCATCTTTACAAAAAATACAAAAATTAACCAGGCTTGGTGGTGCGTACCTGTAGTCCCAGCTGAGGTGGGAGGCTGAGGAGGGAGGATAACTTGAGCCTAGGAGACGAAAGTTGCAATGAGCTGAGATTGTGCCACTACACTCCAGCCTGGGCAACAGAGCAAGGCCCTGTCAAAAAACAACAAACGAAACAAAAAAACAAAAAATAAACAAAAAATAAACAAAAAAAACAGAGAGAGAAGGAATGGAAAATATGTTGTCATATCTCTTTCATGGCCTTGAATTATGATTTCAGAAGTGACTTACTTGACAATTATTTACAGATGCTTTACATTCATTTCTGACTGGTTCCCAAACACAGTGTATCCCAAAATTAGCATAAAATGTCTGACCCTGCAACTCTTCTGATGAGTGGTTAATATCCTGTTGGGAAATATACCGAACAGGAAACCCGCAACAACTCCCCTCGCCACACACTGCCAGTAGCCGCAACGGCAAGAACCTTCCCTCGATTGTCTACACTTTGAGTTTTGCTTAAACAATGCATTTGCATCTGAGACCTAGAGGAAGGCACATATCCAAAATCCCTGCCTTGAGTCCTTAACTCTGAAAAAGTCTTAGTGATGAGTTCTACCCCTTCCTGCCGGTGAAGGTAACTCTGATCTGCCTTAACGGGAGTCATGTGCTGTTACTATTATAAGGCCAACTTCACAGAGCTAAATAGTCTCAACAAATGTCCAGATGTTCAGATAAAAAAGAAAGAAAAAACCACTTTAGCAGGCCTAGTTGAAGGCCACATAAATAGTAGTAAAGCTGCTGAAGCTATTTGCATTTCGCACCCAATAATTTCAGGCTCTCTCTGCCTTAAATTAGAGAGTGTGATTGTTCAGCCCAGCCGTTTCCTAACCTCCACGGGTGTGAACAGTGAAAAAATACAGATAACAGATTGTCTCTGTACAGGGATGAACACAGCCATTTTTGTGTCTTGCTTTTCCTCTTCTCTTCTCATTAACTAAGCACTCAAGGCCTCCGGGCACGTTCTCTGTTCTGTGCATGCTGATGCTGGCCCATTGCGCGGGGGTGGGGGACTGAGCTTTCCAGCCTCTAATGTCAGATGTCCCACTTTCAGAACATAACTTGTAAAGTTTCCCAAAGGAATGCGGTTCAGGGTGCCCTTTGGTTCAAGGCATGAGCTCACTGTCTTGCAAGAGCAGTAAATTATTTTGTGCTGCAGAGGAATTGTGTGAGTTTTGAATGGTAGGCTCATAAACTCATGATTTATAATTAAATTAGCCCTCAGGAAAATGTCCCAAGTTATATCTATTTGGCTTTCTCCAGCTTTTTTGAAGGTCCTACAAACAGACTAAATGGAAATTTCGCTTAAGAAATTGTTGTCATAAAATTTTATAGGACCATCTCAGTGGTTAGGGGACTGTTAAACATCCCTGCAGGGGGAAAAACAAACACAATTAGACACAGACTAGCTACTCTGTTTGGAGGGTGAAAACCAAAGTCACGCTGGAAATGCCACATCCACAGAAGCACAGCGTTTGGCCTGAGCTGGATTTTCGGATGTAAGATTACCATTAAAAATCTGTTGGGTTCTAACTTTCTATTTTGTTATTTTCTTTCTTCGCTTTTTCCTTACTTCCTCATTTTTTTCAATAAAAAAATTGTTTTGTTTCTTTCTCCCTTTTAAAATTATTTTTCATTTTTATTTGTTATAAAATGCATATAAAATGTAGCATCCCCACCATTTTTAAGTTTACAAGTTCAGTAGCATTAAATACATTCACATTTTCACACAACCATTATTACCACCATCCATCTACAGAACTCTTTTCATCTTGCAAGCTGAAACTCGCATGCATTAAATAACAACTCACAAAGTCATTAAATAACAACTCACAAAGTCATTAAATAACAACTCCCATCCCTTATCCTCTGGCAACCACCATTCTACCTTCTATCTCTTTGAGTTTGACTCTCTCTAGGTATCTCATATAAGTATTAAGTTGGTGCGAAAGTAGTAGCAGTTTCTGCCACTTAAAAGTAATGGTAGAAACCACAATTACGTTTGCACCAACCTAATAGAATCATACAGTATTTGTCTTTCTGTGACCGTCTTATTTCACTTATCATCATGTCTTTGGTTCATCCATGTTCTAGCACGTGTTGGAATTTCCTTCCTTTTTAAGGCTGAATAATATCCTCTCGAAAATATATATCACATTTTTCATATCTATTTATCCATTAGACACTTGGATCCTTTTTCTTTTTATTAATTAGTCATGCCTTTAGTATTGAGTTGTTTTCGGCAAAGCTGCAACTAACAGTTGTGTAGATTGTCGGTGCATGAATTGGTTGCATGGTGGGTGATCGTGGGTGTGAGTGAGCTGAGAAAGCTCAGTTTCCTTTGCTCGTCATGGCCTCTTCTTTTGAGCCTCTCACAGCACAACATGATAACAACATGACAGGAATATGAGATAAGGAGTTTGTGGAACAAAGACACAAGCTACAAGTCACATTGGATTTTCAGGCTAAGAACCTTTATTATGCAGACAACAAATATTCCATAATGTGGCCTATACTAGGTAAGTACAAATACAGGTGAAGCATCTTTGTATGGTACACACTTCAATTTGATCACTCTGTCTACCCTGTGTACAAATGGAATGCACTGGACTTTTATTTGTCTTACTGATATTGGCCCATTATTATTCAGTCTCCTGTTGTAGCAATTGTCACTATCTTCCTCTTAAAGCTTCCATTTGCTTGTGCTGACCATTTCCTATCTTCTCTCCAATTGCTAAAGCTCTTATATTCTTTGTTGAGCAGGTGATCAACTTAGGTGACAAATTCACACTTCTCACCAGCTCCCTTAAAACTACTGACAGCAACTGATGTCTATGGAGTGACTTACTGTATCTGTCAAGAGCTCTGCTAGGCACTTAACATACATTATGTCATTTAATCAAAACAATGCCTTACTTTAACTATTATTATTGTTCCTGTTGCATAGACAAAAGCCCGAGACTCAGTAATACTCTGTGACTTGCCCAAGGTCACAGAGCTAGGCAGGGATGGACCTGGGTTCAATGACAGGCTGTATGACTTCAAGTCTTATACTTTTTGATTTGAGACACTGCCTTAGAACACTTTGTCATATCAGAAAGGGAGTTCAGCTCAAACCCTCTTTTGTGTTAGCAATATTGAAATTTACTTATGATTTAATATAGTTATTTGGGGGGGTATTATTTTGTGTATGTGGCTTTTTTTTACTTGTATATTTCATTTAATTTTTTTATTATGAACTCACTGTTTACTATTGTTCTATTTTTCCCATCATGATCAACAATAGAAGTATGAAAACTAGATGCATAGTTAGATTTTTTACCATGAACAGCAGAACTCAATTCAAACTGCTTAAGAAATACAGATCTTTAGCACTTCACATTTTAGTAAGTCCACAGGATGATGGTTGCTGGGAGTGGTTGATGTTGGACTCGTTGATACCAAATTTGAAATATTCCAGGAGGTAAGGGTCTGGCATCCTTGATGATGGCTTCCTCTCCCAGCTGGGAGCAAGATGGCTGAGAAAGCCCTAGGCATCGTACCTAGACACACGATACCCAGAGAGGAGGGGTCTTCTCCTCTCGTGTCTCCTTGGGAGTGGGAGAGCATTTTCCAGGTGCATTCCAGCCAAATTTTCATCTTTTTTCACTGGCTACAATGGATCCAGGTGCCTATGCTAAAACCGGTATCTGAAAAAAGTGAAATAGAATGACCAGAATTAGGCAGTCATTTGGGGGTGAAACTGATGGTAGGGAATCAAATTCAGTGATTAATATATGTGTATATAATGAGTATGAAAACATACAAATATGTTGTTATTACCTGATAAGGTAGATAGCATGATATAGGTATTCTATCTGCTACTTCTTTTATAATTAAAAAAATCCCTTTACTGGAGCTAAAGTAGTTCTATAGAGGTAGCCGTGAGGCTGGAGCCTCATAGGTCATGGAGTGTTTGGGGGTGGGTGTAGAGAGGAGAGAGGGTGGGTGACTAATAGGAGAGAAGAAGCATTTCAGGGCAAGGGACCGGCACAAGTAAAGGCAGAGAGCTGGAAAGAATAGGGTGTGCTTCTGGGTTGTGATTGGGTCATGATTCCCTGGTCACAGTTCCCTGGCAAGCGAGGAATCTGGAAGAGTGAATATGGATGAACTGTAGGCGGCCTTGAGAGTCAGGTCTGAAGAATTGGCCTCGCCAGTGAGTTTATACCCATAAAAGATGTGTACAAGGAAGAAAGGAAAACCTGAAGCAAACAAGACATAATAAAGGGCAGTGCTCACCATAAGTCTACTCTTACGCATGATAAAATTTTAGAAATCCAAGTCCCCTCTCTTTCTAGTTAGGTTACTGTGCCTAAGTTCTTCCTCCATAAGAGTGTCAAAGCCGCGCTGGTGATAGTGATCAAGGATGGGATGGTACAACCCCCTGTTCTCTACCCTACATCTCCTTCCTCCCTCCCTCCCTCCCTCCCTCCTTCCTTCTTTCCTTCCTTCCTTCCTTCTCTTTCTCTTTTTTCTTTTTATTTTCTTTCTCCCTGTCCTCCCCTCCTCTCTCCTTCCTTCCATTGTCTTTTCTTTACTCAAGGGCACTCTTTGTTTCTGGAGGTCTCAGTACAGGGCCTTGCCACTGTAGGCACCTGGTGACTGCTTGTTGAACTCAATCGAAGTCTTCATGTTATCTTCTCCTTTCTTCCTCTTCTTTTTATTTAGGGTAACAATCCCTCCATTTTTGGTGACTCTCTACTCTGCCTAACCTTAAGTTTTTCTAAGGTACTAGGGAAATTTCTTCATCCAGTTATGGATTCTCAGGGACAAAGGTGTTTCTGTTCCCTGTGTTCAGCATCTCAGCTGTTTGATGGAATGTGTTTCTGAAATTTGGGTTCTTCTGCTAGAGTAGCTGCTTAAAGCAGGATCCACGGGCCTTGGGGGAGCCAAGTATGAGCTCTAAGACCTGCTATCTCCAGGTAGATAGTGTGAGGATCAAATTAGAGGACACCCAGCTGGTGTCCTGGAGAATTGCTTGGTCAGTGTGAGGGGAAAACCCACACACATTTTGGTCATAAGGGGTGACTTGCATGTGAGAGTAGAGTAGGGAAAGTACTTTGGTTTTTCTCTTTGCAATTGTTATGTGGTCTCAGAAGCCTCTACCCATGGACTCAGATGCCCCATTTCCTCAGGGTGAGGGCAGACGTAGTCAAGACAGTTTCTGAATGTTCATAAAAGTTAGTAATAATGACATGGTCCTGGAAGCTGAGGCTTTCTTTGGCAAGAGCTGGCTTTATAGGGGAATGCTTCTTGAGCCCAAAGAGGCTCAGGATCTGGTAAACTTGGAGGATAGAATTCCTTCCATAAACCATAATACACCATGATGTGAGAGAACTTTTCCAGACCCAAAGCAGATATAGGCTAATAGCTGGCCATAAGAGAAAGACTAGAGAGGATAAGATTTGCAGTTAGGTGCTGGTAGGTACCTGAAAAGGAATCACGTATAAACTTCTTCACTGAATCAAGCCCCAGAAGAGACCAGAGAATCCTCTGATAATTTGAGGAAGCCACAAGCAACCTGTCTCTTACATTTCAGGTAAAGTCCAAGAAAGCCAGGAGCCTTCTACTGGGTCTCCCTTTTCCAGCTTGTGAGGTAAAACCTCAAAAAATAGAATCAATGGTGTGGCACGGCTTAGAGAAGAAGGGGGCACCCAGTGTCACTTCCCTCTTGAGTCTCCCATGACCTCAGAGTGGTGCCAGAGTGGGTGTGGGCTACCCGCACCTCCAAGATGGGTGTGGCAGGGAGTGTGGGCAGGTTGGGAGACCCAGATGAAAAAGCTCACTTGCTGCCAGAGAGAGGTGGGAACACTTCGGCAGTGCTTGTTACTGAACCAGACTTGCTTTGCCTATTGCACAGTATGCCAATCACTGAGATGATGAGTTTTGCATTGCAGAAAGGGTTTATTCACAAGGCAGCCAAGTGAAGAGACTGGAGAACAAGACTCAAATCTACCTCTCTGAAGATGGGGGTTTTAGGGATATTTATGGGCCAGGGGAGCAAGGTGGTATGAAGCGTAGGGAAAGGTGACTGGGGGTAATGAAAAGTGAGGCAATTGGTGATCTTCACAAGCATAGTCAAGCTTCATGGCTCTTTATAGGATGCATGTTCATAAAATAGCATGGTTAGCATGATCTAAAGGTATATTTTTAGGCCCTCTGATCTCAAATGGTCACCTATCGGACACTCATGCAGGCTTATTTGAAGGGTCGGTGGTCTCAGTAGGCTTGAAGTGGGTAAGAACTGACTCTACGTTCCTGAAAAACAACTTAGGCAACTGTTACCATGGTGACTCATACATCAGAGATGTCGTCTATAAGGAAGCTAGTGGGAATTTAGATATATATTGTTTCGCTACATCACTTTTAGCTAAATGGGTTTTAAAATCGACTAAAAGCAAGTGACCGAAAACAAGTGAGGTAAGTTAAGTTTGTGGATCCAAACAGATTAGCCTTAGGTTTCACAGGTGTGGTGGGGGTACAGCCACAGGCAAAACCAGATGGGAGGAGTCCCATCAGCATTGGATTCCTAGGTGCACGGGACAGGGACGGACTGTGGTGTGCGACACCCCCGTGCACCAACACCTGACACCGGGTCACTGGCCATAAGAAGGGAAGGAAGGATGGTGGCGGAAAATCCTGGCAGGGCTGGGGGTTTATCCAAAAGACACTACATTGACTCTAGAAGCAACTGAGTTTCTCTTTAATTGGAGAGTTTTTATTTTTCTGTTTTTTGTTTGTTTGTTTTTGTTTTTGTTTTTTGAAATGGAGTCTTGCTCTGTCACCAGGCTAGAGTGCAGTGGCGCCATCTCGGCTCACTGCAACCTCAGCCTCCCAGATTGAAGCAATCCTCTTGCCCCAGCCTCCATAGTAGCTGGGACCACAGGCACATGCCACCACGCCCAGCTAATTTTTTGTATTTTTAGTAGAGACAGGGTTTCACCATGTTGGCCAGGAAACTCTCGATCTCTTGACCTTGTGATCCGTCAGCCTCGTCCTCCCAAAGTGCTGGGATTACAGGCAGGAGCCAACGTGGCTGGCCAAGAGTTTTTGTTTTTCTATCATCATCAGAAGGGGGATTTGAGAGCTTCATTATGTTCAATGATAGAGAAATTAAGAGTTCTTTTTTCGTTCTGCCCAAGTTCATGACCATGACATTTACACCCTCTACATATGGTCATCAGTCTGTAGGTGAAATTGGCAACTGGATAGTACTCGCTACTATTCCTCTGGACCAGCTGAGTCGTGGGCCTCTAAATAGCTGTCATGAGGGAGTTCTTAAAGGTAGAGAATTTAATATCTGAGCTTCTGTGTGTGCGTGTATATGTGCGTGTGCATGTGTAGTGTATGTGCATCTTGTGTACGTGTGTGGTGTGCATCTGTGTATGTATGTGTGGTGTGTGCATGTGTGGTATGCATATCTGTGTGTGAGTGCATGTGTGTGTATGTCAATGTTGTCTTCAGTTTCATGTCAAGTATTTCACGTATGCCTACATTTTCTATCATCTTTGTCTCACTTTCACTTGAGGCAAATGATCAAAAGCTGATTGATCATTTGAAGACATGAATTGAAAGGGGCTAAAAAAGTGTTACTTTTCTGAATAATATTTTTGGCTACTTAAAAAAAGTAAAGTCTTTTTAAAATGGAGGTGATAGTAGCCTTTTACTTCCTGTTGTCAGATTATATTGGAACATTTATTTTTTCACCTCTAAGTTCACAGGGCAAAGGGGTTATGGCTTGGCTGGACATTTTTCAGGAGATGAGAAGACCAAAGTTGGTGAAGATTACACGTGGCTTGAGAATATGCAATATGAAGACATGTTGAGAAAATGATGTGATAAAAAGAATAGTCTAAAGAAAGTAAGATTCAGAAGGGTTATGAAGACAGTTTTCAAGTTTCTGAAGGTGAATGGAAGGTAAATTAAACTTGATTTGTATATTCTCAAATCAAAAAAGTAGAAACAAAATGAGACAACTTTCTGCGTTAAATAGGGCAGTACTTTCCATCATTCGAGACAAGTCAGACAATTTCAGGTGAATTGCATTCCCTAGGAGACAGGGTGAGTGGAACTTCATCCTAGGATGCCATGGAGAGGCAACCAGTAGAAGAAAGCTTCACTGGGGCTCCTGTGGTTCCTTTCATCACTGCAATTTTGTGATTTGATGAAATTTCCATACTATGTAAACTTAAACAGGACCATGACCCACTTTTTCCCTCCTTTTACATCTTTTTCCTGGCCTGTTAACAAAGATTTAATGACCTACTAATGCTTGAGGCATTCTTGAAAAACCGCTGTCGGATTAGCACTTGGTTTTAAAAAAATGAATTTCTTTCTTTGGTTTGTTGCCTTTTCCCCCAAGTAAGATGCATGGTTGTGTTTCTCGCCCCACCTCGACTTTGGGAACTGGGCCTCAGTGAGATAAGATTTGCCTGGTTTTGTGTCCTATTTAAAATATGAACTGAGGTGAAGGTTGTGTACTTTGCACTTAGAAGAAAGACTGTTCCTCTAGCACTTGAACAATTGCCTCTCCCTCCCACTCTGAGTGGCACATGGGTCAACTTGCAGAGAGCTGTGGCTTCCAAGGTTCTCTTCCCATGTGATTGGATGTCAAGAGAGGCCTCAAGCATAATAACCAGGAGGGGAAAATTTAGAGGAAGTCTGTGGTTCTGATTTGCTACACCAAATTATTCTTAAATCGAGTCAAAAACATGGGCATATTTCAGTGGTTCTCAAATGGAAAAAAAAATTCTTATCTGGGTTTATGCAGTGGTATTTGCTACATGATTTCCAGTTTTTGTAACTTCTGCAAAGACAGAAGCTCTAGTGTGGAACATCCTCCCCTTTTCCAAACATCGAAATCCTGTTTATCCTTAAACACGACTGAGACACTTTCTTCAACCTCCAATCAGAGGATATCTCATCATTCTTAGAATTTCCACAGCATGTTGTTTATATGCCTGTTTAGCATAAATTTCATTATGCATTGCTCTTTCCATCATTGTGTTCTCCATAAGACTGCAAATTTCTCAATGGCATCTTCATCTTTATATTCCTCCCATGATACTTGGTGTAATGCCTGTTAATTGGCAGGTGGTGGTGGTTTGTGGAGTGAAGAGATTAACGAATCTGTCATAACTCCTTTCCTCACCACATTCTTAAACTGTGCAGTAGCCCCCAGAGTAGGGAAAGACACTAAAGAGAGTGCATGAATTAAATACTTGGCACTTCAGAATAATTTTCATCAAGTTAGCTTGAGAGCTATGAACTTCATCGTTAGACCGTCTTTGTTCTTAAAACTCCCCTTGCCTCCGTACCCCCTTCTCACTAAAAGAGCCAATATCTGCTTTAAAATCAGCTTCAAAATGGAATGCCTGGATTTACATTACAAGCTCCTGGAGAACTAGAACTGTCTCATTTATTTTTTTCGCCCGATGCACTTGGCTTCATCCCAGGCAATTGTAGGTCTTCTGTAAATATCTGATGAATTTCTGAAAAAGTAAAGGAAGGTCAGAATTCATTTAAATGCATATTTTACTCCATATGACGCCAAAGCATTAATGACAAAAGTTTTTACTTTTTGAAAGTTAGCATAGGTTCAACCTAGAGAATAAAAGACACAGACTTTAAAAACGGTCATTTTGGCTACTTCTGACTAGTAGGTTAGAATTATGGCAGAGGCAGTAACAAAGAAAAATAAATTAACAAAATGTGGTTGATTCTGTGGTCTTGTATCGACACAGCTAAGTAGAATTGTGCTAGTGAATAATGAATGTAGGTTGATGGTCATCTACTGTTTAATGGTTTCCAAACTAACATTTAAATGGAAATGAGTGGCTTATACCAAAGTCCAAATAATACAGTTCTCAGCCAACATTGTATATGAATGTTGATTTTGGATTGATGATGGCAGTGTATTAATAAGAAGCCTGAAAGATTATATTATCTCTGCGGGTTACTCAAATAGATTTACACAGAAAATCATTTTGTGGAATAATAAGGGTAATTTTATATATGGATAGTGAGAAGGACATTGTGTTTGGCATCTGGAGACCTGGATCATTTTCCTGGCCCTGTAACAAACAACCTCTTTCCTCTGAGAACTTTTAGCTTTGTCCATCTTTCTGTTGCTGTGCTTGCAACTACGGTATAGTTAATTGTGTAAATATTTGTATTCCATTACTTTTTCTAGGTCGAAGCTGTCTTGTTTATCTTTGAATTCACAGTGCTTAGCAGAGTGTCCAGTAGTGTGTATACCCATTACATATCCAGGGAATGCATTGAAATGAAGGAGTTGGATAACATCATTAATTTCTGCTTCTAATGTTTTGAGATTCTCAAGAACAGAGAAATTCAACACACACACTCACACACACACATGCAGATTAAATTATGGGCTCAGATTTTTCAGGGAGAAACCATAGAAGGCATGTAGTCTAATTTTTTCCCCATAGATGAAAAAGTATAGCAAGTCAGTCTCTACACCTTGCAGATACAATAGAAACCATCAGACAGGAACTCCTGTAGTTTTCCCATATGAGACATATAACCTTGACCATCAGTAGCCATCTCATCCTTTCTCCTCAGTAGTGTAGGTTCAGGTACCTCTTCCTGTGTATTCCACACGCCCCCTCCCTGAGTCTCTTACTTTCTCTTGTATATTAAGATTCTCCCTCTCAACTTGGGCTGTCCCTCTCAACTTGGGCTATCCCAGTGTTTTTGTTTTTTTGTTTTAAATATTCTTATGTGTCTTCTACACACACACACACACACACACACACACACACACACACACACACAGCTTTTTAGATCCCATAGCTCTATCCATCTCAGCCAAACTTCTTGAAAGAGTGGCTCATATTCACTTTCTCTCTTTCCTCATCTTCTGCTCTCTCCATACTCTTCCATCTGCCATTGGCCTCTTTCATGTCATTGTAGTAGCATTTGGTAAACCTATGAATCACTTGCTGCTGAAACTAACAGAATTCTGGTTGTTCCTTCTCAGGTTTATCTTCCTCAATGATATGTTTAAAATTGGGAATTCCTTAAGGATCAGTACTCAGTCAAATTCCTTTCTCATTCCATAAGCTCACTATACTGTTCCATGCCCATATTTTGTATTTTCTCTTAAATATGACTCTTAGATTTATACTTCAAGCCCAGATCCCTCATATCTCATGCCATTTTGGCTGCCTCAAAGGCATCAAGCCAAACATATCCCAAAACAATTCATTATACAGTATTTCTCCCTCTCACCAAAAATCTTTTGATTCTCTTTCAATATTTACTATTTTTTGAAGGATCCTGACTATATATTCCTTTTCTTTTTTTTGGAGATAAAGTCTCACTCTGTTGCCTAGGCTGGAGCGCAGTGGCATGATTTCCACTCACTGCAGCCTCCGCCTCCTGGGATCAAGCAATTCTCCTGCCTTAGCTTCCCTAGTAGCTGGGATTACAGGCATGTGCCACTATGCCTGGCTATTTTTTTTTTTTTTTGTATTTTTAGTAGAAATGGGGTTTCACCATGTTGGCCAGGCTGGACTAGAACTCCTGACCTCAAGTGATCCACCCGCCTTGGCCTCCCAAAATGCATATATTCTTATAAAATCTATATCAACTCACCCTCATAACAAGTTCTTCAACAAATCCTATTGAGTTTCATCTCCCTAATATCTTTAATCTGTTATGTCTCTTCATCTTCACTACCAACACCCTAGTCTAATCTACCATTATCTATTTCCTGGACTGCTTACTGCCTTCTAAATCATCTCATCTTCTCTTGACTCCTTCCAATCCAATCTCCAAAGTTCAGACAGATAGATACTATCAAAACCACTATCTGTTCAAACCTACTCATAAGAACTTCAATGATTTCCCATTACTCTTCAGATGAAGACTAAAATGCTTAACCAGGCCTTCTTAATCATATGTAGGCTAGACTCTACTTAATTCTCTACTTGATTTCTCGTAATTTTCCTTCTCATTCTCTGCACTATAGATACTTGACTTTTTTTTTGTCCTGTATACCTGCTCTCCTCCCTCCAACCACAATGCTTTATAATGCTATGCTGGCAACTGTTTAAAAATTAGATTAAAAAAAAAACCACTAAGAAATCTTTCTCTACCCCTCTCCTCCAAATTCTTATCTTGTAGAATTTGCAGTTTTATTCTCTATGGTGTAATATTCCCAACATGACACCAACTGGCTTGAAATATTCCTGAAAATTCAATAATATGCTGTTATGAGTAAGTATGGAGGTGGGTCTTGCACACAGTGATGACTATTTCTTTCACCTAGATTCTCTATTCTTGTTGCTCTAAAAATCCCCCCTTATTTCGAGAGTCCGGCTACATCAACACTTCCTCAGGGAAGCCTTCCTTGATTTCCCTGACTAGGTTAAATCCTCCCACCAGATGTTCTTGGAGCCCATGCAATGCCTGTGTAAGGCCCTTATTGCAGTGTACTTTTACATTTATTTGACGGATTTGATTAATGCCTGTCTCCATGAGTAGACTTTTAAGCTTCATGAGTAAGACGAACATGTCTGCTTTTGGTCAACATTGAATTCCCAGGGCTCAACACATTATCTGGCATATAGTAAACACTCAATAAATATGTGCTGAATGAATGGTCAAAAGGGACTTTTGACATAGAGAGCATCTTGGTTTACTGATGCCTATTTCCACATATATCTGGAATGAAAATGTTTAGAGTGAGGTTACTAATTTACTCATAGTGAACTCAGGTACGCTTTCTTACAAATTTAAACTTAAAATTGATCTGCTTTTCCTCACCAACCTAAATTGGTTTACTGGAAGGGGAAACAGCATATTTGGGGTGAATCTTGTTCCTTGAGTCTGATTCATAAATTATCTTCAGTGTAATTGGATTGTTTGTACCTTAAAGGATAAATGCTTGAGGGAATAGGTACCCTATTCTCCATGATGTGGTTATTTCACATTGTATACCTGTATCAAAATAATCTCATGTATCCCATAAATATATACACCTACTATGTACCCACAGAATTTTAAAAAATAATCATCATCATACATTATCTTTAATTAACTGCTTATTTTTGGATAAATTATAGTTCTTCCGATTTCTGTTTCCTTCCTTTCCTCCTTCCCTAGATGAAAAATCTGGGTGCAAGGTGAATGGATTGTGACTTATGTGGTCTCTTGACAGCAGAGGTGAGTCAGGATCCCAGGGTCCACACAGAGCGGTTGTCTCGGGGCTGTTAAAGTGGTTGGTTTGGCGCCATTAAGTATTCCAGTATCTGCAGGGTTATTCAAGCTCTGAATGTTTACTGGTTTGGTCAATGCCACCAGACCTTTCTGTTGATCTTGGTGTGTTGCAGACTCTTCAAAATCTGGCTACAGCCAAGCCCATGTGTTCCTGGCCCAAACTGTCTGCCTTTGGCTTTTGGCCACAGAATCATTTAGCCATTCTATGACAGCCAGCTCTGGCAAATTTCCTGGCCAGACTTTCAGCTAATGAAGAGACATACTGGGCTTTTAGGTTCCCTTCCTTGCTTCCTAGGAACCAAGGGAAACTTGGAAGAGTTCATGCAAACCTTCCCTATGTCTAACCATGCTGGGGAGCTGAGGTTTGATCTGGTGACTTAGATCTGGGGAGAAGAAATGTGGACCCACATGCAACAAACTGCGCCACCTCCTTCTAAGTTAGTCTTCTCACAATCCACTGGTACTGCAGACAATGTTCTCCTCCCTCTTCTTGTCTGTCAGGAATTTCCCTTAAGTAAGATATCATGACGCAGTCCACCAGGATAACCTCTTCATGTGGAAGATAGAAAAACAATAAAACATAAAAATCTTCTATCTCAAGAAACCTGAATCTCAGTATTATCTTTGACTACAAAATTTTGTTTTGAATATCATAAATAGAATATTAATTATTTTCATTCTTGGTAAAAATGCTTAGGTCCCAATGCCACTCCCCTAGCAAGTAATAAATGTCTTTGAAGAAATTGCAAAGAAGAAAAGAACAGGGATATATTTAGCAAACATGATCTTCCTTGTCCTTTGATAGGAAAGCAGTACAAACAGAGTCATGGAATTGGCACTCCTCGAATTTTCACAGATCCAATGTGATCTGGCCCAAGAAATAGAAAATGCTCTCCATGACTTCACAGCCACTTCCCATCAATCCATCCTGAGCACTGCATCGGTGCTTTTCAAAGTTTGGTTTTACCTTTCATTATCCAACTCTGCTCTATAAAGCTTCCCTGGCCCCGTGGAGTGGGGGTAGAACACAAAGCTTTCATAGCTCCCAGGGCCCTCGGTAAGTCATTTCAAAATTTTTCCCACCTGACGTTGGAATGACCTCTGTATCCATTGAACGTTTTGAACTTTTACCTCTCGGTGCTTTTCCTAAGATAGTCCCCTCACTTGTAATGTTTCTGTCCAAATCTCACGCCAAGCCCACTACCTCCTGAAGCTTTCCCTCTGTGGTCCAGCTCAAAGGCGACAGAACCCACAGAGACATGACGAGCTTTGCCAACTGTTCAACACTGAACAAGGCATTGATTGATTTCCTAGCTGTGCCTGTAATAGTTGGGTGACCTTGGGCAAATCCTTTTACCTCTCTAGGTTGGATTCCCTTATCAAGATGGAGAGTGAGCAGGAAGGGTAAGGTACAGACAGATATTTAGGTGGCCTCTAAGAGTTCTTAAGATCATGCATTGAGGACGTATTCTATAACTATAACCTAAAGGTCATGTACTTTTTAAAGCATTGAAGTAGTGGCCAACATTCCAAAACTGGGAGGTTTCTGTGTCCATTTAAAACAGATTTGGCAATATTGGGCTGGTATCTCCACATGGCAGCAGTAGATTGGTGCTGAGTTGTTTCCCACCTGGTGGGAACTGGGTTCTCTGGTGCCCCACATCTCTACTGCACTTTTGTTTTTTAAACTACTTGGCACATGTAGACACTGGGTTTCTAGCCTTGGCTTTAGGGAGTTCCTGGTGCCATTTCTTACACTAAACCATGATCCTTATATTGTTGTTTCATGATTTATGATTTAATGGCTTGTTTCCCCAGATACCCTATAATTGTCTTGAGAACAAGGCTTAACACCTTTGAACTCTTTCTATGTGTCAGGCACTGTTATAAACACTTCACATGTATTAACTCATTTAATTGGACTTCTTTATTCCTCACAGCAGCTAGGAAAATGTATTGCATGTAGTTGCTGCCAAATATACTTGTGGATTATTTCATGAACTATTTGGCAAAATGTCAGACTGGAGTCAGGCTCCTTGTGTTCATATTGTGTTCCACTTTCACTATACCTGTGTAGCCTTGAGTAAATGGATAAACTTGTAAACCCCAAGAAATACGACACTCTGTTAGTCTATCTATTTATCTATCTATCATCTATCTATCTATCATCTATCACTATCGCTTTTTAGATATAATTTTCATAAAATAAAATGCACAGTTCAGTGAGTTTTAACAAACATTTAACAAATACACCTATGGAATCTCCACTTTAATCAAGCTATAGAATATTTCCATCACACCTGAAAGTTTTCTCATGTCTTTTTCCAATGGAAACCTACCTTTCTTCTGATTTCTATCACTGTAAATTAATTTGAACTGTCCTAGAACTTTATATACATAGACTCATACCACCTGTAATTTTGGGGGGGCTGGGTTCTTTGCTCAACATATTTATTTCCTTTTTTGCAGTTGGTATCAGAAGTGAAATGAAGCATAATGCTTTTGTGATTCATCCATGTTGCAATATATGTTAGTGGCTCCTCCTTTTTCATCGCTGAGTAGTATTCCCTTGTATGAATATATCACAATTTATTTATTCACTTATTTGTTGGTGGGCACTTGAGTTATTTCTAGTTTTAAGTTACTATAAATAAATCTTCTATAAATATTTTTATGCAAATTATTTTTGGTAGACATTTTTCCCCTTAGTTTTCTCATCTGCTGAGTGTGACCAAAAATAATATCCACCTCTTACCATCTTCTGAGGATTAAATGAAAACTTGCATATAAAACCATAACATGAACCCTAGCACTTAATAAGTTTTATCAGTTAATTTTATCTATTATTGTTTTATAAAGAAAAATAAAAGTTGACTTTGCTGTGTATCTAAAGTATTAACTCTCATTTGTCTATAAACAAAAAATAAAGCATGCCATTTCAGACCATTCTTTATTTGAGATCATTTGAACTACACAGATACTTACATTTGAATTATCTGGATAAAATCTGCAGCTTGAACTCAAAAGTATTCAATTTTGACTTAAACTCAAGTCACGCAAACACATGCAAAGTTGAAGGGCGTGCAAAACCAGTAATTGAAAGGACTTGTTTATAAGAAGAACTAATATTAGCCTCATAAAAGAAGCTCACATAATTTTCTGAACTTAAAATGCATCTTATGGGATAATGTTTTGATAAGTTGAGTAGAAGTGAATTAGGACCATGTGCGAATATATTTTCCGCAAAAGGGACTTCAACGTTTACATATAATGAAAAAAAGATGCTTGGGGCAAACGCATTTAAAGCTTTGACGAACTCACAACTTGTAACAGTTGCATAAACTTAAAGGCCATTACTGCTCAGTTTTTCCCCAATGACTAGAATGCCCTCTCTCACCTGTCACTTTGCTCACAGACACGTGAGAAAAACACACCTTTTGCATTGGCAGAAGAACTAAGCCTGACATATTTCACTAGTAGGTGACTTACCAGCCATTTGCCTCTGTCACTACATCCATTTACATTCTTACTGAGTGTCTAATGTTTCCCACCTGCCCTTTATTTTGGCAGGGTCTCCAAGGCAGGCAGGCTAGCAGGTAATGGAAGCCACCAATCCTTTACCCACTCTTGGGATGACTCTGTTGGAACGAATTACAGAAACTAATGTTAGTCAATTTTCTATATGTCCATTACCTTGTTCTTGACTGTTATAACTGTTGGAAATAATCTATTCTAAGTATACGTGACTGAACGATTTAAATGGGGTCTAATAAAAGTAAAAATGCTTTTATTAATTAATTCAAAAACTATTTGTTGTACAACTAACAGGAATGGTGCTATTTAGGATAATTCTTTGCCCTCTCAGACCTTACCATTCAAAAGGGGAGCTAAGTCACATGTTCATAGAAACTATCTATAATCAACATAATAGGTGCAATAATATATAGGATTCTTCTTTTTTCTTCATCTCCATGGCCATAAAAGGTGAGTTACAAATCTCACCTAGAAGACGATCAGAAAAATTCATATTAACATTTTTGTACATTTTCTCATGTTCCTCTTTTTTGGAAGTTTTACATATTTGAGATAAACTGTATCATGCCTATTTTCACTGAATATTAATAATATTTTTGATGGAATTAAAAGTCTTTCAAAATATAATTTGTAATGACCATATAGAATTTAATCTTATGGATCTACTGTATCTTCTTGAAACATTTCACTGTTGCCGGGTATTTAGGTTTGTTTCCTATATTTCATCATTATAAATAAACATCTTCACAAATACTGTCTTTCTATGTTTTACATTAGATATGTAGTCTTGTCTCTTGGATATAGAATTAGGGGATTCAAAGTGTATGAATATGCCAGCGCTCTGGGTACATATTACCACATGTTACCAAATTGAACTGTACTGATGATGATCCCACACGCTTTAGTAATAGCTATTAGAGTTGGAAAGTCTGAGCTAATCTGATAACTATAATATGATGTTGCATTGTTTCTAGTTCTCTGATTACTAATGAAGTAGAATAGTTTTCATGTGTTTATTAGTTATTTGACATAGGATGTTATCATGTAGAAGGTCATCAATTTGTTGAATAAGTATGTATTAAAATCCTATTATGATAGCAAAAATGTGGAAACAACCCAAATGTCCATCAATAGATAAATGGATAAACCAAATGTGATATATCCATACAGCAGAATGTTATTCAGCTATAAAAAATGAAATGTTAATATATTATAGCATGATGAACCTTGAAAACATTGTGTTAAGTGAAAGACACCAGTCAATCACAAAAGGTCCCATCTCGTTTCATTTCATTTTATGAAATTGGCACAATATACAGATCCATCAAAAACCAAAAGCAAGCTAGTGGTTTCCAGAGGCTGGATGAAGGGAGGAAGGGGAGCTAATCTTAATAGCTATGGGGTCTCTTTACGGAGTGATGAAAATATTCTGGAAATGGAGAAGCAGCGATGGTTCCACAACCTTGTGAATAGACCGCTCAGTTGTACACTACAAGAATGTGAATTTAATGGTATGCAAATTACATAAGAACCTATTACGCCCAGGTAGTAGGCTATTGTTGGGGGTATTAGATCAATAAGATGGAGCTTACATTTCGTGGAGAAGATAACTGGTCATTTAGGGGCACAGAGGAAGTGCATATAACCAGGTTGTGGTACTATTTTAAAACCCAGACAATCTCTCAAGACTAATGTGTGGAAGCACAGTTAGAGGCAGGAATGTCCTCTGTGGATTTTCCATGGTTTCTGTGTTTTGGGTCCTAACTTTGTCTTCTTTGGGAAATTGGACTTTTCAGTTTGTCTGTCTTGATTCTGTTAAGTAGAAGATGATCGGATTTATACTTCATCGTGGACTGCATACTACATATGAAAAATTGTCATATCTGTGCCTCATTTTTTAACATTCACAACGTGATATTAAACTCGTTTCTCCCCTAGGAAGCAACTCTTGGAGAACATCTTTGTGCTCCAACACCTAACTCCATGACTAACATACAGCAGTTTTTCCTTTAATAGTTTTTAAACTTTACTCAAGAAACAAATAACTCGTCCATCACTTGTTATTGTCCCAAGAAGTATAAATAAACTTAGCCAAGTTATTTATTTTATTTTCCTTCATTTTATACAGGTTTATTGTTTGTAAATCCTGCCTTAGTGCTAATTATGTTAAATGTGTTTCATGATCTGTAAAATGGAAAGGATTTAAGTGAGGTTGCATATCTCAAGTAGCCCAGTAACGTAGCTGGGCTGGGAATTTGCAAGAAAGTTGATCCAGAGATCTAGTTTTAGTGCCCTGCCTCTCTCCTCTCCCTCTTTAACGGGTTGAACAACACTATGTAATTTATTTCCTTTGGGATTCAGACACATTACCTGAAAAATTTAGAACTTACCTGCATTGTCTACTTCACAGAATTTATTGCACAGATTAATTTAAAAATGTGATATTTTGTAAAGCAGAATGCATTCTATAAACTGGATCATCATCTTCATAGTCATTATCATCATCATCATTATTATCTTCCTCATAAGTATTATTTCAGATGCCAACTTTGTTTAGTTTTTCAAGAGAGACAAAAGAGAATTAGAATAGAAAATTATTTTGCCTTATTAATCAAAACCAATACGAGCTAAGGGAATATAGGTTACCATCTTGGTTATGATTAAAGAAGAACGTCTCATTGAACTCATTTGCTTAAATTATACAATACAATGTATAGGACAACAGAGTGGTGTTTATCTGGGTGGACTGATCATTTGTTGGGCTGATTTATCTGAACATAACATAGCTAGGCTGTGCTGTAACCTCTAAGCAGTGCACATCTCATTACTTTGTAGTGTCCCATGAAGGTTTTCTGGAAAATGAGGTTGAGTTATGGCTGTTCCTGGCAGGCAGTGTCATTTTCATTTGCTGTCAGTGAATGCTGAAGAGTGAGGAGTCACAAGAGCACTATATTTTGTGTCATATGAGATTGCCCTGTGATAAATGATTACTGTACAGGGATAGGATACTAAACTAATCAGTCACTGGAGGATGATATTGATAAGCAGCTATCACCCTGTGGCAGTGAAGCAGGGAAGGGGCTAAAGGAACCCATGCTTTACAGCTGCTTTTCAGAACTGACCGTTACCTTGTGATGGAGGAGGAGGAGGAGGAGGCAGTAGTGATTTGCCAACATCTTTGAACCTTTCCTGGGTGACCTGCCATCAAGGAATATTTCCTGGACTGCTTGTGGAAAGCACATTTCAGGGTGCTAGTACCATCTTGTGGAGATGGTTAAATAAATTACGAATAGAACAGAGAACATCCGATTACTTTGCCTGACTGTGAGGAGATGGGTTTGCGCCTGCTCTTTCTTGGCCTTCTGCAATGAGTAAAATCTTCCTAAGGCCTCCCCAGGAGTTAAGCAGATGCTAGTACCATGCTTATACAGCCTGCAGAACCATGAGCCAATTAAACCTCTTTTATTTCTAAATAACCCTGTCTCAGGTATTTCTTTATAGCAATGCAAGAACAGCCTAAT
Source organism: Homo sapiens (assembly GCF_000001405.40). Classification (NCBI taxonomy): domain Eukaryota; kingdom Metazoa; phylum Chordata; class Mammalia; order Primates; family Hominidae; genus Homo; species Homo sapiens. The sequence goes on from NC_000017.11 coordinate 14,641,980, forward strand.
GCACGGGCTCTAGGCTGCACTTTCAGAGTCCAATTAGAAAATGTCCTCTTCACTTAGTTTCTCAAAATTATTAGAAGATACTCCCTGGAGGTGAGTTTTAATAAAGAATGATGTTCCAGCCAGAGCAATCATACAAGAGAAAGAAATAAAGGACATCCCCATATCAGTAAAGAGGAAGTCAAACTGCTGTTGTTCGCCGATGACGTGATCATGTAACTAGAAAACCCTAAAGACTCATCCAAAAAGCTTCTAGATCTGATAAATGAATTCAGTAAAGTTACAGAATACAAAATCAATGTACACAAATCAGTAGCACTGCTATACTTAACAGCAACCAAGCTGAGAATCAAATCAAGAGCTCAATCCCTTTTACAATAGCTGCAAAATCAAATCAAATCAAATACTTGGAATATACCTAACCAAGGAGGTGAAAGACCTCTACAAGGAAAACTACAAAACACTGTTGAAAGAAATCATAGATGACACAAACAAATGGAAACACATCCCATGCTCATGGATGGGTAGAATCAATATTGTGAAAATGACGATACTGCCAAAAGCAATCTACAAATTCAATGTAATTCCCATCAAAATACTGTCATTCTTCACAGAACTAGAAAAAAAATTCTAAAATTCATATTGAACCAAAAAGGAGCCCACATAGCCAAAGCAAGACTAAGCAAAAGGAACCAATCTGGAGGCATCACATTACCCAATTTCAAACTATACTATAAGGCTGTAGTCACCTAAACAGCATGGAACTGGCATAAAAATAAGCACATAGAACAATGGAACAGAATAAAGAACCCAGAAATAAAGCCAAATATTTACAGCCAGTTGATTTTTGACAAAGCAAACAAAAACATAAAGTGGGGAAAGGACACCCTATTCAACAAATGGTGCTCAGATAATCGGCAAGCAACATGTAGAAGAATGAAACTGGATCATCATCTCTCACCTTATAAAAAAATCAACTCAGGATGGATCAAAGATTTACATCTAAGGCCTGAAAACGTTAAAATTCTGGAAGATAACATCGGAAAAACCTTTGTAGACACTGGCTTAGGCAAAGATTTTATGACCAAGAACCCAAAAGCAAATGCAACAAAAACAAAGATAAATAGACGGAACGTAATTAAACTAAAAAGCTTCTGCACAGCAAAAGAAATAATCAGCAGAGTAAACAGACAACCCACAAACTGGGAGAAAATCTTTGCAAACTGTGCGTCTGACAAATGACTAATATCCAGAATCTACAAGGAACTCAAACAAATCAGTAAGAAAGAAACAAATAATCCCATCCAAAAGTGGGCTAAGGACATGAATAGACAATTCTCAAAAGAAGATATACAAATGGCCAACAAACATGAAAAAATGCTCAACATTACTAATTATCAGGGAAGTGCAAATCAAAATCACAATGTGATACCACCTTACTCCTGCAAGAATGGCCATAATTTAAAAATCAAAAAATAATAGATGTTGGTGTGGATGTGGTGAAAAGGGAACACTTTTACCCTGCTGGTGGGAATGTAAACTAGTACAGCCTCTGTGGAAAACAGTATGGAGATTCCTTAAAGAACTAAAAGTAGATCTATCATTTAATCCAGCAATCCCACTACTGGGTATCTACCCAGAGGAAAAGAAGTCATTGTATGAAAAAGACACTTGCACATGTATGTTTATAGCAGCACAATTCACAATTGTAAAAATGTGGAACCAGACCAAATGCCCATCAAAGAGCAGATAAAGAAAATGTCATATACATATACACATATATATCACAAATGTGATATACGTATACATATATATCACAAATGTCATATATATATATTTATTTATTTATACCTCATGGAATCATGGGATACGACTCAGCCATAAAAGGGACCAAAATAATGGTATTTGCAGCAACCTGGATGGAGTTGGAGACCATTATTCTAAGTAAAGTAATTCAGAAATGGAAAACTAAACATCATATATTCTCACTTATAAGTAGGAGCCAAGCTATGAGGATGCAAAGGCATAAAAATGATACAGTGGACTTTGGGGACTTAAGGGGAAGGGTGGAAGGGGGTAAGGGATAAGAGACTACACATTGGGTACAGTGTACGTTACTTGGGTGATGAGTGCACCAAAATCTCAGAAATCACCACTAAAAAAACTTATCCATGTAACCAAACACCACCTGTGCTCCAGAAACCTATTGAAATAGTGAAAGAAAGAAAAAAAAAAGAACGAAGTCCCAATAGCAATGGACTCCAAGGGCATTTCCCACTTCTTTTTTGCTGAGACTTCAAGTCCAGAATCACAGACATTGTAGGCTTCTTTGACTCATAACATTATCACCCTTCCTTATAAGTTGGGCTTGAAATTCTTCCATTGGAGAGGTCATTTCTTCGTGAACATAATTTCTCTGTTCTTCTTTCAGAATGCTAATACCGATACTTTAATGAGAATGAGGATTTTTAGATCACTTTTCTTGCAACAGAAAAGAGAACATCTGAGGATCTGAGGTCTTAAAGCAACGAACATAAAGCAAAGTGGAGGGATGGTGTGGCAGAAAGGGAGGAGTGGAGTGTCCCAAACAGACTTTGCTTTCTTTCCATGTCTTCCAGTTGGTCCTGCCCAGATGCCTTCCAAGTGGAAGAAGGTGTATCAACTTTTTTGGAGTGGAAGGATAATTGGGGGTAGATCTGGACAGCTCCCACACTCCCAGCCACACCTTGGAAAGGACAGCAGGTGGGTACAAGCTGGCCTCACCCTCTCTAATGGGTGCCTTCCAGATCCACCCAGGAAAGGCTGAAAGAACTGGGCACCCATGGATCAAAGGGAACCTCCCTTGTTTGTTTTTCACTAGGATAATGGAGCAGTTTCCACACCCTTCAGGGAGCTAATTTCTTAATTCCTTCAATAGCATGAATAATAATCCATTTGACCCTGTTTCAAGGATTAGAGCTGCCTAGATGAAAGGCTATCCGCATTAGAGTGAGGACTGTAATCAGGGAGAGTTCTTGTTCCGCTCCCCCACCTCCAGGTTTTGTTTCATTACGCATACACAAAAATGAGTACGCCTTTTACACAAATTAGAAACAAAAAGAACATCATTAAAATTCACAAAAATACCACCACTTTTAGATAAATATGGTTGACAATTTGAAGCACAGTCTTTAAGACTTTTTCTCTCTATAGGTACACATATATTTTGCAAAAATGGAATATTTTACGTATGCTTTGCAACCTAATTCCCTTTATTTACCTTATTATGCCCATATTTTATGTGAAGTAGACATCAACATCATTTATTAAAAAATATTCATTTTACCTTTATTTTATTTATTTAATCAATTCCATATTATTAAACAATTAGGTTTTCCCCCTTTCTTCTCTCTTACCTTCCATCCACCCAATTATTTATCTATATCTATGTAACCAAACACCACCTGTGCTCCAAAAACCTATTGAAATAGTGAAAAAAAATCTGTTTTTGTACACATGTAGCTTTCTATCAATCACCCTATGTGTATATGAATCTATTTATTTCTATTATAAATTAAGCTGCAAAAAATACTCTTGATCACAAATTATATGGGTAAATGATTATTTCCCTAGAAATGAGATTTATTAATAAAATGATGTATTTAAGGTTCATATATATTATATATACATAAAAAATACATAATTTACATTTCTTTAATCAATATAGGAGTGTTAACCTCCCTACAGTTTAAGACAGTGCTTTCTAACCTATACTACTGATTAGAATCATCTGGAGAGTTTAGAAAAATACCAATGTTTGGGCCACACCACAGATGAATTACAGCAAAATCTCTAGGTGAAAGGTCCAGGGATTGGTATTTTTTTTTTTTTTTAGGTGGAGTCTCGCTCTGTCGCCCAGGCTGGAGTGCAGTGGCGCCATCTCGGCTCACTGCAAGCTCTGCCTCCTGGGTTCATGCCATTCTCCTGCCTCAGCCTCCCGAGTAGCTGGGACTACAGGTGCCCGCCACCACGCCTGGCTAATTTTTTTTGTATTTTTAGTAGAGACGGGGTTTCACCGTGTTAGCCAGGATGGTCTCAATCTCTTGACCTCGTGATCCGCCTGCCTCAGCCTCCCAAAGTGCTGAGATTACAGGCGTGAGCCACCGCGCCCGGCCCAGGGATTGATATTTTTAAAAGACTCCCTAGGAGGCGGAGCTAGCAGTGAGCCGAGATCGCGCCACTGCACTCCAGCCTGGGCCTGCGACGGAGCAAGACTCCGTCTCAAAAAAAAAAAAAAAAAAAAAAAAAAAAAGACTCCCCAGGTGATGCTAATGCACGACCAGGGTTAAGGAAGTCACTGGTCAGGGTCCTCTTCTTCCCTGGTACTCTATGTCCCTGGCAGACAGCATCAATTGAAAATCTTTCCTCTTGAGTGTGAACTCACCATCTTTATCCTTCACAGCATGGCACTGCAGATGGCAACCAATGAGTGACAAATGTTGACTGAAAGGTGGTTGCTCAGATTTTCTATGCATTTTCTATGATTGCGTGGGATTTTTTTTGTTGGTTTGTTTTTGTTTTTGTCTAGGTAACCTATCAATTGCTGAGAAATGCTGTTAAAACTTCCTAGGTATATTTTACCAAATTATCTATTTCTTCCTTCAATTTAATTCTGTCGATGTTTGTTTTTTGTAGTTTCAAGCTCGTCATTAGGTGTAAACCATTAATGATTCCTATGTCTTCCTGAGGAATAAAGTCTTTTATCATCAATATTTCTCTTAATTACTGGCAATGCTCTTTTTCTTGAAGTCTTATTTCTGATTTAGTACAGGCAATGCAGTCTTTGTGTGCTTATCGTGTGCCCCGTATGCCACTTTCATCCATTTTCATCTATTTAGTTTTAACCTAACCATGTCTTAGTATGTCTTTTATAATCTCTATTTAGTTGGGTCTTGCTGTTTTAACCATTTTGACAAATTCTGACTCTTAATTGGAGTTTATTGAAGTCTACCATTTCATTATTTGTTTTTTGTTTATCCTCTCTGAGTTTTTTATTGTTGTTGTTGTTCCTTTTTTCTCCTCTATACCTTCTTTTAGATTGTTTAAATACATTTGTAAATATTCCATTTTAATTCATGTATTAGCTCTTTAGAAATTTTGCATTATATTTTTGGTAGTTGTGGAGTTATAATATAGATTCTTAACTTTCACAGTTTACTTAGAGTTAACATTGCATCATTTCAGGTAAAGTGTAGAAATTGCATAGATATAATTAAGTTTTTTTTTTTTTTTTTTTTTTGAGACGGAGTCTGGCTCTGTCGCCCAGGCTGGAGTGCAGTGGCGCAATCTCGGCTCACTGCAAGCTCCGCCTCCCAGGTTCACGCTACTGTCCTGCCTCAGCCTCCTGAGTGTCTGGGACTACAGGCACCCACCACCACGCTCGGCTAATGTTTTGTATTTTTAGTAGAGATGGAGTTTCACCATGTTAACCAGGATGGTCTCTATCTCCTGACCTCGTGATCCACCTGCCTCGGCCTCCCAAAGTGCTGGGATTACAGGTGTGAGCCATCACGCCTGGCCAAGATAGAATTTTTAAATAAATCAATCTTTTTTATCTCTTACTGGAGGAATTAAAGACCTCATCCTCCCTCCTTTCCTTCTCCTACTTCTCCCCCCTTCTTTCTTTTTTGTAATCACTAATTTATTTTGTGCATTTAAAAACACCTCCTTACAGCTTTCTTTGTTTTTGTTTTCTTTCGATTTCCCCCCTTTCCTTCTCTCCTCTTTTTTTTTTTTTTTTCAGTTGTATTTTCCAATGTTGCTTAAACATCTGCAATATATTGGTTAAGGGCACGTACTTTGAGTCAGACTGCTTGGTTTGAATTCCAATTCTCCACCTACTAGTTGTAAGATCTTGGGAAGTCAACCTCCCTCAGTTTCCATATCTGTAAATAGGAATAATAACAGTAGCTCCTACTTCACACTACTGTAATGATTAATGAATGGACATGCACAGTGCACTTAAGATAGTGACAAGCACATCAAACAGCACATTCATTTATCCCGTGGTGACCTGGAAGTTACATATCCAGTTGTATTTCTAACAGTGGCTACGCTTGTTTAGAAAAATAAAGAAACATCTACCTCTCTAACAGCATCAAGAATAAAATAATGCCTGTTAAATCTGGCTCAAACTTTTCCCATTTTAGCAAATTATCCATTGTTGGTTGGAATAATTTTTAAATCCAGATCATCATGATGATGTTTATAAATATTCTCTTTCAGTAATTCTTTTGACTTTCATAATGTTTCATCAGCATGTCAACAATAATTATTTTATTTCATCACCAGCTGTTTTTCTGATTGATTTCTCTCCACAATTTATTTTATGCGATGTCTTCTCCAAAATTGATTTCTTTCTTTTTATTCAATATTAAGTTATTTGGGTAATTTTCTTCCAAATAATTTTGGGGGATGGGTGGGTAGGGTAGGGTAGAGTGTAGGGTACCTTTGAGAGCTTGCATTGCTGAGAACTTCTCTTTGTTTCCTTCCAAATGAATGACAGCTAGGTTGAACATAGAATTCTTAAATTATTGTCCACCTCCATGCATCCCTTATTCTCATTATTTTCTAGAATTTAGTATAAAGAGGAGAAATCTGATGACAGTATTTTTTCCTTTGGGGGAGGAGGAAAAGTTAGGCACTTTCTATTAGAGCTTTCTATTTCTCCATCTTGCTGATGTCACAGTAATTCTTAAAATGAAAAAGTTCACCAGAGGGCCTATGTGTAGATAGACCCTCTTCTTATTGTAAACTTCATTTGCTATATTCTGAGACTTTGTTATCTGGAGCTTTAAGCTTATTTCAGCATGGAAACCTTTACTTCTATAATTTATTTGATGACGACTTTTAAAAGGGAGTTTTCATTGAATAAATTTTGTTTACTCTGCCCATTTACATTACTGAAAGTCCCAGTTCACATTAGATTGAGTTTTTATAGTATTTGCTTAAGAATCCATGATGGTGATGATGATAATAATGACGACGATGACAATGTGACTTCATTTAGATCTTTCCATGTAATAGGTCTTCTTTCACTGTTGTATGTTGTGTTCTGGGACAGCACAGGGTTGCTGGTTTCAACAGCATCTGAGCTAAAGAGAGCAGCAACAAATCACTGCAAGACCTGCAGCGAACAGGTGCCAAGTAACCAGGTGTAAATGGGATCCTTAGGATGTTCTGGCTTATTCCCTGAGTCATTCCTAATGACTTTGTGTAAGTCCATTTACCTCTCTTGCCTGATTTTCATGTCAATTGGGGAGGTAGGAATAGAAGATCTTATCAAAGCATGTGATTCAATGGAAGAAAGAGCATTCTCACCACTCCATACTTTTCCCTAATATAAAAATCATAGGAAACTCATAAATATCTATAAAACTAAGTGCTCAATCAGCACATATTTCACAATTGTTTTTATAATTGACTTTTAAGGTATTTTATCATGAAGTAAAATGCATGTGTTAAGTGTAGAGTTTATTGAGTTTTCACAAATGTTTACATACATGTAACTATAACCCCAAACAAGATATAGATCACCTCCATCATTCCAGAAAGTTCTCTTCAGGCCCTTTCCCGGCCAGTCTCCTACCTTCCCCCTTCTTCCACCCAGATAGCTCATGATCTATTTTCTGTCATTATAATTGAGTTTTGCCTTTTCTGCAACCTCATATAAATGGAATCCTATGGTGTTTTCCCTTCAGCAATTGTGAGTGTTTGATCCCTAAGCTCTGTATATTTTTTTATTTTTGATAATCATGTGTGTTTTATTTGTAGTTTCTTTCTTTTTTGCTTCTTTGATGTGAATATACCACTTCATTTGTTTAAATTATTCATTTACTTATCTAAATCACCTCTAAATTTACTCCTCAGAAGCAGCCATTGCACCCCACATGGTTCTTAGCACAAAGTAGGTGTTCAGAGTGTCTTGAATAAATGCATGCATGGAAACAACTTTGAAGACATTCATCTGGATCTCTGTTGGTCATACTTGCATCTCCCTCCTGTGGAAGTGCAAATCGGAGATGGGCCTAGAAAATAGCAGTACAAGTAGATGATGCCAGATGCATATAAATTGTTATTGATATTTCTCCTCCTCTTGGGCAGGGTCTTCTTATGGATCCAGCCTGCCCATGGGCTTGAGTGTGGGATGCAGAAGGAAATGTGGAAAGAGATCAGAGCAATTGGTAAGAGCAGGGAGAAGAGGGTGAGCAGCTCTGTGAATAAGATAGAAACCAGAGGGACCATCTGTTGGAGGAAAACATTCCAGACATAGGCCCAAGTCTCTGATCCATTTCTTAATACTGATGCTACCTTGGATACATGATTTAATCACCCTCGATCTCCATTGATTCATACATAAAAGGACAAAATTCGACTAGATGACTTTAGTCCTTCCAACCTTAAGATACTATGAAATCTATATTATATAGATGAATAAGAGAAAGAAGTTTACCATGCACTCTCAAAACTCTGCCACCAAAGCCTGAGATGACTGGTTATTTGAAAGAATTTGTTTTTTACCAGGCAAATGTGCAGAAAGTTCATGTTCTTCTTAGATTCTCTGTCTGGGGTTCTGGTCTGGGGCTGTTCATTAGGCAGGTGAACAGGATGGGGAAATGTCACCACTGGGCAATGCTGGGTTACTGTAAGAGGAGGTCAGAGCCCAAAGGTCAGGTCACAGGAGACTAGGCTGGGTAAGCAGGTTCCCATCTCAGGACCAGGGAGAGGTTCATCCTTCATTGGTGTTTCCACAGAGAGTGTAGAGAGGGGACTGTTGCAAAACAAAGGACTAAATCCTAAGGGCATATCTCTTAGTTCTTAAGGGACTGAATGTTACCTATGACAAGAATGTATGTTTCCTCCTTAGCGGATATGGATGCCTGATCCCCAGCTTTTCTTTTTCAGTTTCATAGATAGGGCATTCGTTGTTGGATCCTTCAGGCAAGCTTGGGTATTTTTTAATAGGAATCATATTTATATTCCCCTTCCTGGGACACATTTTTCTCCGTGGCTTGGCTTCTCTCAGGTAAGGGGGACAATGTTCAGACATAAGGACTCAAGATCTTAGCAAAGAGATCAACCTTGCCATTTCAGTTAGCACTTAGCTAATCCCAAACTTGGTTTTCTTCCCAGAGAGAAACACAGCTTGCTGTCAAATAGTCTGTAGACCCTAAATGGCTGGTTGTACCCCCATGAACACTGGAGAGCCTGCTTAGGGCATTGCTAGTTAGGAAGGTCAGAAGCACTTACTATTGCTGCTGGTCTAGTCTTTAGTCTGTTACTATTACTCAGGATGTTTCATAGAAATCTATTTCAGTGGTATGTTGCAGTTTTCCTCATATTTTTTTTCATTGGGCTGGAGTTAATACCCTTGAAAGCTATAAAATATTTAAAAAAGAAACATGCACTTTCAGAGTAGACCAAGTGAATTATAGTCAGGCCCATTAATATTTTTGCAATATTGAGTTTGCTATATTAATTGATTGAACATTACATGAATTCTCAGTATCATTGTAAAGGCAGGTGACTTTGGTCTTAAGTGGACTACTAGGGCAGGAGGTAGTACTGATATCTACCACTCACAGGCTCTGTGTCATTCATTCGGTTTCCCTAGGGTTTAGCGTCCTCAACTATAAAATGAAGAAGTTGAAGGTAATAACTTTGAGGGTCCAGTTCTGTGTCTAGCCAAGATGCTGGACTCAAACAACTGCCGGCCCTCTTTGCCAAGAGTTATCTGGTAGAGACCAAAGAGGGAAAATACAAGAAAGGGAACAAAGCTGTAATAAACTCTGGGGGAAGAAGTGTGTGTGTGTGTGTGTGTGTGTGTGTGTGTGTGTGTGTATGTGTGTGTGTAGCTGACTGAGAAAGGTTAAAACAGGAAAGATTTACTAGAACTCGTCTCTTGCTTCTTCATTTCCAATGCCTTCGGACAAACTAGTACCTGCCACCACCCCTTCTATATTTTGATCTCTCATCCAGGAGTCCTCAGGAGTGACATTAGGGCAACGTTAAAGTCCTGCACTCGTGAAAGCCGAAAAAGAACAGATGGGGGGATAGTTAACTACTATAGTCATTTAGTACCAAAAAAAATGATAGGCAACCCTTTTAGCTATGTGCTTGCAACATGGACAAAAAAACCCACGAGAAAACACAGAACAAAACTAAGAAGAAATATTAGATGGAAAAACTAAAATAGCAAAAATAAGGCAAATAGCAAATTAAATAAATAGCAGAAAAAGGAAGAGATTGAGGAAATCTCCAAGATGGAAGAAGAAAAATAAAAAGAAACTTAAAATATCAAGAAAAGCCATGATATACGGGGGAGAGAGGTGAACTGTTAAAACCCAGATAATAGACATCCCATAAATAGAGAGACTTTTTTTTTAACAAATGAGAGGTAAAACAAAAACTTTGAAAAGTGAGAAAGAAATTTTTCCTGAATTAAAAAGAGAATGGAATCAATGAGTAGATATATGAGAAACCTCATGCCTAGATACACTGTAAGGTAATCTAATAACATAAAGAAAAAGAACCTAAAACTCTTACAGAGAGAAAGAGATGATTAATATAAAGATATAAGATTGATATCAGAGGCCAGGCACCGTGGCTTACTCCCCTAATCATAGCACTTTGGGAAGCCAAGGCAGGTGGATCACTTGAGGTCAGGAGTTCGAGACCAGTCTGACAAACACAGTGAAACTCCATCCCTACTAAAAATACAAAATTAGCCAGGCATAGTGGCACACACCTGTAGTCCTAGCTACTCTGGAAGCTGAGGCAGGAGAATCACTTGAATTCAGGAGGCAGAGGTTGCAGTGAGCTGAGATCGCGCCATTGCATTCCAGCCTGGGCAACAAGAGCAAAACTCTATCTAAAAAAAAAAAAAAAGATTCACATCGGACTTTCCAACAGCAACACTAGAAACAAAAAACAATAGAGGGAAGTTTAGAAAGACTTAAAGAAAGAAAACTTAGAATATCACATTTTATTTCATTTTTTCCAGCTCAATTGAGGTATGACTGACAAATAAGAATTGAATATATTTAAGGTATACAATGTGATGTTTTGATATACATATACATTGTGAAATGATTGCCACAGTCAGGCTAATTAACACATCCTCACACAGTTACCTCTGTGTGTGTATGTGTCTACACTCTTAGAAAATTTCAAGTATAAAATTTATGATTATTAACTAAAGTCGTCATGCTATACATTGTCTCCAGAACTTATTCATCTAATAACTGAAGGTTTGTACCTTTTGTCCAACATCTATTTCTCCCATTGTCCAGTCTCAGTCCCACTATACTACTCTGCTTTTTTTTAAGATTTCACACGTAGTGAGATCATGCAGTGTTTGTATTTTTGTATCTGGCTTATTTCACTTAGCATCATGACTTCAGGTTCATTCTATCGTCTCAAATGGCAAGATTTCCTTTTATTATACCTGAATAGCATTCCACTATGTGTATATACGTAAAACTAGTATAAACAGATAGAAAGATAGATAGATAGATAGATAGATAGATAGATAGATAGATAGATATCCATATGTATATAATACAAGATTTATGGTAGCCTTATGATCCTTTGTATTTTTGTAGTATCAGTTATAATGTCTCCTCTCTCATTTCTGCTTTAATTTATTTTAGTCTTCTCCCTTATTTCTCAATTAGTCTAGCTAAAGGTTTGTCAAGTTTAATTTTTCAGAAAGCCAACTCTCAGTTTCACTGATCTTTTCTATTACTTTTTTAGTCTCTTTTTCATTTATTTCTTCTTTGGTCTTAGTTATTGTTTTCCCTCTCCTAACTTTGGACTTAGTTTCTTCTTCTTTTTCTAATTTTTTGAGGTAGAAAGTTAGATTGTTTATTTGAGATCTTCATTTTTTCATAATATAAAATTCTTTCATTACAAAATTCTCTCCTTGAACTGCTTTTGCTGCATTCCATAAGTTTTGGACTGCTGCATTTCCATTTTATTTGTCTTAAGATTTTGAAAAGTTTTCCTTTTTAGTTTTTTCTTCAATTCATTTGTTCTTCAGGTGTGTTTAATTTCAACATACTCATAAATTTTCCAGTTTTCTTCCTGTTACTGATTTCTAGTTTTATACCATGTGGTAAGAAAAGATACTTGATGAAATTTCTGTCTTTTTAAATTTGTTAAGACTTATTTTTACAAAATTAGCTGGGTGTGGTGCCACATGCTGTAATCCCAGCTACTTGGGAGGCTGAGGCAGGAGAATTGCTTGAACCCAGGAGGCAGAGGTTGCGGTTAGCCAAGATCGGGCCACTGCACTCCAGCCTGGGCAACAAGAGCAAAACTCCATCTCAAAAGAAAAAAAAAAAAAGACTTATTCTGTGGACTAACATATGATCTATTTTGAAGAATGGTCCATGTGCATTGAGAAGAATGTGTATTCTTCTGCTGTTGAACAGAATGTTCTGTATATGTCTCTTAGATTTATTTGGTCTAAAATGTAGTTCAAGTCCAATATTTCCATATTAGTCTTCTTTCTGGATAATCTATCCTTTGCTGAAAGTGTCATATTTAATTTCCCTCATATTATTGAATTGCTATTTCTCCCTTCTGATCTGTTAATATTTGTTTTATATATTTAAGTGGACTAATGTTGGGTGCCTATATCTTTATAATTGTTATATCAACTTGATAAATGGACTCTTTTATCATTATATAATGACCTTCTTTGCTTCTTGTGAAAATTATTGATTGAGGTCTATTTTGCATAAGTATTGCTACCCTGCTCCTTTTTGTTTTTTATCTGCATATTTTCTATCCCTTTACTTTCCGTCTACGTGTGTCCTTCAAGTTGAAGTGGGAGTCTTGTAAGCAGCATATGGTTGTGTCTTGCTTCTTTTAAAAAAATTGATTCTGCCACTCTATGTTTTCTTATTGAAGGGTTAATTGATTTTCTTTTTAAATAATTACCAATAGATAAGGACTATTATTGCCATTTTGTTCATTATTTTCTGAATATTTTGCAGTTTCTTTGTTCCTTTCGTCCTCCTTGCTATTTTCTGTTGTGGATTTTCTGTTGTGGTATGCTTTGATTGCTTTCTATTTATCTTTTGTGTATCCAGTATAGGTTTTTTCTTTGTAGTAACCTTATGGTAATCATAAGGTTTACACCAAACATTTCATAGTTATAACAGTATTTTAAGCTAACAACTTAACTTTGGTTACATAAAAAGACTCTACACTTTATTTACACACACACACTGTCACTTTGTTTTGCTGTCATAATTTACATCTTTTTACATTGTGTATCCATAAGCATATTGTTGTGGTTATTTTTACTTTTATTAATTTAGTTTAATCTTTATACCACAGTTAAAAGTGATTTACAGGGCCATGCGCGGTGGCTCACGCCTGTAATCCCAGCACTTAGGGGGTCCGAGGTGGGTGGATCACAAGGTCAGGAGTTCGAGACCAGCCTGGCCAACATGGTGAAACCCTATCTCTACTAAAAATACAAAAAAAAATTAGCTGGGTGTGGAGGTGCACACCTGTAATCCCAGCTACTCAGGAGGCTGAGGCAGGAGAAATGCTTGAACCCGGGAGGCGGAGGTTGCAGTGAGCCGAGATCGTGCCATTGCACTCCAGCCTGGTGAGGGTGAGACTCCATCTCAAAAAAAAGAAAAAAAGTGATTTACATACCACAATTACGGTATTATTTGAATTTGATTATGTACTTACCTTTACCCGTGAGTTTTATATATTTACATGTTTTTACGTTACTAATTAGCACCCTTTCATTTTAGCTTGAAGAACTCCCTTTAGCATTTCTTATAAGTCAGGTATAGAGGTGATGACCTCCCTTCGCTTTTTTTTTTTTTTTTTTTTGTCTGGGATTCTTTATCTTTTATTTTTGAAGGACAGCTTTGCCAGGTAAAATATTCTTGGTTGGTATTTTATTTTCTCTCAGCACTTTGAATATATCATTCCACTCTCCTTTCTATTGCAAGATTTCTGCTGAGAAATCTGCTGATAGCTTCGTGGGGGCTCTCCTTTATGTGATGGTTTCCTTTTCTCTTGTTTCTTTCAAAATTATTTGTCTTTGATTTTTGACAACATGATTATAATGCATTTTGGTGAAGTTCTTTTTGAGTCAAATCTGTTGAACCTTGAGCTTCGTGTACCTAGATGTTCATCTTTCACAGATTTGAGAGATTTTTCAAGCATTATTTCTATTATGAGATTTTTGTACCCCTTTCTCTCCCTGATTTTTCAAGGAATTCTGTAATGCATATATTAGTTCTCTTAATGGTGTTCCGTAAATCCCATAGACTTCCTTCATTTTTTCATTCTTTTTTTCTTTCTTCTCCTCTGACTAGATAATTTTAAATGATCTGTCTTTGACTTCACAAATTCTTTCTTCTGCTAGATGAAGTCTGCTGCTGATGTTCTTTATTGCATTTTTAATTTTATTCACTGCATTCCTCATCTCCAGAATTTCTAATTGGTTCTTTTTAATTTCTATATATTTGTTGAACCTAATTTTGTTCATGTATTGTTTCCCTTATTTCACTGAGTGTTTTCTCTCTGTGCTGTCTCATAGCTTTCTGATCTTTCTTCAGACAATCATTTTAAATTCTTTGTTAGTCAATTCACAGGTCTCCATTTTGGGGTGTTGGTTACTGGAGCTTCGTTAGTTTCCTTTGGTAGTGTCATGATTTCCTGATTCTTCATGGTGTGTATAGCCTTCATTTGATTTTTATGCATTTGAGAGAACAAACAGCCACTTCCTGTCTTTACAGACTGGTTTTAGTAGTAAAACCTCCTTCTACCAGGTCCCTGGACTGATGAGACTGCCTCCCAGAATTGAACATGGCTAAAGCTGGGCCACATGGCTGTTGCACAGTACATAGTTGCTTTCACATTTGGCAGGCCTGTATTTGAAGTCTTGTGCAGGCATGATTCCTTCCAGATCCCAAGTGGATAGGGCTGTCTCCTGGACCATGGGCAAGCAGGGCTGGAGCCAGTCATGGGGCTGTTTCCAGGTATACAGTTGCGTCTGCAGACAGTGTACCTATTACTAGGGGCACAGAAGGGTATGGTTCCTGATAAGTCCCTGTGTGGGTCCCTCGGTGGGTAGGATTGCCTCTGTCATTGTGGTAGAGCAGAGCTGGAGGTGGGTCACAAAGCTGCTTCAGGTCCCAGAGTCAAGACCAACATCAGCAGCCTGGCTCTGTGGGCTTAGATGTGCATATGTCCCACCAGTTCCCTGAACAGACAGGACTGCCCTTGGACTGCAGAAGAGTAGGGCTGGAACTGAGTCTCAGGAAAACTTCAGGGTCTATAGCCAGGACTGAGTTTTGCAGGCCTATTAGCAGGGGGACAATGGGCATCAGTGGGTTCTTTGGTGGGTAGGACTGAGAGGAGGGCTGGAGCCAGATCAAAGGGCAGCTTCAGGATTTGCAGTCAGGTCCACATCCCAGTGGGCCTGTTACTGAGAGCACAGATATAAATGGCTTCTCCCAGTTTCCTGTGAGGGCAGGGTTCATACCAGACTGGCAATATAGTGGGGATGGAATCAGGTCAGAGCCACTTCAGGATCTGTAGTCAGGTCTGTGGCAAGCAGGCTTGTTACCAGAGGCATGGACGAGTATGACTCCTCTTGGGTCCCTTGGAAAATATGCTGGTTGCAAGGCCATGGCCAAGTGAGGTTGAAATCAAGTCCATAGAGAGGAGGGGCTGCTTTTGATCTGATGCTGGGATAATATTCAGCAAGTCTGACACCAGGGCTTTGCTCTGCATTCTCAAAGCAGCTCTCCCTGGTCTCTGGTTTTACTGCCGTTTTTCAACCTCCTATCTATATTCTAATGCTCCCACAAAGGTACTTTTTTTCCATGGATGGCTGCCAAATCACTGCTTGTGTGGGAGGCTGTGAGCTGGGAACCTTCTATTCTACCATCTGGCAGATGTCTGAACCTCCAATTTTATAGCCAGCCAAATGGTCACTCAATTAAGAGGTAGTGATATAAAATATTCTTAGGTATATAGGGTCTCAGAAACTTTGCCTTTCTGAGACTCACATTAAAAACTCTTTGGGATAATTTTTTTTTTTTTTTTTTGTGTCGGAGTTTCACTTTTGTTGCCCAGGCTGGAGTTCAATGGCACAATCTCAGCTCACTGCAACTTCCACCTCCTAGGTTCAAGCAATTCTCCTGCCTTAGCCTCCTGAGTAGCTGGGATTACAGGTGCCTGCCACCACACCCAGCTAATTTTTTGTATTTTTAGTAGAGACAGGGTTTCACCATGTTGGCCAGGCTGGTT
This sequence comes from Homo sapiens, assembly GCF_000001405.40. NCBI lineage: Eukaryota > Metazoa > Chordata > Mammalia > Primates > Hominidae > Homo > Homo sapiens. The sequence goes on from NC_000017.11 coordinate 14,658,309, forward strand.
TTGAACTTCTGACCTCAGGTTTTCTGCTCCCCTCGGCCTCCCAAAGTGCTGGGATTACAGGTGTGAGCCACCACGCCTGGCCCTGGATGATTTTTTTCCAACAGTGGGAATAGACAATAAAAAATATTACAAGAGATAATTTGACAACAAAAAGATGGTCAAATACCTTGATAAAATTTCTTATCCTTTTTTTAACAAAGAAAACTAATACCAAGAAGAAAAAAATTTACTACAATAACTTACAAATAAAAGTTTAGACATTCACATGATATCAAGAGATTCAGGAAAGAGACCAGAGAATAAGAGAATGTACTAAAGTTCCTGATTGCTAGGCTAGAAATATAGACATCATTTATTATTAAGTAAAAATGATTGAAAGTAACATAGGAAAAATGGAACAGAATAAAATAATAAATTAAGTTGGTAGAAATAATCCCAAATATAACAACAATTACTATTTAACAACTGAAGTCATCAGTTAAAAACACCAAAGATTTGGCAGATTTGAAAATAAATAAAACCTAGATTCAGGTTGTTTATAAGAGATATATCTATGCATAAGGGTACATCAAAGATCATAGGTAAAATGATGAAAATTATATACATGAAATAAAAACAGAGAATATTCCACAAATCATTTTTTTAATCTGACATATCCCAATACAAAACCAGACAGACATTACATGAAATAAAATGAGAATTACAGGATTATTTTATTCACAAATTAGATAAAAAGTTAAAACAAAGAGTTTGTAATTCAATGCAACACTATACAAAAGCATAAAGCACTAGAACTATGTAGAAATAGTCTCAGTCTACACAATAATTATTTGATAGAAGAAAATTGATAACTGTAGTAGTTATAAATTTATAACAGTAACTGCTACAGTTATAAATTTTCTTATATGAAATTATTATTAAAAATTAGTACATTCAAAGAGAAAAATTGTAATCTCAACAAATGCAGAATACAGAAAAAAAGATACAAATTCAAAACCTGTTGAAATAAAAAAGAAGGACTAGTTATATAGGAATAAAAACAGTCTTTTTAAATGTATAAAACATTAGCATAAAACTCCTACAGCAAATATATGAAATGGAAAAACATTAGACATATTTTTCCAAAATAAGAAATGTTACGTGGATGCACACTAGTATTCAACATTGTATTGAAGGTTCTAGCCACTGCAATAAAAACAATTGAGGCATAAAACTTTAAAATATGGAGGAAAACCTGTCATTATTTGAAGAAAAATTCTGTCATTTTACATAGCATAAAAAGCCACTAATTATTAGGACAATTTTGTAAAGACAAGCAGTGAGGAGGAACTTGCTTTATGGCATATGGCTTCTTATTAAATAATAATTATTGAAGCAATATAGTATTGGCACCAGAATAGACAAATTGATCTATGGAATAGAATAGAAAACTTAGATATCAGCCCACATAAGCATGATGTTTTGGTGTTAAGGGTGGTGACATGTCAAATTAGTGATGAAAGGGGGAGAAAAAACTTATTATCCAAACTAAAAAATAATAATAATAATGCATCCCTCACACCATATACATAAGTCAACCTGAAATAGCTCAAGGGTTCAAATAACAAAATAAAACTTTCAAATACTTAGCAGAAATTATAATATGAATAAATATTATTTTGACCTTGGGATAAACATAATTTTTAAAAATAAGGCATAAAAATCATACAGCATAGAAGAAAAGACTGGCAAATTTGACTAACTTAAAATAAAAAAGGATTGTACACTAAAAGATGATTTAAAAGGAAAACAATTATTTACAAACTATGAGAAAATATTTGCAAAACACAGAAACAAAACATTAGTATCAAGAATAAATAACTGGCTGGGTGTGGTGGCTCACACTTGTAATCCCAGCACTTTGGGAGGCCTATGTGGGAGGATTGTTTGAGCCTAGGAGTTTGAGACCAGCGTGGGCAACATAGCAAGACCCTGTCACCATTTTTAAAAAGAATAAATGACTAATCAAATAAGTAATAAGAGAGTAAAATAGAAAGATGGACAAAAGTCATAAGTAGAAATTTTACACATAACCAATAAATATGTTGAAGATATTTGACATCATTAGTGATCAGGGAAATGCTAGTCAAGAGTATAGTAGGTTATCACCTTATACTCATTAGATTGGCAAAAATTTATAAGACTAATAGTTCCAATTTATAAGACTAATAGTATCAAGTGCTGGAAAAAAATATAGATCCTTGAGTTCTATGAGGTACAATTATTTTGAGACATTAGTTCCCAAAGTTAAAAATATTATGTACCAAATAACTCACCAGTTCCGCTCTTAGGAGTACACGTAAGAGAATTAAGCATGCAGCAGAAATAAACAAGTTCTTAAGTTCTTAGTGGCACTGTTTACCATAGCAAAACAACAACAAGGAAATAATGCAAACATCCATTAAGAGAAAGTAGATGAATGAAATGCTATATTGATGCAATGGAATATTATATAACTACCAAAATTGATGACTGTAGCAACATTCAACAATCTGGATGTATCTTAGCAATATATTATTAAGTAAAAATTGTGAGTCCATAAAGATTACATATAGCTTGGTATCCTTTTTATAAAGCTATAAGTGTATATATTTATACATATTCATAGTAATCTTAGAATTATATCTAGGTACAATAAATCTGCATAAAAAAAGATAGGAAGGCCATGATGAATGCAGGATTCAGGATGATGGCTACCTCAGGTGGGGAAAGCAAAGACTGGAGAATCACATGGCTATTTGTAGGCTACTGCTCATATCCTAGTTTGTGCTGGGAGGATGGGATCATGGATGCTTATTATATTATTATAAGTTAAGAAAGGAATGAATAAAGGAAGAATAAAAGGGAGGAAAAAAGAAAGGCAGGCTATGCCTGAATCAGTGATAACGTGTTGCAAAGCAAAGATTATTACTGAGCTGATACTTTGCACCCCTGAAAAAAACTCAAACAAATGCAAATAAAATGACAGGGTATGGCTGAATGATTTTATGTGCTTAGCCATCCATGGCCTTGCTACTCAAAGTGAGACCCATGTTCCAGCAGCATCTACATCACCTGGGAGCTTGCTGGAAATGCAGAATCTCAGCTCTCCTCCAGACTGACTGAATCAGGATCTAAATTTACAAGATACCATGTGGTTTTTGTGCACATAAAGTTGGGGAAGCATTGGTCTACAGCATTCTCCATATTGGAAGTGGGAGCTATCACTTGGAATAGCTCAGAAACCAAGGGTCTTGATCATGCCTGTCCGAATTACTCCCTGCCAGTCTTCCACACTGTGTACCTACACAGGGCAGCCTAAGAAGTACTGACAGTGGCTGTGGGATTCTGGACAAGCTGCCTTGGAGGTTTGCCTCATTGGCAGTGATTCTCAGGCTGGCCTGTGTAGACATAGGGTTTGGAAGAATGGCAGGGAGTGACCCAGATGAGAGATATGGGTAGAGTCTGTATGTTACCTATATAGACCACCTCTACATAGGTAAAGCCCAGCCAAGATGTGCATGCATTATAGTCCTGCTGTACCCCAGTCCCACCCCACAGTAATTTGATTCCAATACCTCATGCATTGTTAAAAATCACACCCCTTACCAGGATATACAATTCCAGCAGTCAGAAGTCATCTTTAAATTCCAGTGGTTAATACCATTGCACTGTAGTTTCTTAACACGTGGTTGTTTACTGGATGATAATTTAGCATGTAATAAAGATGTCTTTTCAAAATTGTGGGGAATAGATGGTTTATTCAACAAACAATGAAACACTTGACTACATGCCTGCAATACTTACCATCAGAACCACACAATTTTACATTAAAAATTCATCGAGACATCATGGTGTCACTGAAAAATGACAGGTTTCTGAATCAGGAAGACTTGCCTTTTGTTTGATCATTCGTTCATTTAGCAAATATTGAGCACATACTATGTTCCAGACACAAATACTGACTAGCTATACCGTCAGCAGCAAACCACCTTGTTTGAGCCTCTGTTTCTTCATTTGTAAATACAGCTATTAACATCCACCTCATGGAGCTTTGGGGAAAATTAAATGAGATAATTTGTGAAAAATATCAGCCTAGGGTCACATTAAAGTTATATAATTTGAGTATGTAGGTAGGTTTTATCTCCCTACATGAATTATAAGTGCAAATCTGGTCATCTGCTATTCCACCATTCCAGGAGAGTAGAATACATACTTTTTGTCTGGCCAAGTGGAAATTTCAGGCCATTCAGATCTATATGGCTAAGACAGAAGTGTTGGAATCACAACTAAATCACCTGGTGTTATTTGTGGGATTCTGGACAAGCTGCCCTGGAAGGTTTGCCTCAGAGCACTAAAAACTGATGGCTAATCCTTTGCCCTATGTTGTACAGAAAAGCAAAGGTGAAGAATTAGGAAGTGAGAAACTTACTAAAATAAGTCTCTATCTTAGCCATTTTAAAGTAGAAATAGACAAACTTTGAATGTACAATTGTGTGGCTGTATTAGTCAGGATTCTCTAGAGAGATGGAACTAATAGGATATATATATATATATAGATATATACATGCATATGATATCTCATATATATATCCCATATATATATATAGGAGTTTATTAAGTATTAATTCACACAATCAGAGGGTCCCACAATAGGCTGTCTGCAAGCTGAGGAGCAAGGACAGCCAGTCTGAGTCCCAAAACTGAAGAACTTGGAGTCCGATGTTTGAGGGCAGGAAGCACCCAGCGCGAGAAAAGGATGTAGGCTGGGAGGCTAGGCCAGTCTAACCTTTTCATGTTTTTTGCCTGCTTTATATTCACTCGCAGCTGATTAGATGGTGCCCACCCAGATTGGTGGGTCTGCCTTCCCCAGCCCAGTGACTCAAACGTTAATCTCCTTTGGCAACATCCTCAAAAATAAACCCAGGATCAATACTTTGCATCCTCCAATTCAATCAAGTTGACACTCAGTATTAACCACAACAGTGGCTCTGAATATAAGAGCTGAAAGTATTTAGATAATAATTTCACTGTTTTTGTTTTGTTTTGTTTTGTTTTGAGACGGAGTCTTACTCTGTCAACCAGGCTGGAGTGCAATGGCATGGTCTTGGCTCACTGCAACCTCTGCCTCCTGGGTTCAAGCAATTCTCCTGCCTCAGCCTCCCGAGTAGCTGGGACTACAGGCATGTGCCACCACATCTGGCTAATTTTTGTATTTTTGGTAGAGACAGGGTTTCACTATGTTGGCCAGGCTGGTCTCGAACTACTGACCTCAGGTGATCCACCAGCATCGGTCTCCCAAAGTGCTGGGATTACAGGCATGAACCACAGCGCCTGGCCTCATTTCACTGTTTATTGAATAATGGATGTTAAAAAAGGATGGAAAGAAATAAGGATAGGAAAAGACAGGAAGAAAGGAAGGAAGACAGGGAAAGAAAAGAACAAAGAAAAAAGGAAACATGCTTGTTAAATGCTCTTACATGCCTTGGCATCTCAACAAAACTAAGTTCTCAAAGCAGGACCTCAAAAATCTCTGTAGCACATCACTCACTTGTTAACTTGTTCCCCAGACTTGGGCTCTGGTTAAATCTGTACTCATTATGGCTATTAAAGAAAGCATTCATGTATCTGGGAGTATTCACGTATGTGAACAATTGTCTACAACCATGGGGCATACTGGTATATATTTAGGAATAACACACACACACACACACACACACACACACACACACACCAGATAATATGTCTTGTGTGCAGAAAACACAAGCCCTCTACAACTGTTCTTTCCTATCTTTTCTTTCTTTCCTTCGCTTCTTTTTCTTGCTTTCTCCCTCATTTTCTTCCTCCTAACTCCCCATAAAGGTGCAAATATGTAGAATTCCCTCAGGGGGAGGGAAGGTATTAAATATTTGTCCCAGTGGCATTAGGATGCATTTTGTTTGGGCAATTTATATTTTACAACACACATGTAAATTACTATGTAGAATTTAATAACCCAATTGAGTATCTTCAGTTGGAGCCAAACTGGAATTTATTTCCTGATTTCTGAAGGGGGTTTCTGGCCTCAAGGACAGGAGAATGTCTCACACATGGCAACGTCTTGATTTAAAAGGTTTTTCTGCGGAAAGATCAGTTCCAGACTTGCCCAGCTAGTAGAGCTTGGGAGAAGAGAGAAGCGGAAGGTGGTAATTTGCTAAGAAAGGAAGGAAAAACAATAATGTTTATTTGATTACATTTTCTCGTGTTCTAGTGGGGGGTAAATTACAGGCCTAATGACTTCAGTGTTGAGGGTTGGCCCTGAACAAAGCTTCCTAAGATGTTGAGGGCTTTGGAATTAAAGGGAACTCGCAGAGAGGAAATGCTCCCTATTGTCGCCACTAGGGTTTTATGAACAAGATAAGCATTTCCAATAATACTCTTTGGCTCCAAGCACTCTCTTCCTGCTCCCCTTATACTGACTACAAAATGAGCAATAAAAGAAGGGTGGAAAATATTTGTGGATTACAAACAATGAAGATATTAATAGGCTGCGTTAGAGTTTCAAAGGCCTTTCATTCTTGATATGTTTTGAGCCTTACAACAGTGCTGTATGGTAGTCCTCTTACTCCCAATTTATAGGTGAAGAAACAGGCTTTCTATTCCTTGTATATAATTTATTAGTTTTTTAGACTTGAACTTTGAACAAGTGTGTCCTCCTGTTCTTTTCCAAAGACCTAATTTCACGTTCTTACCACGGGAGTTCCAAATCTTTCTTTAAAAAAGCTCTTTGGGCCCCAAAAAGACAAAGCCCAAGGGGCCTTGAGGGTCATACTGTACTGGGATGGCCACTGGCCAGGTAGGTTGACCCACTCCTGGCTGCTGGTTTTAACCTCTGCCCCCTCCATCTGTCTGGCCCATGTTGGCTCACTTCCTGCCTTCCTGGGAATCTGTGCTCAACAATGGCAGAGACTTTGAGGACTGGCCAACTGGAGTTTCTGTCCAGGCCCCACCATCTACCAGCTGAGTGATCTTGAATTATTTGCCACTTTGAGTTTCTCATTCCTTACCATAAATTCGGGAAAATAATACCTACCTCCCATGATTGTTGTGAGGGTCGAGTTCTGCAACAAATGACAGGATAGTAAAAAAAAGTCCCGAACACATGGCAAGAGTCCCCCCGGGACTGGTTTTGTTTGTGATATTGCTCCAATTCAGGTTTCCAATGGGACTCATGACTGTATCTTAATGAAGGTCTAGATTTCTCACTTTTTTTTTTAGGGAATGAAGGATGAGAAACAGAGAAAAACAGGCACATTCAGATCCTCTTGATTAGGACAGAATTGCTTGGAATTTACCCTCTAAGGCAAGAAGGAGGCCTTTCTTCTTCCTGCAGAGCCAAATCCTTCCTTCTGTTAATGATTCTGGGAGGTCATTGCAATGGCAGAAAGAGGATTGGATTAAAAACCCTTGTAACTCAAAATCCCAACTCTGCCACTTAGAATCTGGGTGACGCTGAGTCATTCACTTGGCCTCTCTAGGCACATATAAATAATACTTTCTCAAAAGACTTCAAAAGAGACTAGGTATGTAGAAGGTTTTTAAGTTATAAAATAGCCTTCAACATAAAGCTGTATTTTCTTTACTATTGTAATTATTAATATTCTATTCTGTAACACACATATATATATTTCCCTTTAAAAATTCTTCAAGAAAACTAATACTTAAAAATCTTATTTCTCCAATAGACTAGAAGATCCCATCAGCATGGCCCCTGACAGCCTGGACTCTGTGCTCAGGGATATCAGAGGCATCTTTTCTTTATCACTGGGAGATTTGGGGGAATTTCTAATTTGGGGAACCAGATGTAGAATAAAATCATACTCTTCCTCCATCTCAGCAGGAAATAACTGCTTTCCAAACACAGCTACCAACCTTCAAATAAATCGGTCTCTGTGACCAGGTATTTGTAAAAGGTTAATTGAAGTTACATTACATATTTTCAGGGAATCTCAATCCTGGGATATGATTGCACTTGGCGCAATTCACCAAGTTTTCATCTCCCTTCTGCTTGCACTCATCTGATGATAAAAAGCCATCTCTCTATTACTGGCATTCGACCTTTAAATGGCAAAGAGCCGCTTTGTCATCAGATAGAGTCATGAAAAGCCATAAAGGAAGAGACAGAGTTAGAATACTAACGCGTCCAAGGCTAGCACATTAAAAACTTGTCGACTCAGGGAGGGGCTTCCTGCTAGAGAACAGGGGAAAACGAGGCTTCCAAACTTTGAGTCCTTTGCTGCAACATTCTACATCATTTGTTGAGAGTCTGCTGTGTGCCGATCCATTCATACCCTTCCCTCTGTCAGATTCAGACTTAAAACTCTTTTTCTTATGATTTCATCCATTTCATCCATTCACATGTTCGGTATTTAAGTGACCATCAATTATACCTGTTTGCGAGTTGCATGCTAATGCATGGTCCTATCTCCTTGGGTTATTCTAAATGCCTCCTCGTCATGGACATGGAAAATTCTTTGGCACTTGAACATTCTCTGTAGGATCCTGTCAGGCAGTCTAAACAGCAGGCAGGACACTCAGGAGTTAAGGCGCATCTCTGCCTTCAAATTGCTGGGCAACTCTGCCAAGTCACTTAACCTTTCTGTCCCTCTGCTTCCAGAGCTATAAAGTAGAATGAGTTTAATAGCATCACCTCACCTTCTAATGGGAATGTTTTCAGGAATAACTAATGCTAGACCTTGTAAAACACATGGAAAAATATGAAACATGACATCAAATCTTGATCTTAACTTGACTTTTTCTCCAGGGCTGTGGGGAGAAGAGAAAAGAGGTAGGAAAAAGAGAGGATTGTCACGGGGCTATCAGGTGGACTGGAGGGAACGAGGTATTTCTGTGCTATATTCTAAACAACCAGCTTCTTTTATATTTGTGCACACTAGAAATCAATATGTAATATCTCTGGCATGAAGGGCAGCCATGTAGTGCATAAAAGGAGAATGCATTGGTCAGTCTGCAAATTCTAGCCTTCCGTACTCAAGTTGGGTGCCCCGCCTGCTATCTCAGGATTCAAAGTGGCAACTGTCCCTCATTATTTATAAATCCATCTTCCTATTCCTGGTCATCAGCATCACCCTCTGCTGCCCTTCACACTAACCTCAGCACAGCAAGAAGTTTTCACCAAAGGGGGCACCATTACAAGATGTTGAGTTCACTGTTTCCCAATCAGCCCCGATGTTTAAACTTAAGCCTGTGCCTTAGACCACCTTCAAATCAATACATAGAAATGCATCTACTAAGTACATAAAAACTGAGCAGGAATTTAAGAGATATAGAATGATAATAAATAGTACTTGCAGTCAAGAAACTGAAAATGGGCTAAGGAAATAAGGCTACCAGGCATGGAACAATTCAGACACGAAATAAAACCACGTACAAGTCAAGGCTAACTTTTGTGGTACAGACTGTCAATCTGTAGGATTTTAGAGAAGGAAAACCCCATAAGGGGGAGAGTTGTCAAAACAACCTTTGCAAGTAAATGGGAATAGAACTAAGTTTTGTAGATGGGTAAAACTGTGATGGGACAAGAGAAGGAGGGGAGGAAGAGGGCGTTACTGGGAGGGCGGGATGAACTCAGGTGTAGAAAAGAGAAAAGGCTGGTGTGAGTTGGAGGGGGCCCTGAGGAGGCTGAAGACTGGAGTGAAGATGGTGTGTTCTGGGGGATAATGGTGTTCAGCTGGCAAAAGCCGAGATGATCAGGGAATGTAAATGTTTAGTTGAAGAAGTTTAAGAGAGGTGTTACCTCTTTTTCTATGGACTAGACTTTATGAACACTGTGACAGGTATGCATAACTCAGACGCTTTTTCCCCTTGACTTCCTAATACAGTTTGGTGTTTTGGAATCTGCACCTAAGAGAAGTTGACCTTTTAGAAACGTAGCCTTTTCTTCCCATTTCTGCAGAACCTCCTGCATAGCATCATCATTTTGAGCAAACCATTGCATTTGTAAGTACCGTTAAAATGGTACGAAAATGTATAATAATGAAAGTTGATGACAGGAGGGACCCTAATTCTGTAGTTCTATAGGATCAGTTTAACATTCAGGCAGAACAGGCAAATGCCTATTCATGGTGTGATCCCAAAATTCTGGAAAGTGCCCGAAGTGTCAAAGAAGAAATTTCTCCCCTACCTTCTGGCTGACTGAAATTCCACCAACAGCACTTAATCCCTCCAGTTTAAGGAGCTGATCCCTGTTAAAATGTCTATTTTCATAACAGCGGTAATAATTTAAGATGCTCCCTCAAGCTACCATCCCATTTTTTTCCTTCCTTTCACTGTAAACTTCTTAATTAAGTGGTCTTCACTCCCACTCCCCATTTCCTTACCACCCACTTTCTCCTTAATCTCATAAAATCTAGCTTCTGTCCCCATCTCTCAACAGAAACCATTCTCACCAAGGTCACCAAAGATCTGCTAATCACCAACTTTTTCTCAGCAGTTTTAACCCTTTTGTATTCTGTCTTCTTTGTAATTCTTCTATCTCAGCATCCAAGACACCATGCACTGAGTCTGGTTTTGTTGAGGTAGTTGTTGTTCAATGCAGCCTTCCATGATTCCTCTTATTTCTCCCACATCCTCCATAACACTAATACTTGTAAATTGCATTAGTCATTAAACGTATTCATCTATATTATCTTTGATTTTCAAAGCTTTATGAGGTAGGTATATATTGCCATTTCAAGAATGTAAAAATTAAGGCTCAGGGAGTTGCTTGTAAGAAGTGGAGCTGAAAATGTAACCTAGGCTTCCTGACTCCAAGCCTGAGCTGTAAATGCAGACACAGCTTAATGCCATTTTCAGCCCTCTTCTCTTTCCTCTATACTTCCCCTTACAACAAATCCAGGTGCCCCATAGTTCAACTTGCTCATTCATTCATGATGAATTGAGCTGTGTTCCAGGGTATTAAACATCTGGACATCAAATGTGGACAACACATCTCTAGCTGAAATCCAGCAGTACAGGAAGGCAAAATGGGCAGAGTTAAGTTCTGGGTTAAAATCCTGTCTTATTTTCTGTTCAAAGCTGCCATTCCCACCAGAAGTTCTACTCTCAATCCCAGACATTTGATTCATATCCTGGCCTTCTACACTGCTATGCAGTTATCCTTTTCCAGGAAATCTTCCGGGATGCCCTTTGTTTGCTTCCCCATCTCAGTCAACTTGTACCCAGCTCAGCCTCCAAATGCTCCTGCCCCACAGTCATCTCTACTATGTTTCAGCTGCTCCAGTGCAACAACACTTACTATTTATTGATCACCTGTTGTATGCTTTATCCATGTGATAAGCCATCAAATACTTAATCATTCCCCTGTGAAGTAAGGATTGTTACCATCTACATTTTACAGATGAGGAAACAAAGGCTTCAAGAGTTAAGAAACTTAACTAAGACCTGAAGTTTGTTTTTGTTGTTGTTGTTTGTTTGTTTGTTTGTTTTGAGACAGAGTCTCACTCTGTCGCCCAGGCTGGAGTGCAGTGGTGTGATCTTGGCTCACTGCAACCTCCGGGTTCAAGCAATTCTCCCTGCCTCAACCTCCTGAGTAGTTGGAATTAGAGGGGCACACCACCACACTCGGCTAAATTTTTATATTTTTTAGTAGAGACAGGGTTTTGCTATGTTGGCCAGGCGCATCATGAACTCCTGACCTCAGGTGATCCACCCGCCTCGGCCTCCCAAAGTGCTGGGATTACAGGCATGAGCCACCACGCCCAGCCCAGACCCCAAGGTTTCTAAGTGGTAGAGGTGAGAGTTAGACCAACTCTGAATATGTACTTTGTTCATAACACCGTGGCTGCCCAGCACTTACTTGCATTTCCAAATTAGCATCTGCTACACTGTATTAATATTTTAAGATATTGTTATAAGAATCACCTTTCCCTTAAATTAGACCATAAGCTTCTAGAGGCCTGCTTCTCATGACATGAAATTGTGTGTGTCTATAGCTGTGGATAACTGACATCTAGAGGTTCCACAGAAAATCAGGAGGATTGGTATTACTAATTATAAGTGTATATTCTCAACAAATCTTCCATATCCTGAGATATCTGAAATAGGTAAAAGGAACTCATACTGGCTGAAAGGAGCATTCAGTGTCCATCAGCCAAGTTATTGCATCCTCCCTCTAAAAAAACAGGAAGGGTATTGATTTCAACGTTAGGATCCTGCTATGAGTATATGTGTATATTGGTATTTAATGATACTCTTTTTTTTTTTTTCAAGACAGAGTCTCACTCTGTCACCCAGGCTGGAGTACAGTGGCACAATGTAGACTCACTGCAAACTCTACCTCCTGGGTTCATCAGTTGTTGTGCCTCAGCCTCCCAAGTAGCTAGGATTACAGGCACGTGCCACCAGGCCTGGCTAATTTTTATATTTTTATTAGAGATGGAGTTTCACCACGTTGGCCAGGCTGGTCTCAAACTCCTGACCTCAGGTGATCCACCCGCCTCAGCCTCCCAAAGTGCTGGGATTACAGGCATGAGCCACCCCTCTGGGCTTAATGATACTCTTGAAAGCATTGAAATATTAGAACAACTGGGTTCATCTTGGAGACTTTGCGTCAGAGTGCACTACCTTTTGTGACATTCTGGAATGGATCCATATTCCTTCTTTTGTATTTATGCCTCTAGAATCAATATTTCTAACCACAAGATTTTTTTCTGGTCACAATGCATCCTCCCTGTCAGCAGGGTCATTGCTGTGTTTTCACAGCAGGATACTCAGTATGTGTTTGTATATTACAAGAAGCACTGATTCAACTTCCATTACACACTTGCTATGTCATTATGGGGAAAAGTTAAATATGAGACCTTGAAAGTATTATCACAGATGGCTTTTCTTTCTCTCTTTTTGTTCCTATACTCATCTAAATTCTGGAGATAGTCCAGTCATTTTCACATTATGTTCTTTGGAGGGGAAGTTTAGGATTTCCAATAGGTGCATAAAAAGAACATTCATAATAAGGCTAGCAATAAACAGGAAAGGATGTTGTCTTGGAAAAGGCATTTTTCTAGGCCAGTACTAAAGAAACGAGAATCCCTAAGTAAAAGTGGGCAGCTGGCTCCTTGGTCTCTAACCAGCCTCCACTGGTGTTGAAATTCTTTTAGGGTGTATGTCTTTTATGGCTTCTTTGGGTCCCTCTGGCTCCCTTCAATGAGAACCACCAATTATTGTCTCTCTCTCACCCTCCCAGGCTCACTTTTCCTCTCTGATTCCCCAGAAGCTTTTTATCCCCTGCCTCCTTTTAGAACTCAACTTTTCTCTTTCATGCAACTTGGCAGAAGCCCCAAAAGGCTGAAGATTATGGTCTTTCTGTGTATTTGTGTGTGAATCTTTGTAATTATATTCTCAATCAGAAAGGAGGAATTTTCTTTACACCTAAGCCCTGAAGCTCCCCTCTAAAATTTACAACTTGCTTCTGACTCAACCTGCTTTAAGTTACTAACTTACTAAATTCCAGGTCTAGAAGAACATAATTACTTTCAAAGCATAGTTAGAATATACTAATACTAAATAGGACTATGAAATGTTTGCCCCAGTTTTATTCCATCATATCAGTCAAAAGAGTCAAAGGGAACTTCATATATTCTTAGCATCCCTGAATCCACAAGTCTACCAAGAGGGGTGTCATTTCTGTATTTAATTTCCCTTGGTTTCTTGGGTAAAATTAAATTTTGAATGTAAAATAAAACCAACAATGATGATTCAGCTGTCACTGAGTGTCTACTCTGAAAGATTCTGTGCTAGGCACTAGGGGAAATAGAAAAAGGAATAAAACACAGCCATTATTTTCGATAAGCTTAGAGTCTATTGGAGAAAGGCAAAATGCATACTCAAATCATTGAATGTTAAGCAGAATGTTAAGGAAATAAATAGAAGGAAGATTACTTCTGCTGGGGACTCAGTTACGGTCTTGTGAAGGAAGAAGCATGTAGGCTGCAACTTAAAAGAGATGATGTCAACAGGAGTAATGATGGATGGACATTCTGGTTGCAGCAAGAGGGTGAACCAAGATGATCAAGGCTATAAAATCCCAGCCATCATCTAAAGTAGTTTTTAAAAATTATAATTGGCTAAAGCAAGAGCAGGATAAAGTAGAGGAGTGAATGGTAAGCCTGAAAACCTAGGACGAAGTCATAGAAGAGTGGTGCTTAAATGATGTAAAGAAAATTGAACTCTCTTCTTTGGCAATAAGAAACCACTGAAATTTTCAGCTATGTTTTAATACACTTCCTTGATAACAGAAAATTCACTATCACCATTGGTGTAGAATTTTGTTAAAATATGAATATCTATCCAAGCCTCCCTTGAGGTGCAGAAGGCCTTTTTAAAACTCATAAACAAAGAAAGAAATCATAAAGGGAAAGAAATTGATAGGATAGTGATGGAGGAGAGAATGAAGCCAGGCATCCTTGGTGGATGTTAATGTTCTGTTTCATGGTGTGGGATGCCAACTGCCTCTAGCATCGTAATGATGGATGCTCAGAGCTTGATGCTGGACAGGGTGTTAGGCAACATATACCAGAGTCTTTTTGTTCTCTGAATGGCATTACCATCCATGGGGGGAATATCTGGCCTCTCTCAAAAATCCAAGCATAGTCTTTACAGGCATTCTGTCGGCACAACAGCAGACTGTTAGCATACAAACAGTCATTAACCACAGGCTGTGGGCAAAGCTAATCCGGAGTGTGTTGCAATCCACTGGAACCAGGAAATCTGAGCTGCTGCTAATAGGTTTCCAGCCGCTGAGTCCTTAACTGGTTTTGGCCCAGCTTCCCATCCATGATAACAGGGCTCAATCTTTCTTCTGCTCTGTTGTTTGGTTTCTGTTAGAGGATTTTTTTCATTGGGTGGAAGAGAAATCATGGATTAAAATTGATTTTCCTCCAAAAAGTAGAATGTCAGAGCTGAACAAGGATCCTAAGAATCTTAATGCTCAATCATCATTCATACGGGGACACTGAGGCCCAGAAGAAGGACAGGTCTTGTGTAAAGTTATGTAGTAATTTTTGAGCCATCTCTCTATTTCTCAACACCCTTCTCTCATCTGCTTATGTTTAGTTGATCTGGGCAGCAATAGTTCTTTCCTCTTATTTTTAATTCATATTCTCCATTTTTACAGCTTCTCTTCTGGTCATCTAAACTTAGAAAATATTTTCTTTCATTCTGATCTTTCCCACAATACCTCCTGGACATAGCCCTCCATTGATTACTTGATGAAATTTGTATCAAGGGAAAGAAAAGGACTGACAGCTGAAGGACTTTAATAGTTGGATTTTTTTTTTTTTTTTTTGAGATGGAGTCTCACTCTGTCGCCAGGCTGGAGTGCAATGGCGTGATCTCGGCTCACTGCAACCTCCATCCCCCGGTTCAAGTGATTCTCCTGCCTCAGCCTCCCGAGTAGCTGGGATTACAGGCACATGCCACCATGCCCAGCTAATTTTTGTATTTTTAGTACAGACGGGGTTTCACCATGTTGGCCAGGATGGCCTTGATCTCCTGACCTCGTGATCTCCCCACCTTGGCCTCCCAAAGTGCTGGGATTACAGGGGTGAACCACCACACCTGGCCTAGTTGGACATTTATGATAGCATGTTTATAGTCTGCTTAGTCTAATGGGTGCCAAGGGCCAACCACAGATTCTCTGTCATTTTCAGACCATAAGGAAAATAACTCTGGACATCTGATTTCAAAACTCATTCATTCATTGAATAAAGAAGATATGAGGGCTTCTACCATGTGCAAGGCATTGAGCTGGAGCCAGAGATAGGTCATTCTTTTTTTGTCTGTGAAGGTCAAATTGCTCTGACATAGAACCTGGGTCATGTGTCTACACCCTAGTTGCAAGCTGCCTCCAACCAAGACTAATAAGGGACAGGATTTAAAAAATACAGAAATAGGGGTTCACATGCTGAGTGGCCAAAGGAATGATAACCACCCCATTGCAGATAAGAAAAATTATTATCCAAAAATGTCAATTCTTACATTGCCTATTGACAGGCATAAAGACCTCAAGACTCAGGGGATTTATGAGGAGACTGCAAGTAAAAAAAAAGGCCAAGATGAAACATTCCGAGTGGCACTCCTGCCCTTCCTACAAAAAAGAAGGCCCCTGGTACATGCAAATTTCACATTTTAATCAAGAGAGATTGTTTTACAAAATTATCCTCTCACATTGGGAAAAATGCACCATACGAGACATGTTATAAGCTATGCAATAAATCCACAAAGTACTTTTCTATGGAATTTTACTTAACATAATGACTCTATGCATGAAGATAGTACAACTGATTATCAGTGCTTTGTGTGTGTGTGTGTGTTTTGGTGGGGGAGTAGCGGTAGACATAGGACAGGCAAATTAGGAACAATTCTCTGGGCTGAACTCTTTTTGATTCTTTAATCATAACAAAATGGGAAAATTTATAATTCTAAAGGACAATCTTAATCTGCTTGGTCAACAGATTCCCTTTATTAGTTATTAACATTTTCTTTACCAATGCTACAATTAACTCTACACATTCAGTGTTCCACCAAAAGGGAGATAATTTAATAGCCTAAACAGGCTGAGCTTTGGAGATGGGTTACTTTTCTCAGTAATGAGGCTGAGAACACAAAGAGATTTTTCCAATAACCACATAGCTGATCTTTTGTGTGGACAACTGGACAATTTTTCCAGTACTTAGGAGATATTCTGACCTTTTAAATTTTCTTCCTTGGGATAGAAATTGTGGTTATGGACAATTACATCTCTCAACTTATTTGGGGCAAGTAAGGGCAGTTTTCTTCATTTATGTATAGTTATTACACAAGCACGAGTTCTAAACAAAGAGAGATTTTAAACAGAAAAATTATAAGTATGCCATATTTCCCACCCTTGTTCAAGCTGTAAAGCCAATTTTCTGTAAAGAAACTTTCAGTTTTCCTGTGTTGCTTAAGAACACTATAAAATATTCATGTCTATTAATCCACTTCTTTCATGTAAGAATAAAAAATACATACACGGTGGTGTCAAAGGATCATAGTTACCAACAGGGCATTTTGGGGGCTGCTCTTTTTTGTTTGGACATGGGCATGTTAGGGAATGACGGATATTTAATGACAGATATTTAACTTGATGAAGTCTATGGTTTTTAGTCCTTATGAAAATCTCCCATTTTTGGAAATAAGGTAGATTGACTAGCTCTCCTGAAACTCTTCCAATATCAAACACAAATTCTAGAAAAATATTTATGAAAATGCTTTTAAATGCATAGATGAAATTGTAAGAAAGAAAAAATATTCTTCTGAAGGCAAGAAAAATGTGGGTGCATGAACCCAGGGTGCTAAGGAAGCCCTGGAGCCTCGACATGCCTGGGGCATCTACTGATCTGAGAGGCCCAGAGCTTTGGCATTAATGGCTCCATCCAAGTCAGGGACAGGAGAGAAAATCTTTGGCCTTTGCAGGAGAAAGAAGTGGATCACAGAACTCAACATGTATCAGAAGCACAGGATGGTGTATATGCGTAAGGAAAGGTTGAACTAAGAAAACTCCACACGTCTTGAGCTTGACTCTGGATAAGAAGGGTAAGGGGGAGACTTGTCCTTTACCAATGCATGGATATTGCTGGCTTCACATAGGCCTGTACACTGCATTAACCATACTTACATGGCCATAGCCCGAAGTTGAAAATTTTAATTAAAAGTGAACCAGGTTTGATAATAGCCTGAGGAACCTGGCAGAAGCAAATTCTGTTCCTTTATAACAATTAATCTCAATCCAGGTCTAAAAGAATTTCCACTGACAGAATTTAAGCAAACATGTGCCTACAGTCAAAAATAAAACACAAGAGACCACTAGGCACGTGATTGAGAGTGAGCAGAACAAACAACAGAGCCCTACTTTTAAAAAGTTAGGTTGGAATTACAGGATACAGAATAAAAGATATACATGTGTAATATATTTCAAGAATACAAGAATGAATAACACTTATGAGTAAGAAGCAAGAAGCTATCAAAAGTAGCAGATGTGATTTTGACAAAAATATTAAATATACTAAAATATCTGTATCTTAAAATACATAGAAGGACACAGATATATATTTAAAATTAAAACTCTGTTAAAAGAGCAAACAGAAAATTGGACTGAGATGAAAAGTGAGTTAATGAATGAATGGTAGACTTAAATGCATTAAACAGAATGTTTTACAAAAAGAAAAAGCCAGAAAAACAATGAAAGCAACATTGAGAGAGAAGGAAGAAAGAGCAAGAATGGTCCAACATACTGATCAGAGTTTCAGTAATTTACTAGAAAGAAGAAAGAGAATATTTAAAGTTTGATGATTGAGAATTTTCCAGCATTGATGAAAACACAGGACTTCTTAGATTCAGGAAGTCCAATTAAATTCATGTAGAAAAAAAAAAGAAATTCACATGTAGATGTGTCACAGTAAAATAAAATACTAAGTGCAACAAGACATCTTTAAGAGCCAGAGAAAAGCAAACAAATGGTAAAGAAAAGCAAATTAGCCTCTGACTTCTCAAAAGCAACAGAGACTTGTAGAAGACAGTGGTAAAATATCTTTAGAATGATAAAGAAAATTGCCAATATGGAATTACATTTCCAATTGAGATATCTTTCTTTTTTATTTACTTATTTATTTGTTTTATTTTACTTTAAGTTCCGGGATACAAGTGCAGAACATGTAGGTTTGTTGCATAGGTATACACGTTCCATGGTGATTTGCTGCACCTATCAAACCATCATCTTCGTTTTAAGCCCTGGATGAATTAGCTATTTGTTCTAATGCTCTCCCTCTCCTCACCCCCTACCCCCTAACTGGCTCTGGTGTATGTTGTTCACCTCCCTGTGTCCATGTGTTTTCATTGTTCAACTCCCACTTATGAGTGAGAACACGTATGTTCGATTTTCTGTCCCTGTGTTCATTTGCTGACGATGATGGTTCCCAGCTTCATCCATGTCCCTGCATGATCTCATTCTTTTTTATGCCTGCATAGTATTCCATGGTGTATATGTGCCACATTTTCTTTATTCAGTCTATCCTTGATGGGCATTTGGGTTGGTTCTACGTCTTTGCTATTGTAAATAGTGCTGCAATAAACATACATGTGCATGTGTCTTTATAGTAGAATGATTTATATTCCTTTGGGTACATACTTAGTAATAAGATTGGTGGGTCAAGTGGTATTTCTGGTTCTAGATCCTTGAGGAGTTGCCACACCATCTTCCACAATCGTTGAACTAATTTACATTCCCACCAACAGTGTAAAAGCATTCCTATTTCTCCATAGCCTCGCCAGCATCTATTGTATCTGGACTTTTTAATGATTGCCACTCTGATTGGTGTGAGATGGTATCTCATTGTGGTTTTGATTTGCATTTGTCTACTGATCCATGATATTGAGCCTTTTTTTCATATGTTTGTTGGCTGCATAAATGTCTTCTTTTGAAAAGTGTCTGTTCATATCCTTTGCCCACTTTTTGATGGGGTTATTTTTTTTTTTTTTTACTGGTAGATTCTGGATATTAAACCTTTGTCAGATGGGTAGATTGCAAAAGTTTTTTCCCTTTCAATAGGTTGCCTGTTCACTCTGATTATAGTTTCTTTTGCTGTGCAGAAGCTCTTCAGTTTAATTAGATGCCATTTGTCAATTTTGGTTTTTCTTGCAATTGCTTTTGGCATTTTCATCATGAAGTCTTTGCCCAAGCCTATGTCCTGAATGGTACTGCCTAGGTTTTCTTCTAGGGTTTTTATGGTTTGGGGTTTTACACGTAAGTCTTTAATCGATCTTGAGTTAATTTTTATATAAGGTGTAATGAAGGGGTCCAGTTTCAGTTTTCTGCCTATAGCTAGCCAGTTTTCCAAGGACAATTTATTAAATAGGGAATCCTTTTCCCATTGCTTGTTTTTATCCAGTCTCTTGAAGATCAGATGGTTGTAGATGTGTGGTGTCATTTCTGAGGTCTCTGTTCTGTTCTATTGGTCCATATGTCTGTTTTGGTACCAGTACCATGCTGTTTTGGTTACTATAGCCTTGTAGTATAGTTTGAAATCAGGTAGCATGATGCCTCCAGCTTTATTCTTTTTGCTAAGGATTGTCTTGGCTATTTGGGTTCTTTTTTGTTGCAGAAGACATGATTCTATGTTTAGAAAACCCCATCGTCTCAGCCCAAAAACTTCTTAAGCTGATAAGCAACTTCAGCAAAGTCTCAGGATACAAAATCAATGTGCAAAAATCACAAGCATTCCTATACGCCAACAATAGACAAATCGTAAATGAACTCCCATTCACAATTGCTACAAAGAGAATAAAATACCTGGGAATACAGAGAACAAAGGATGTGAGGACCTCTTCAAGGAGAACTACAAACCACTGCTCAAGGAAATCAGAGAGAACACAGACAAATGGAAAAACATTCCATCCTCATGGATAGGAGGAATCAATATCATAAAAATGGTCATACTGCCCAAAGTTATTTATACATTCAATGCTATTCCCATCAAACTACCCAATGGTAGTTTGGGTAGTTCTTCACAGAACTAGAGATACCTTTCAAAAACAAGAATTAAACAAAGGCATTTTCTGATAAGCAAAATCTGAGAGAGTTGATCAGTGCAGATTTGCACTGTAGGAACTTTTAATGTTTGTACTTCAGAAAAAAGAAAAGTTAGAAACACAAAGGATAGCAAGTAAATAAAAGAATAGTCACTGGGAAAAATATAACAAACATTCAATTTGATGGAATAAACAATAACAATCATAACAGCTAATTTATTGAGTTAAAATACAGAGCTGAAATACTGGACAATAATATCACATAAGCCAGACTGGTCATTTGAAATTAAAATTGTCAAAGTTCCTTATATTTTTCAGGAGAAATATTAGCATGCATTTTAAGCATAGTTTTAAGTAACACTATGCTAACCATACATGTTAGTATTCTAAAGGTAATTACTAAATAATATAAGTGTGGTTTGAAATGTATTTTCAAACCAGTAAAGGGAAAAAAAAGAACAAGGGGGAAAATATTTCAATTATTCCAAAAGAATAAGAGAAAGGAAGAAAAATGAAAATGAAATGAAAGAAAAGAAGATATCCTACTGGGGTTTGCCCCAAAAGCAGAATTTGTAATGAGGGCCTGTGTACAGGCATTTCATTTGGGAACTAACTGAGGTAGCAGCAAGAAAAGACTGGGCAGAGTGAAACAGGCAACGGTGATGGAAAGCCACTCTAGGCATGCATCACTTAGATCCTCGTCATTTCAATCCCACCAGGCACCCTCTGAAGCAGCCCGAAGCAGATTCTCCAGAACTGTCCACCAAAGGGATAGAAGAAGAGGGTGTTTATTTTCTGGTTTCTATCCATCACCCATTGCCCAGAGGGTGTTAACTGCTTCTCAATGCCAGGTTTGTGCACGCATTAGAATAACGAGCATGTTCTCCTAGGTATCCCGTGTGGTGGCAACAGAGACACTCCAAGGGGAGGAAATGGAAGACTCACAGAACAGCTGAGAGAAGCTGATATCAGGTTACACCTGTGTAGAGCTGATTGCCACAACAATAACTGGAATAAAATAGTGGATTAATATGACACAAACCTGGGCACTAGAGATGTCTGATAGAAACACGGATAGGAAGCAAAAATAGGGTGGCAGAAATGAAATGCATGTTTATCGGAACCTGCAACAAATGCAAATGAGCTCGACTCTTTAGCTGAAAGGTACAGATCATCACTCTAGATTTCAATGTTAGTTCTGTGGTGTTTACAAGAGATACTTTGAATATAAGGTCACAGCGATGTGGCAAGTAAAAGGAAGGATTAACATTCCCTCCCCACACCGTTCCTGTCTCTTGTAGGTTGTTACTTCCCTCTGCAGACCCTTTCTAATTGCTGGCAGCCTTGGGCCATGTTTATCCCACTGAGCTTCAGAATGAGAGTTATAAGAGAAATTAGAAGTCTTCTTTACAAAAGAAGAAATGGAGACATAGGGAGAAGAAGAATTCTGTTCAAAGTCACAAAAGCAGGTAGAAGTAGACCTGGGACCAGACACTGGATATTTTAACTTCAAGTTTATTTTCTGTTCCAGTACACCATATGTCAGCAAACTTTTAAATGTAAGAGGTCGGATGTTGTAGTCTTTGCATGCCATTAGGTATCTGTTGCAGCTATTCAAATCTGCCATTGTCGCGCAAAAGCAGCCACAGACAATATGTAGATGAATAGCCAAGTTGTATTTCAATAACATTTTATATACAAAGCAGCTGGATTCAGCCCATGGGCAGTGGTTTGCTGACCTTTGTGCTACACCGTGGTTATTTTCTCAGTTATACCAAAAATAATGTAACACAGCATCGTGTCCATATCACAGCTCTCCGGAGAGTCTCAGCCTTGCATTCTGGTGATACTCAGGTTTCATCTCAACAAATGAGAAATAATTGCAGCCACCATCCCGCATGAAGACAAAAAGGAAAAATGAAAATTGAAAAGATGTCTGACTGTTCTGTTTCAAGATGGCCATTTGAACCAGCACCTTTTCTTCCACTTTCTCTTACATTCCCTGGCAGGGCCCAGTCCCAGTGGTCTTCTGATACGGGGAGTCATGCTGGGTTAGGAAGGGGTATCACCTCAGTTTAATATCACTGTTTGGTAATACATTTCCTGGACACCCTCCCTCCCCACGTTTCTCAGTCTCCTGGGTAAAGTTCCTTCTCCCTGTGAAGGCCATTTGTTTCCTCATTCCAGACAAACACAAAAGAAGCCACCGAAACCTACAACAATAAACATTTTCCTTCTTTCCCATTTGCCCATAATTATAGATATTTTACCTTTTTTATTATATACATTTTCTAATATTTCTACAGGAACCAAAGATTTCTTTTTTAAGAGAGGAGAAAAGGGGTAGAAAGGGAGGTGTTCGGTACTGCTGCAGGAATTACTTTGTTATCCCCTTTCTGTGAGCTTCTCCTCCTCCTGACATGACAAGGGATGGTTTGTGCTTGTTAAAATACAAAAATTGGCACCCTGGAAGCTAAAAAAGGACAGAATTTAATTTGCCCTTTGTAGTTCCTCTTTTTTATTCCTTTTGGTAATATTTCATCAACACTGTGCTTTTCTCAAAAGTCACAGTGTATTATTCTTTGTTTTTGAAAAAACAAAACAGAACAAAGCAAAACCCAAAGCTAACAGCCCTTCTACAAAGAACAATGGAAAATGAATAGCCACATTTCCCAGTGATGATTATTATTATGAATCTTTGTGAGAAAATGTCACTGGGGACTCAGCCATGGAATTGAATTTCTCTTCCAAATTTTATTGGCGCTTATTGGGTCTGACAGTTTGATGAGAGAATTGCAGATTATTTAGAAGCTCTTCCATCAATGATAGGATTCAGTTTGATAAAAAGCATTTGTTGAGTGTTAGTTACAACCTCAGTTACTGTGAGGAGGAAAGAAAAAAATTAAATCTGCTGCCTTCCCTCCAAGAGGGGACGAAATGGAGAAATTCATGAAAGACATTAATCTTTTTATTCATTTAACCAGAATTTAGTCCTCAGTCACTTTTTACACAGTCAAATAAGAAAGGTAGAAATCATTGCAGTACAGAATTGTTTAAACAGAGTTTCTCAGAGGGATGCAGAAAAATTGGGTGAAGATAACTGGGAAGTTTTTCAGAAGGGATTAAACTGTCTTGATAGAGAAAGGCAAGGGAGATTGTATGTTCAAAGAATCACCTCCATGGCTATAATATCAAAACCAACAGGGAGAAGATGCACATTTATTCCCTCCTCTGAGTGCTCTAGATTTTTTTTTTAAGAAAAAAAATTGTCTTCCACCAAACAGGAAAATGAAAACCAAACAAACAAAATCCACTTTCCCACCCATGCCTTTGAGTGTGGGCTGGACTTAGTGACTAGAATAGAGTGTGGAAAGTATAAAAACCTTGACTGTATAGTGGAGAAAGCTGGCAAATGCCCTCTTTACCAGATAATCAGTTAACATCAACATCAATAAGACATATTGATTTCCAATACTCTCCATATGATGTGATGAGAAGGGGACTTCATCTCTGTGGTATTCGTTCCAAAACCCATAACCCTACTCTAAGCATGAGAAAAACATCAAACAAACCCGAATTGAGGAACATCTGAAACTTTCTACAAAATACCTGACCACGATGCCTCAAAACTATCAAGGTCATAGAAAACAACCAAGGGCTAAGAAACTGTCACAGACCACAGGAGACTGTGAGCCATGAGCTCTAAATGCAATGAGGTATCCTGGATGAGATCTTGGGACAGAAAAAGAAATGCATGGAAAAAAAACGAGTAAAATCTGAATAAAGTCTGGAATTTAGTTCATGATAATGTACAAATAGGAAAGTAGTGTGACAATTTGTAGTTTTGATAAATATGCCAGGATAATGTAAAATGTGACAATGCGGAATGGCAGGCAAATAGGAGAGCGCAACTCTCTGTACTCTGTTTGCGACTTTTCTGTAAATCTAAAATTATTTCAAAATAAAAAGTTTAAAATGGCCAGGTGTGGTGGCTCACGCCTGTAATCCCAGCACTTTCAGAGGCCGAGGCGGGCAGATCATGAGGTCAGGAGGTGGAGACCATCCTGGCCAACATGGTGAAACCCCGTCTCTACTAAAATGCAAAAAATTAGCTGGGCATGGTGGCGCACGCCTGTAGTCCCAGCTACTTGGGAGGCTGAGGTAGGGGAATCGCTTGAACCCGGGAGGTGGAGGTTGCAGTGAGCCGAGATCATGCCACTGCACTCTAGCCTGGTGACAGAGCAAGATTCTGTCTCAAAAAAAAAAAAATAGTTTAAAACAATATAGTCCCTTAACCATTAATTAAGGTATGAAAATAGGTTTGTTATCCAACATCATAAAGGCATTATTATAATAAACCTGTACATGAGAACAATAGCCCCATGTGTAGCAAATGCTAAAGATGAACTCTATGATTTTCAGAGCATCTATTAATATTCATTTGAACTTTAGTTGGATCCAAATGATTTACCACAGGAGGATCCAGTACAACTATTCTACTGCACAAGAAAAAGTAATAAAATATGACGAATTTGAAAAAATAGATCATCTCTAACAGCCAGCTTCCCACTGAAAGTCACATGAAGACAACACAGCACACACACAGATGAAAGCTCCCAGCCTGGAATCACTGAGACTTATGGCCAACCAGCCTAGCCAGGACTCTGCAAGGCAGCTGGAGCTGCTTGGGCAGCCATCAGAAAGAGTTTGCCTCATGACATGTTCGTGTTTCTTGTTGGAAAAAATACCACTGGCAAAAGTAAGAATACACAGGTATCAGAAAGAGTTTGCCTCATAACATGTTCGTGTTTCTTGTTGGAAAAAAGTAAGAATACACCTTCTTCCTTCCTCACTCCCTGTGTCTAAACACCATGCAGAAAACAGGAAGGCTTTGCTTTTCTTCCATGAATGCTGGCTTCCCAGACAATTATCGAACCCTCTGCTCTTACTCAGACAGTAGCTACAGAAAATAAGAGAAAAGAAGGCAGTCGTGGGGACTGAGCATGAGAACCTCCATCTTGGAAGATATTTTCCTCTTTCTCTTACTTTCTACACCCAATGTAAAGGAGATAGTGTTGGCTCTTCTGTCAGTACACATCCAGAACCCTGGCAACGTTTCTTTTCTTCTCTTTTTTTAACTTTTAAGTTTAGTGGTACATGTGCAGGTTTGTTACATAGGTAAACTTGTGTCACGGGGGTTTGTTGTACAGATTATTTAATCACCCAGGTATTAAGCCTAGTACCCATTAGTTATTTTTCCTGATCTTCTCCCTCTTCCCACCCTCCATTCTCCAGCAGGTCCCAGTGTGTGTTGGTTCCCTCTGTGTGTCTATATGTTGTCATCATTCAGCTCCCACTCATAAGTGAAAACATGCAGTATTTGATTTTCTGTTCTGTTAGTTTGCTAAGGATACTGGCCTCCAGCTCCATCCATGTCCCTGCAAAAGAAACAGTCTCATTCTTTTCTGTGGCTGCCTAGTATGCAGCTATTCATGGAAAATGAATAGCCACATCTCCCAGTGATGTGTATGTGTACCACATTTTCTCTATCCAGTCCATCACTGATAGGCATTTAGGTTGATTTCATGTCTTTGTTTACTGTGAATAGTGCCGCAGTGAACATACTCATGCATGTATCTTTATAATAGAACAATTTATATTCCTTTGGGTATATACCTAATGATGAGATTGCTGAGTCAAATGGTATTTATGTCTTTAGATCTTTGAGGAATCGTCACACTGCCTTCCACAATGGCTGAACTAATTTACCCTCCCACCAACAGTATGTAAGTGTTCCTTTTTCTCCACAAGCTCACCCTAGCCGCTTTTCAACACCTCCATTAGCAGCACTATGGTCCTAGCCAACATCATCTCTCAACAGGATTACTACACAGGCCTTCTACATACTCCCTCTATTTTCAGTCTCAGAAACTAGAGTGATCCTGCTAAAATGGGAGTGACACCATATTATTCCTCTGTTCTAAAGCCTTCAGTTGCTCCCCATTTCCTTCAAGCACAACACACGCCCCTTATAGTAATGTAAAAGACCTCACATATCTGACCACTGATTACCTTTCTAATCACATCTCCTACTCATCCCCCTCTTGCTCATTCTTCTCTAGCAAATGGAGCTCCTTGCCATTCCTCAAACATACCAGGTTTATTCCCACCCCAGGGCCTTTGTACTGCCAACTTCTCCTACCTGGAGCTTTCCTTTGTTAGCTATTTGTATGGTTCTCTCTCTTCCTCTTCTAGTCTTTTTCTATTAAAATATTCAATCCTATTAATATTTCAACTCATGCCTACATATATTTATTCCTTAACCCCCTTATTCTGCTTTAATTTTATAACATTTTTTCTATATAATTTATTTCTTTATTAAGCTTATTATTTGTTATCAATAATAATAGATCCTACCAGGATGTAATTCCATGGGGAGAAGGATGTTTGTGTTTTGTTTATTGAGCAATGTTTAGAACACAATAGACACCAAACATCTTTGGATTAATAAAAGATAATGATTCACAAAAGTAAGAGATGGAAAGAATCTCTCAGAAGAGTATGTTGGCTAATGCAGTATATTATATAGATGGGCTTAGATATTAAAGAACCAAGGAATGTGGGAAACAATGCCCCTTAGTAGATAGGAGTTGTCCAGTGAATAGAGCTGCCTATGTCAATGTGGCTTTTCACTGCAGGACTGTGAAATGGATTTGGCCGTTAAATAAGAATTAAGGCCAATACAAGCATCCTGCCTGTTGACAGTCACTCTATTTGGACAGTCCTTGTTTTAGCCAACAGTGATATTTAAAAAAAAAACCATAAAAAATTAAAAGACAATCTACAAGCTGCCACAAGTATGCTGATGAAATTTCAGGCAAATAATATTCTTAAAATATAAAGAGTTTTCCAGTCTACACAAAAGACAATGTTTAATACCAGAAAGCAAAAACATAAGTAGGCAAAGTCACGTGGGATTAAAAAGTCCAATTTTTCTGGTAGCCAAAGAAATATAATTCAAAATAATGATATTGTTTGTCTGTATTCTATATTCAGATTTAAAAAGATTAAAGAATATGCATTATAAAATTGCCCACCTGGAAGGGTGTGTCAACATTTAGCATCTTTAGGTTTGGTAATCCCATGTAAATAAATTAGCATTTATTCTAGGGAAACTATCATGGAGGCATTAAATAATTGAGTAACCATTGTTGTTCATTGGAGCCTTGTTCATAACCTAAAAAAATTGCAAACAACCTACACATCCATATGTCATTGGTGAGCACAACAAATAGCTCAGTGAAAAGGTGTATGCAATCTAGAGTCATTGCTTGTATTTAAATCTCAGCCTTACCCCTTCCAAGCCGTGTAACTTTGGACATACTAGTTAATCATTCTAAGGAGCCACGAAATAGCATGTAATATTTTAAGAGGGATGAGAAGTTCGATGTTATTGGACCACAGATTTCCTTGGTAGGGATGGCGGTGGGAATGTGTTTGTGAAAATATATGGGGTTTAGGCCTTGCATGGTGCATATTGAGCGTGAGGAGCAATGGAAGGATCTGGCCAAGGGAGTCACTTGATCATATATGTATATAATTTTGTAAAGAT
Organism: Homo sapiens; assembly: GCF_000001405.40. Lineage (NCBI taxonomy): Eukaryota > Metazoa > Chordata > Mammalia > Primates > Hominidae > Homo > Homo sapiens. Next base: position 14,686,543 of record NC_000017.11, read on the forward strand.
TACTTCAGCAGAATTGAGGAGGATTGACCAAAGCAAGGTGATGCCAGAGAACGCATCAGTTGGGAATGTCTCATAGCACTTCAGCCACTGGATGTGAGGATAATGGGAAATTGTGTACTTCCTCACTTGAATTCAATCCTTATTGTCTTTCCCATCAAAATCAATAAACAATGGGATTAGAGAATGACAGTTTGTGTGGAGAGGAGGGGAACATTCAGATCAATTTTTGAAATGGTCCAATGATTCTAGATTTGCTGTGCAAAAGGCTACCTCATCCCCTTCCCTGGTAGGACTCATCCAGGCAGCTGGGGTTCAGTGTCATGTTGAGCTGGATAACAGCCTAGATCATTTAGAGAGCTGCCCTAAGCAAACTCTTGCTAGTAGTTTTCATGCTTTTGTTTTCTCCTCTTAAACATTAAGCAAACAAACATTCAGCAAACAAACATTCATTTTTAACACATTCTTATCTCTGCCCAGTGGTCAGGGACAGCTAGCACTGGCCCAAGCAGTGGTCAATAAGAAGTTCCAAATCTTTTACTGCTAAGGGATGTCAATGCCTTACTGGCAAGCTGGAGACAGAGCTTCAAGTTTGAGAGAGAACTGTGTGTGGGGTGGTGGGGCCGGGGTGGGGAGAGATGGGAATAGATAAGGAGGGAGGGAGGGAAGAAGGAGGTAGCAATTAAAAAGAGAGAAAGAAAGAGCTCCAAAAGGAAAACTGTGTAAGACCAACTTCAGAAGTCAGCAGAGCCACTTCCTGCAGCTCTACACCCCACTGTAGCTATCACACACAGAGAACAACATTCAGTCGTCTTTTTGATCAGTTGCTGAGGCTTCAAAATGTGCCTTTGAAACACAAGGCACCATCTGGAAAAAATGACTTCCAGTCAACCCAAAGGCCCCACAGACTGAGGAGCCCTGCTCCGAGCCAGCTGTCCTAACTTGCCATGTTGCTGCATCGCCCGGTGCTCCAGGCTGAGCCTCCATGAAGCAGTGGGCCTAGGATGTCCTAGAGCACTAAATCCCTTTCAGCAGACTTTGCGGCATAGAAGAGAATATGTTTTGAATGTTTGCGCTTTGGGATTTCTGGATTTCATTAAGGAAATATGGGGAGTCAGGTACAAATCAAATGACTCCTTGGCATAACTTCATTTTCCTTTGTCTCTTCTCTCTTCCTTCCCACCATTCACCTGTTGCATAATGCAGGGGCTGCTTGGGAAGTGTGTAAATTAGGATTAGGTGAGCTGCCAATATCTAAAAGTTATCATGGCTTAAAAAACTTAGAAATCTATTTGCCTCTTATGTAAATGAGGCAGGCAGCCTTGGTTTACTGAAGGAGTTACAATAGAATTAATAGAAACCAATGATCTTTTCAATGAGTAAGTCCACCATTGCTAGGAAAAGAGACTTTTTTCTCATGATCAAAGATAAAGGCCAGAACTCCAACAATCATATTGGAGTTCTAGATATCAAGACGAAAGGAGGGACCAAAAAGGAAAGGGGCAAAGGTCACATGTTAGCAATCTTTTAAAGACATTTCTTAGAAAGTAGTCTCCTTCACATATTATTGACCAGAATTTAAACATGTGCTCAAACATAAATGCAAAGACAATTGAGAGATGGAGGCTCAGCCAAAAATCTAAGATATTAAGAAAGAGGGGAGAATAGAAACTGTGTTCTCTGCCATCGTTCACCATTTTGGCTACTAAAATACTCATGGGAGGCCTTGTAATGGGAAGAATACATTCATGCTCGTCTTCAAACCAGTAAACACAGAGTGCTGCCTCTAGCTGCAAGTCTAAGATCTGCAATCTTCTATTTCCAATGCCACATGCTGCTTCATGTAGACTGGCAACTTCTATATTTAAAGATAAGTTAGCTCTTAACACACCATAATACACAAGGAATGACAATGAAATCTCCCACTTTGAAAAATGGGAGAATGAAAACCACAGCAGTCATTGGTTTCTAGCCATGATAAAACGCTGCTAGGCATAAATAGTGTGTACTCCTGATCTGGAAGTGGAGAACCTTCCTTGGTTGGAGAATATTCCTCGTGCTGGGCTCTGGGAAGAATGTTCCCTTTTTTTCCATATTTTTGCCAGCACTTGTTATCTTGTCTTTTTGATCATAGCCATCCTAACAGGTATGAGATGATATCTCATTGTGGCTTCAATTCACATTCCCCTGACAGTTAGTAATGTTGAGAACCTTTTAATATGCCTGGCAGCCATTTGTATGACTTCTTTGGAGAAATTCTATTCAGGTCTTTTGACCAATTTTAAATAGGGTTATTTGTTTTCATGCTATTGAGTTGTTTGAGTTCCTTATATATTTGGATATTGACTCCTTATCATGTGTATGCTTTGTAAAATATTTTCTTCCATTCTGTAAGGTGTCTGGAGAATTTTCTTTGATGTACAAAAGGTTTCTAGTTTGATTTCAGTCTATTTTTGCTTTTATTGCCTGTACTTTTATATTCATGAAATCATTGTCCACCTCAATGTCATGAAGCTTTCTCCCTAAATTTTCTTCTAGTATTTTTATAGTTTCAGGTCTTACATTTAAGTCTTTAATCCATTTTGAATTGACTGTGTATACAGTGTGAGATAAGGGTCCAATTTAATTTTTCTCTATATGATATTCAGTTTTCCTGACACCATTTATCAAAGACACTATTCTTTCCCAATTCCATAACCTTTGTCGAAGATCAATAGCAATAAATGTGTGGATGCATTTTTGGGACCTCTGTTGTTTTATTGGTCTATCTGTCTGCTTTTATGCCAGTACCATACTATTTTGATTACTATAACTTCGTAGTATATTTTAAAATCAGATGGTGTGATGTTTCCAGCTTTGTCTTTCTGCTGAAGATTGCTTTGTCTATTGAGGATCTTTTGTGGTTCTTTATGACATTAGGATTTTTATTTCTGTGAAAAATACCATTGGAATTTTGATAAGGATTGCAGTAAATCTGTAGATCTTATAGGGCAGTATGGACATTTTAAGAATATTAATTCTTCCAATACAGGAATACAGATATCCTTCCATTTATTTGTGTCATATTTAATTTTCTCCTCAATATTTTATAGTTTTATTGTATAGGCATTTTATCTCCTTGGATAAATTTATTCTTAAGTATCTCAGGGTTTTTCAATGCTATTGTAAATGAAATGATTCCCTTCATTTCTTCCCAAAAATATATTCCATTTTAAATTTTATTTATTTGAACTTCTTTTCCTTTTTAATTAGTTTAGCTAAGTTTTGTTCCAAAAAAGAAATGAAGGAAATAATTTCATTTATTATTGTTGTTAGTGTGTAGAAATGCCACTAATTCTTGAATGTTGATTTTGTATCTTGCAACTTTACTGAATTCATTTATTAGTTCCAAAAGTGTTTTGATGGAGTCTTCAGCATTTTCTATATATAAAAATCTACAAACAGAATATTTTATTTTTTCCTTTCTCATTTGGGTGTCTTTTCTTTCTTTTTGCTGGCAAGTTGCTCTATCTAGGACTTCCAGTATTATATAGAAAAGAAGTGGCAAAAATGGGCATTCTTGTCTCAGTCCTGATTTCTTGATTTTGGAGAAAAATCAATTCTTTCTTTCTTTCTTTCTTTCTTTCTTTCTTTCTTTCTTTCTTTCTTTCAACTGTTGAATGTGGTGTTAGCTCTGGGCTTGTTATATATGGCCTTTATTATGTTATGGTTATTTCTTTCTATAGCTAATTTTTTGAGAGTTTTTATTACAAAAAGATGTTGCATTTTGTTAAATACTTTTTCTGTATCTATTGAGATGATCATATAACTTTTATCCTTCATTATGTTTATGTGGAGTATCATATTTATTAATTTACATATGTTAAACTATCCTTGCATGCCAGGGATAAATCCTGCTTGCTCATGGTGTATGATCCTTTTAATGTGCTGTCGAATTCAATTTGCTAGTATTTTGTTGAAGATTTTTGCATCTATGTTCATTAGGAACATTTATCTGTAATTTTATCTTCTTGTATCTTTGGCTTTGGTATTAAGTTAATGCTGCCCTCAGAAAATGAGTTTGGAAGTGTCACCTTTTAATTTTTTGGAAGAGTTTGAGAAAGATTGGTGTCAATTTCTTCTTTAAATGTTTTGTAGAATTCACTTGTGAAGCCAATAGGACCTGGGCTTTTGTTAATTGGGAGGTTTTTATTCACTGATTCAATCTCCTTACTCATCTTTGGTATGTTGAGATGCTCTATTTCTTCATGATTTAGTCTTGGTAGATTGTATGTTTGTAGGAGTTTATCCATTTTTTCTATGTTATTTAATTTGTTGGCATACAATTTTTTACAATAATCTCATAATCATTTTTATTTCTGTGACGTCAGTTGTAATGTGTTTTATTTCATTTTTTGTTTTATTTATTCCTTTTCTTTTTAGTTTAGCTAAATTTTTGTCATTTGTTTTTCTTATTAAAAAACAACTCTAAGTTTTGTTGACGTTTTCTATTGTTTTTCTGTTTTTCTATTTTATTTATTTCTGTTCTAATCTTTTTTATTTCCTTCCTTTTGCTAACTTTGAACATTGTTCACTCTTTTTTCAGTTCCTTGAGATGTAACTTTAGGTTGTTTATTTGAGATCTTTCTTCTTTTTTAATATAGGCCTCTATCATATGAAGTTCCCTCTTAGTACTATTCTCGCTGAGTCCCATAAGTTTTGGTATGTATTTTACCCTGAAGTATTTTCTAATTTATTTTGTGATTTCCCCCCTTTAACCCAAAGTTTCTTCCAGAGTGTGTTATTTAATATCCACATACTTGTGGATATTTCAATTTTCCTTGTGCTATTGGTTTCTAATTTTATTTATTTGTGGTCAGAAAAACACTTGGTATAATTTCAATCTTTTAAAATTTGTTAGAACTTGCTTTGTGACCTAATGTTGATTTATTCTGGAGAAAAAATCATGTGCACTTGAAAAAAAATGTATATTCTGCTGTTGTTGGGTAGAATGTTCTACATATGTCTGTTAGATCTATTTAGTTTATAGTATTATTCAAGTTTCTTATTGATTTTATGTCTGGATGTCCTGTCAATTATTCAAATTAAGGTATTGAAGTGTTCCTACTACCATTGTATTTCTGTCTATTTCTCTCTTCACTACCATCAGTGTTTGCTTTATATATTTACATCTTCTGATGCTGGGTTCATATGTATTTATCATTGTTCTATTCTCATGATGGAGTGACCCTTTCATCATTATAAAATGTCCTTCTTTGTCTCTTTTGGAAAGTTTTTGGCTTAAAGTCTATTTTGTCTGATATAAGTATAGACACACCTGCTGTCTTTTTGTTACCATTTGCCCTCAATATTTTTTTTTTCCATCCCTTAAAATTCAGCCTATGAGCATCCTTAAATTTAAAGTGAATTTCTTTAAACAACATGTAGTTTTGTCTTGTTTTTTTTTTTTAAATCAGTTTGTTCAATCTATTTCTTTTGATTAGAGAGTTTAAATCATTTACATATAAGGTAATTATTGATAGGGAAGGGTTTGCTATTGGCATTTTGTTAGTTGTTTTCTGTCATTTTTCTAGGTCTTTTGCTGTCTTTTTGTCTCTTGCTGTCTTCTTTTATATTTTGTTGATTATTTTGTATTGATATGCTTTGACTATTTTCTCTTTTTCTTTTATGTAAGTTCTATTGATACTTTTTGCATAACCATGTATGGTTATCTTGAGACTTACATAAACTATCCTATAGTTACAATAGTCTGTTTTAAGCTGATAACAACTCAAGTTCAATGACACACAACATTACACTTTAACTCTCTGCACTTACACTTGATGTTATTGTTGTCACAATTTGCATCTAATTGTATTGTGTATCTTTTAACATACTTTTAGTTATAGTTATTTTTAATACTTTTGATTTTCAACTTTTATGCTAGAATTACAAGTAATCACAGTATTAGAGTATTCTGTATATTTCTATATATTTATCTATACTAACAAATTTCGTACTTCCTTATGCTATTGTGTTGCTATTTTACATCTTCTTGTTTCAACTTGAAAAACTTCCTTTACCATTTCTTATAAGACAGGTCTACTCCCTCAGTTTTTATTTGTCTGAGAAAGTTTTATCTCTCCTTTATTTCTGAAGAACAGCTTTGCTGGATATAGTATTGTTGATTTCTTTTTTTGTTTCCTCACTTTAACTATAGCATCCCACTCCCTTATGGCCTGCAAAGTTTGTGCTGCAAAATCTAGTGATAGTCTTACAGAGGTTCTTTCATATGTGACAAATCACTTTTCTTGCTTTCAAAATTCTTTGTTTTTTTACAATTTGATTATAATGTGTCTCACTTTGGATTTCTTTGGGTTCATTTCATATGGCGTCCTTTTCCTTCCCCAGATTTGAGGAGGTTTTAGCCATTATTTCTTTGAATACACATTCTGTTCCTTTCTTTATCTTCTCTTTCTGGAACTCCTCAGTGTATACATTGATTTGCTTGATGGTGTCCCATAATTCTCTAAAAATTTCTTCACTTTTTTATATTTTTAAAAAACTTTTACACCTCTGAAGTATTTTCAGTGACCTGTCTTTGAGTTCCCGGATTTATTCTGCCTTATTTAGTTTTCTCTGAAACTCTCTAGTAATTTTTTTTTTCAGTTCAGCTATCGCATTCTTCAGCTCCATGATTTCTATTTGGTACCTTTTTATATTTCTATCTCTTTGTTGAAATTCTTACTTTACTCATGCATTGTACTTTTGGCCTCGGTGAGCAGCCTTAGGAGAGTTATTTGTAGTTATCTGTCAGGTAAATCATATAACTTCATTTCATTAAGGTTGATTCCTGGAGATTGATCTTGCTCCTTTGTTTGAAACGTCTTAGCCTAGTTCCTAATTTTCCTTGACTCTCTGTGTTGATGTCTGTGTATTAGATAAAAGAGGCACATCTTCCTGTCTTCACAAACTGGTCTTGTACAAGAGAAAACTCCCACCAATCAGCCCAGCCAGAAATTATGAGGGACTCTTCCAACTCTTTTCTACCCCAGAGAGAAGGAGGAAGCTGTGGTTTTTGTCTACTTGTTCTATGCTGAGCTACAATGAGTGGGAGGAACTGTGGTATCTAACAGCTCAACCTGCTGTCTCCATTCTCCCCCAGGTAGCTAGATTCTGATGGATCCATCAGAACTCCAGGACTGCCAAGAAAAATACTAATTTTGGGGGCAGCCCCAGCAGAGCTGGTTAGCTAATCAATAAAATCCTAAGTGAAATAAACAATACAACTTTTACTAAAAGTTTCAATTAAAAGAGGTTATCATTTTTACTTGCTTTGAAAACTAAGGACAGCGAAGGCAAGGAAGTGAGTATTTAAATAGCTTAAGTCTGTGTTTTGAATTTACTGTGATTGTAGTGACTGCCTACTAATAGAAATAATAGAAAAGATTGTAAATTGGTTTCATTAGACATCAAATAGGCTATTTATTTAGAGGTATCAAAGTTCAAGTGGCACCCATGATTGTTGTACCATATTATGCATTGGTTGGAGGGTTTATGGTTCAAGAAGTTGGACTGAGCACACATTTTCCTTCTCTTTCCTAATAATTTACTGAACAGCATGGGGTGGGTTTATGAAAGCACTTACAATGGGGGCAGGTTTAGGAAATGGAGCACAGCAGTGGAGTAAAGACTTTTCAAAGTTTTGGAAAAGAGGGAAGGTTGTTTGCTTAAATTATAGTAGAGGAAGTCTCAGTATAAAAAATATACAAGGAAATGACTCTACTAAGAAAAAGGAAAAAAGGCAGATATTCCCAGACAGAAAGGGCTCAAAAGTTTATCACTTATACATCAAGATGTACATCAACAAAATGATAAAGGAATCTGTGTGTGGGGTGTGTGTGTGTGTGTGTGTGTGTGAGAGAGAGAGAGAGAGAGAGAGAATGAGAGAAAAAGAGTGAGTGAGTTAGATGCAAAAGCAGAACAAACCCAGGAGTACAATAATAAAAAAAATTCTAGAATAACCTCTTTACAGTGGTTTTAGAAAGCCGGTTATCCGAACCTGACTGACAGCTCAAGGGCTCTGAGAATACTGTCAAGAATAATTTCCTATAAAATTAAAATAGGAAAGCTGGATAATTTCAATTAAAAGAGATAAAAATTATAATATTAACTACAAAAATATGCAAAACAGGCCAGACATGTTGGCTCATGCCTGTAATCCCAGCACTTTAGGAGACCAAGGCAGGCAGATCACGAGGTCAGGAGATAGAGACCATCCTGGCTAACATGGTGAAACCCCGTCTCTACTAAAAATACAAAAAAAAAATTAGTCGGGTGTGGTGGCAGGTGCCTGTAGTCCCAGCTACTCGGGAGGCTGAAGCAGGAGAATGGTGTGAACCCGGAGGCAGAGCTTGCAGTGAGCGGAAATCGTGCCACTGCACTCCAGCCTCGGCAACAGAGCGAGACTCCATCTCAAAAAAAAAAAAAAAATGCAAAACATAGGTCACTTTCTTATTTCCCTCTCAACTTGCAACTTTTGAAACCTACTCTAGGTGACACATATTTAATGCCACAGAGTTTCCATCTCCATGAATTAAACTCACTGCTGGGTTCTGCAGTAAATGATATTTCGACAATACTAATACATTAAATGTGAATTACAGGTACTCAATTTTAAAAATCCACTTATAGACAAAGCACTAATGACTTTCCAGTTCAGAAAGAAATATAGAAGCCTTAGTCTGTGGCAATGTAAAATCAATGATACAGTGAATGCAGGGCGGGAGTAAATTCAGAAGATGAGTTAGAGAGAAAATGTAACATGGCTAAAGAATTCATATTACATACAGCAAGTTAAGAGGGACTACCTAAAATTGGTAGATCAAGAAATATTGATTTGTTATTGTAAAGCCCAGGTGATAACCAAGAAGAGGTGAACTGAAAACTTAAAGGCAGAAGATTATTGCAATTATTGCAAGGGTATTGAAATTTCATTTTTCATGATAGGAAATCTGCAGACACTTTCTAAAGATGACCAGTTAGGAAACAGAAGTCTAAGAAATTATTTAGAGGTCAATAGAAATAGTTAAATTTGGTGATTCCTGGGCTGTGGGATTAGGAGTGGGAGAAAACAGACTACAAATTTTAATTTTACACTATCCAGATGGAATTTTTATAATCATGTCTGACTACTGGGGGCCAGAAAATCTAGGCATATTTATGAATAGAACCCACAAGCAAAAAGCACTAGAAGTGCTGGTTCCTGAAAGGGCCTGAGAAAGCAAGAAGGTGGAAGATGTCAATGGAATTGGGAAATAAAATTGTGGGTAAGGGAAAGAGAGAGTTTGTTTTGACCTCACATAAGTCATTCAACCACCATATTCCATTTTTTCTTCCATAAAATAAAGATAATACCAATTTCATAGGGTTATTATAAAGATTAAAGAATATGCCTATTTCATAGCAGGTGATTAATAATATTGGTTGATCATATAGTAGGTGATCAATAAATATTGATTCTCCCTTTCATTGAAAACTTAGGTCCCGTGGTTCCTATAGTTCTGTCCTCTTAATTTACTCACTCTCTGCCAGCCCAGTCTCTGTTCTAGCCAGCCCTGGTCATTCATTAAGCAGGGATCTTGAATGGAGAGCAGAGGGTTAATGACTTCTGTTCCATGCTAATGAGTGAATACTTCCTCTAATTCTAACTCCTTGTGGTGTGTCCAACCCTCATAGTCTGCTAGACTCCAGGTGTCAGATGGTCCCAGCTTGCTCTGCTGGCAAAGTAAAACCCTATACCTGACAGATACCAAGAAAACCAAGATTTCAGAATGGAGTGACTGAGATGGAGACACTCAAAAAAGAAAAGATTTTTATTTAGGTGCCCACTGTCCTTGCATTCTCAACCCTCACATCAGAGGAGACCAAGACACCATCTGGGTGATTTCACTCTCTGCTTTTCTTGCTCTTTCTTATCCTCAAGGGCAATTGAAGAGTGGCTTTACCAGCCTGTAAATCAGTAGCAGCTATAAAACATGTCTGTCTGTAGCGATGACTTTTCTCTTGTGGGATACTTTACAGCCATGGAACATGCCCAACATATTAATGACAGAAATTCATTACTCTAAATGCACATTCTGATGGAGATGTTGTAGAATTGTTGGAAGAGGTGTATGTGGAACCAGAGTCTAGTGTGGCAAACACCAGCTGTTTCCAACTAACTTGGAGTACTAAACTGATTGGTAGATCCACCCCACTCTCAGATCTTTAATGAATGAGTTTCAGTGAAGCAACCTCCCATAATCCCAGTGTCCCAAGAGAGCTTGGGGAGCAGGGAGGTTTGGAAGGACAGAGATGGACTGAACACCCCAGGTCAAGCCACTCGAATCATTTTACAGTAGGAACATGCCAATTCACTCAAACCCTGTGCCGTTTTCATGTTTTATGAATCTTCTGCTTTCTATTATTAAAACATTTTAACAATAATGAGAGGATTTTAAAATTTAAAAATGGGCCATTCACAATCTCATTTTTTAAAACATATTTCTCTTCCTAGCTCTAGTTAATTTATGGAAATAACTTCACAATATCATAATCATGTCATAGACTGCATTTTGTTCTTCATACATTTACAGTGGCTTAAAATATCCAGGATCCCTATTCAAAATTGTAACTGAAAGCACAGACAAAAGTAACTGCATTTCTTGGAGCATGAGCCAGGACAGCACAGGAAAAGGTATGCATTGCAAAATGCAATCTGTGGCCCTTGTTTTTTATATACTCCCTAGTAATTGACTTATATAAAACATTATATCTATAAATATCCAGTACTCAGTTGACCCTGCTGCCTGAACAATGAGAAAATTCTCCCTCTGCTCCTCACCTCAAGTTTCAGTGAGAACCAGTATGTAAGTCTTGCTTATATGGGCATATGGATGTGATAGTTCATAGCAGGAGAGCTTAAGTGTGCATGAATGAAGACTAAAGCAGAAATGGCTTTGTGCAAATATCACCAGAGGCAAACTAGACTGCAAGATTGCACTGAAAGATGCATGTACACCCACCATAAACATTAATTTTTACTACAAGAAACAAACACCCGAAATGAAGGTGTATATGTGGGTCCTTAGCACGAGTGAACCACGAAAATCAGCTCTCTGGAACACTATGAATTAATCTAGCCTTTTATTAAAATCATCATTCTCTGGAATCCTCTTATTCATATAAAAAAAGTGTGATCCCCTAAAGCTAGGGCTAAACGTGACTCACTTTGAGTAAATCGAGCCTGTTAGAAATTGATTTGCCTCACGTTTACCTACGTAAGAAACCTGCATATCCTACTCGTGTACCCTGAAACTTAAAATTAAAAAAAAAAGAAATGAAAAAAAATTGATTTGCCTAATGGTAGGGCTGAATCAGGTGACTATTAGTCAGGGTAGATGTTTGTGCCATAGAAACAAATAATCTCAAATTTCAGAGATTTATACGAAAGGAAGAATAAAAAAGGTTAGTCTCTTTCAGGCTACATGCCCTTTATGAGTGGGCTAGGAACTCTGCTCCACGTCATCACCTACACTGGGCCCCAGCTGATGGAGCAACTGCCACAGGGAACTTTGGCGGTGGCCCTGGAGGCTGAAGAAGAGGGCACTTGGTAAAGCGCGCACTGGCTCCTCACATTTCTGCATGGAGGTAGCCCACATCACGTCCGTTCATACCTCTCTGGTCAAACCAAGAACCATGGCCACACCTAAGGATGTGCAATAACCCTCCCAAATGTCTGGAGAAAAGAGAGAATCCAATATTTCCAACAGACCTAGTGACTTTCACAGGGCCATTCCAAGTTCAAGACCACCTAAAAGAAAATCCTATGGAAGGAAAGAATGAGTGGTTTATGCATGATAAAGAGAGGAAATGGAGGGGTGATATGACAGATTGCTTAGATTGAATTATCCTATCCAGTCCATGGTGTTGCTTCCATTATTATCCCTGCCCCTCATCTTCTGGTTGTTGGGCCCTCCTAGGTCATAGCCTAAGAAGTGGATGGGTTCTTGGAAGCAGATATGCCAGTCACCAGCCACAGCAGCTCCTGTAGACATGCTCCGCAGCCCAGTATGAGTGAAGACTTGGGCCCAAATCTGGGAATTGACAAAACGAGGCAAAGGGTTAACACTAGTCACAAAGCTTACAACAGGATTTCTTTATCCTCTTAAATTAGTTAACAATTAGAAAACTGCATACCTCCTAGTCAGTTAATTAACTGAGTGCTTTTTATGGCTAGAGATAGCTGTAAGCTTTAATTTTTGCTTTAAGGAAGCTCTAAAATAATTGAGGAATTAAGTCATGTGAAAGTGCAGGTAAATGAGGACTATGCATTTACTTCATACATTTAAGAGAATTTAGGGCTTAGAGTTCAATTCTCAAACCAACTAGTTTCGGCTGACTTCTATTCTACTATTCTTGACTGCCCCTCCCCAAACATGCAGACTTTCCTTGTTTGCTTTGTAAGTTAAGTGGTATTTGCACATGGACATTAAATGGACCTCACTTGAATTAATTGGTTTTGTCAACTTATAGAAGTCAACCCTGGCATATGGGACACTCACATTCAGGCCCATGATCAGCACTGGCATGGACCAAGATGCTCCTAGTCTGTGACTGGAAGAAACTCAAAAGCCAAGTGATATATATTTTTTTTTCACTGACTTGTCTGAATCACCCAGTTGTTTTGGTCTCATCTGTGACAGTTTTATATGGAAAAGCATCCCTGTGTAAATCTTACAGCACCCGTACCCAATCTATGAGCTCAGCATATTGGCTGAAAGAAGAACTGATTTTGCAGTTTAACAAAATTAAAATGATCAAGTGACTTATTTGAAAGGTAACTCCAAATTCCAGATTCAATTCGTTGTAGGTTTAGACACAGTTTTCTCTTCACAGTCAAAGATAAGTGGAAGGCAAAGATGATGGTATGGTTTATTTACTTTGAATTATTCAAAAAATTCATTCTACTTTCTGCTTGGCCTTAGCTGAAGTGATTGTGTCAAGCATCTCCCAGGATGAACCAAAAGTTCTACCAATGTCACTGGCCTGCAGCCTGACAAAATATTATAATACCATTCCAGGCAGAGTCATGCAAAACCTGGGCAGACAAAATGAACAGTGTGTGGGATTAGCTTAAGAGAATGATTTCCTGCACAGAATACCATTACCCAGAATTTTCAGGCCTTTGCAAATAGCACTTATGGTCACTGTGAGCCTATTAGAATGCTTTTTAAGCATGATGCTGAACTAAACACCAGTCATTGCTGCAAATCTCAGAGATGAGCTGATTGCATTGCTACGCAAATTACAGGCTTTGGAAAACTATTTGCTAAGAATCCTTCTAACATACACTGTTAGTTGAATAGAACTTCAGGAGCTTTAATCTAATTATGACTAAAGCAAATTCCTAAGTGAAATGAGGGTGTGAGAGAGGAGAATTTGTTTTTGTTTGAACAAGGAAAAGAGCTATGAAAGCTTTATTGACCTAGTAAATAAAGGAGAGTGAATAAAGGAGTCAGTGATAGGACACTTCCAGCTAGAGAACAAAGGGGGGTCATTATGCTGCTTAGTTGTCTCTTTGAGGAAGGATTACTTCAGAAGGAAGAGAAAGACCAACAATTATTCTTATTTAATGAATTAGGCAGTACTTGAATATAAATAAATGATACTTTTACGAACAGCATTAATTTCATCATGCTAAAAAGTCAAATAAATCCAAATGGATGAAATCGTTTATAAATGATTTCAAGATCAAGCACATATTCTCAAACAATTGGAAAAAATATTACATTTGGCATTATTTTAGGTTTGCACACATTGAAGTATGCGATTTAACACCATCCTGTAACTCGAATTACCACTTGAGAACGCTGACTTGGAAATGAGGAAAAGTCAAAACAAAGCACATGAACTTAAAAAGTTTCAGGCTCTGACAGGGTAGATCACAGGGTTTTGGATCAGAAAACCACTGGTATTTTTCCTAACTAGTCCTCACTAACTTGTCCACAGAGGTGTCAGTTACTCCCTACATTTGAATGTTCTTTTGAAGTATGAATACCCACATTAGCCCCTGCTCACTCTCACCTTGCAGAAAGCTTAGTAAATGTCTTTGATTCATTAAAAGAGAAAGTGAGAATGAGAAACACATCCTTCCCAAAATTTTGGAAGTTACACAAGGAAGGTGGCATCTGAGCCTTAAAGAGGCAGAGGTGTCTGTCATTGTTGGGTTGAAAGCCAGTCATTCCCCAGCATTGGTTTGAAGCAAATGGTCTCAGCTCAGACTGTCTGTGGTAACTCCTATTGGAGAAATAAGTTGGACAGGATGAATGACAAGGTGATTATACCTGACAGCGCACGGCATGGGATGGCATGGAAGACAAGAGGTATTCTCCCTAGTACTACTCCAGGCACTCAGGCCTCCCTGAGATCAGGCCCCCAGCCACTGCCCCCAACCAGGGTGTAGAAACTCCTGGCCTGGGCACCTCAGGTCCACCAGGAAGTCCCAAGGAAATCCAGGAGCAAAGTCCCGTTAGTGTCCATTCTCCATTTGCTCATCGCATTGCATATGTGGGAGCCATGGAAGAAAAAACATGGTGCTTCTCTTGGTTGAGTCTTCATTTGGGCTTCAAGACCAGTCTACACCTTGGCTGATGGACTCCGGGACCTCAGGCCCCTCACATTTCCTCTGCAAGCCTCTTTACTTCTGATTTATCAGGAGACTCACTCATTTCCAGAGGTAACCACACCTCCACGTGTGGCTAGCTCCATCCTCCCATAACTTTTATCTGTTGTTCTAAGTGATTTGTTCCTTATCAGTGGCCCTGTAGTCTTGATGGAAGAAGAGTGCCACCTTTTCCTGCACTCTGTAGCTCTCTGAATTCATTTGAAAATCAACCTTTCTTTTAGCTGTACCCCCAAGCCCTATTTCTGAGTGTATTTGCAGAAAAAAGGTAACCAACACAACGACAACAACAAAAACAAAAGGACCAATCAGGTAGCAAATTTCCACATGAATTTGGGTTTATTACTGGACTTTTAACCTAGTCCATGCACCAGTACTGCATTATTTTAATTAGAGGAGTTGTGGTATTTGATTGTCTGTTAGGGTTAATTCCATCTCCCTCACTTGTTATTCTTATTCATTGTTTTCACAGCTATTGCTGCATGAATGTTTTTACTAAGAAACCTTAAGTCAACTTGTCTAGCTTCAAAAAAAGCTTGTTGGTATTCTTATTGGGATCACATGACTTTCTATTTAAATCCATCCCAACATGTTCAGTGTCTCTCTTCTCCCCTGACAACAATGGGGTTTGTATTAGTGTTCTATGGCTGCTGTAAAAAATTACCACAACCTGTGGGTGGGTGGGTGGTGGTGCTTGGAACAATAGGAATGTATTCACTCATGGTTCTGGAGTTTAGAAGTCTCCAATCAAGGTGCCAGCAAAATCATCTTCCCTCTGAAGACTCCAGGGAAGAATCTTCCATTGTTTCCTTTTAGATTCTGATGGTTGCGGAATATGATTCTTGACATTCCTTGGCTTGTGGCTGCATCATTCCAATTTTTTGCCTCCATGGTCACATGGCACTCTCCCTAGGAGTATAGCTGTCTGCATTTTCATATGCCTTTCTTATGAGAACACCAGTCATTGGGTTTAGAGACTAGGCTAATCCAGTATGACTTCATCTTAACTAAGTACAGCTACATAGACTCTATTTCCATATAAGGTCACACTCCCAGATTCTGGGTGAACATAAATTTTGGGGGACACTATGCAACCCAGTACAGGGCTGTTATTATAAGTAAGAGAATGTGTGTGGAGATGTAGCTAGAGCCAGGCCTACAGGTCCCACAAATGATAACTATTACTTTGGGAAAAAAACACCTTACAGTTTTGCTCCAACTTGTAGCCATCAACCTATTGCTCTGGTTCCTTTCTTTCTTTTCTTTTCTTTCTTTTTTTTTTTTTTTTTTTTTGAGATACGGTCTTGCTCTGTCGCTCAGGCTGGAGTGCAGTGGCATGATATCGGCTCACTGCAACCTCTGCCTCCCAGGTTCAAGCAATTCTCCTGCCTCAGCCTCCTGAGTAGCTGGGACTACAGTGGCGCGCCACCACGCCTGGCTAATTTCTGCATTTTTAGTAGAGACGAGGTTTCACCATGTTGGCCAGGCTGGTCTCGGACTCCTGACCTCAGGTTATCCACCTGCCTTGGCCTCCCAGAATACTAGGATTACAAGTGTGAGCCACCACGACCAGCTCTGGTTCCTTTCATAGTCAATGTCTGCAGCAAACAACATGCTCTCTCAACTTCTATTTCCCTCAGTCATGCCCTTTTAACTCTCTTCCTTCTAGCTAATAGCTGTCTCTACAGTTCTGCATCTGTTTACTTGAAAGTCCCTAAAGTTTGCCTCCTTTTACTCAGTTGAAATCTCCAGGGTAAATGTCTAGTGTGCCTCTTGCATCATTTGCACATTAAAAAAAAATCTGCACTGGGAGACCATTGGTATCTTTAGTTTCTCTTACAGTCTTCATCCAAGAACGTGTGATTCTTTGTCTGAAGTGTATTTTCCAGAGCTCCTTTAGACCATTTTACTTTTTAATAACTATACAAAACCACAGACTGGTGGCCCATGGGCCAAATCAGAGTAGCACAGCTTTAAAAAATAACAATGATTTGGCTATCGTTAGGTAATACATACATGCTCTAGTTCACCCAGCCTTCACCACCTCCCGTTGCTTTGTACCCACTGTGTATCCCGATTCACACATGTGCATACCCAATCTGGAGACATTTGAGCTTGCAACCTCATTCTATTTTAATTTTCAAATTATTTTTTTTTTCAAGACTACATCTCACTATATTGCCCAGGCTGGCCATAAACTCCTGGGCTCAGGCAGTCCTTCTGTTTCAGCCTTCCAAGTGGCTGGGACTACAGGCCAGGCATGGGCCACCACACTCGGCTTGCAACCTCATTTTAGAGGCTCAGACTTGTTAAAAGACAAACTTCCGCCAAATTAAATGTAAAGGAGTTTAATTGAGCAATGAACAATTCACAAAATCGGGCATCCCCCGGAATCACAACAGATTCAGAGAGACTCCCGGGGTGCCTCGTGGTCAGAACAAATTTATAGACAAAAAAGTAAAGCGATGTGACCACGTGCGGTGGCTCACACCTGTAATCCCAGCACTTTGGGAGGCAAAGGCGGGTGGATTACCTGAGATCAGGAATTCGAAACCACCCTGGCCAACATGGCGAAACCTGTCTCTACTAAATATACAAAAATTAGCCAGGTGCTTGTTGGCTGGCGCCTGTAATCCCAGCTCCTCCAGAGGCTGAGGCACGAGAATAGCTTGAACCCGGGAGGCAGAGGTTGCAGTGAGCCGAGATCGTGACACTGCACTCCAGCCTGGGCAACAGAGCAAGAATCTGTCTCAAAAAAAAAGTAAAGTGAGGTACAAGAATCGGAGGTGAGTTACAGAACAGAGAACAGCTGGATTGGTTACAGGTCTGTGTTTGCCTTAATTGAACACGGTTTGAACACTCAGCAGTCTATGAGTGGTTGAAGTACAGCCGCTGAGATTGGCCAAGACTCAGCTGTTGTTACAGACACATACTCCAAAGTTAGGTTTTCAATCTTGTCTACCTCTTAAGTTAGGTTGCATTTCATCCACAAGGACTCAAATATAGAAGAACAGAGTCCTTCTCAGGCCATATTTAGTTTGAATTAACGGACTGAATTTTGCCCGTCTTTGTCTAGGAGCTGTCCTTGGTGTCCTCAGAGCCCAAAGCTTTCTTGCCTATGACTCTATAATTTTTAGACGTGTCAGTTAGTATCATTTGCTTTCTTCGGTGGTAGATATTTTTTTCTCGTTGATTTAAAATGACTCATTTTATCTATTAAAGCTATTAAGCTGTTGTTCATGTGGTAAAATTTTGCCCCTTGTTCAACATTTGCCACTCAATTACTTCTAAACTGCAAAAGTTATGTAGTTTCATTTAATTGTCAATTTTCTTTTATGGCTGTTGCTTTTTGTACCATGATAGTAAAGTGTAGACTTAAGAAAAAATGAACACATTAAAATTGGGACTGAAAATCCATTCTATTTACAGATTGATTTTAAGCAAATTATAAGAACACAGCATATTCATTAGTCTATGTACTTTTTAATTTTTGGTAGTCTCTATATATATACATTGGAGTACTTATTATAATAGAGTACTTTATGTATATTGTATTTTTAAAATCACCTTTCATTACTATAAAAGTAGATATGCATATTTTAGAAAATTATAAAGTACACAGAACAAACATAAGAATACAAAAACACATCTCACTACTCACAGGATACCTCTTTAACACTAATTTATACCTTGTGAGATCTTTTATAATGTTGCAGTGAAATGAGTTTATATTGAACATACTGCTTTGTAACTTTGCTGTTAATATTATTCATCTTTTCAATAATTTTTTTTTGGTATATAAACTATTTATTAACAAACAAGGCCTACAGACTTATTTCTTCTTGGACACACCTACGGTGCGGCCACAGCGGCCAGTGGTCTTGGTGTGCTGGCCTCGGACACGAAGGCCCCAGAAGTGACTCAGCCCTCTATGGGCCCGAATATTCTTCAGTCGCTCCAGGTCTTCACGGAGCTCGTTGTCCAGACCGTTGGCCAGGACCTGGTTATATTTTCCATCCTTTACATCCTTCTGTCTGTTCAAAAACCAGTCGGGGATCTTGTACTGGCGTGGATTCTGCATAATGGTGACCACACGTTCCACCTCATCCTCAATGAGCTCTCCCGCCCTCTTGGTGAGGTCAATGTCTGCTTTCCTCAATACCACATGAGCATATCTTCGGCCCACACCCTTAATGGCAGTGATGGCAAAGGCTATTTTCCACCGCCCATCGATGTTGGTGTTGAGTACTCGCAAAATATGCTGGAACTTTTCAGGGATCACTAGAGACATGGCAGCAGCACAAGCGGCGGCGTGTAGGCCTCCTGTGGAAGAATCTTTTCAATAATTTTTTAATCTCATCTAATGGTTAGACAATATTCAAAATCTCCTAATTGTCCCCAGAAGTCTTTTTAGCTGTGCTTTGGGGTTTTTTTTTTTTTGTTCTCCCCCCACCCCATATTATATGCAACCCAGGACTATGCATTGTGTCTGCTTGTTGTATTCCTTATGTCTCTTTGAAATAGCACTAGTTAAGTTTAGGAGATCAGGCCAATGATCCTCCAGAGTGTTTTTCCTTCTGTCATTTGTCACTTTCTCATTGTATCACTTAACTTGTTTCTATAGCTCATATATATCCAGTAAACTAGAGTTAGGTCTAAAGCTTGATGTATTCGAGTCAAATATCTTGACATGTAATATGATAATTCACAGAAGTGATGTGGTCTTCATGTTTATTTACATCAGAAGACACATGTTTTCTGGTTGTCCCACCATTCGTCCCACCAACCACTGGACTTGGGGACTTGAGTAATGCAATGCAAGTGTGATCCCCATGCACATTTTCCCCCTTGTGACTGTGTTGTGTTGTACGCTATCCAAAAATCCAGTTCCCCACCAATGATTGTCTCAACACTGGTTCATAATTCTTTCTCAATCTGGAATTTCATTAGGCTTTACAGAAGTGTGTCCTTTAATGCTATCAGTCCTCCCACATTTAATAAGCACACATCCTTCTATAGAGTTTACACACATTCATCAGGGTTATTCAGTTATCCTGACATAGATTTCTATTGTAAAGGCAAAATATATGCTTTGTTTCTCCCATTAGCAATCATCAAACCAAGGAGCTGGTGTGATACGAATTCATTTTATTTCAATTCACTACAACATTATTTTTTGATGTTATTTATTAATTAATACCTTTTGATTTATGTAGACAATGTACTAGGTGCTGCGAATACAGAGGACTCTACTTATGAAAAAGATATGCTTCAAAAGACTATTGTTAAACCCATTTGCTTGGAAGTCCAAAGTGTGATTATAAACACTATTGTCAACACTAGTAGGTAGAGTTGTTGAGAGTTTGTTCTTTTAGTCTCCGTGACATGAAAGCTTGTGTTCGAAATTCTTAAAAGAGGTACTTGCTTACAAAAATAAATAAAATATCACTTTGGGAGGCCGAGGCGGGCGGATCACTTTAGGTCAGGAGTTCAAGACCAGCCTGGCTAACATGGTGAAACCCTGTCTCTACTAAAAATACAAAAATTAGCCAGGCATGATGGTGCGTGCTTGTAATCTTAGCTACTCTCAAGGCCGAGGCAGGAGAATCACTTGAACCCAGGAGGCAGAGGTTGCAGTGAGCTAAGATTGCACCACTGCACTCCAACCTGGGTGACAGAGCCAGACTCTATCTCAAAAAATAAAATAAATAAATAAACTTGCTTTAATAAAATCACAGTCTGTCGGTGGAAAGTGAATAAATAAAATTACATCACAACATTACCTCTCCAGGAAAGAGCCTGAGGGATGATATGGAACTCAATGTATCTAACATTTAGCTGCAAAATTTATCAATACCTGACCAATGTTGTTTTATCTGTACCCCTATTCAATTTTCCATAGCCCCTGCATAATTTGAAGACATTAATCATTATTTTATATATTGATGTTTCAATACTTATCTCTAAAAGATAGTGACTTTTAAAAACATAATCATAATATCACTATCAAGCTAAAAATGCATAATAAATCCTTCATTTATCAAATACCTTATAGTGTTCCTATTTCTTCAGTTGTCTTATATAAATTGTTAAAGTTAAATTCACTGGAGTCTTAGTCCAAATAAGATTAAAACATTCCATTTGGTTGATATGTGTTCCCAAGTTCAACAACTCTTTTTCTAAATCTTTCTTTCTTTTTGAAAACTTCTATTGAAAGCACAAGGTTATTTGTCCCATAAAATTTCCCCTAGTCTGGATTTGATGATCTCATCTACATTGAATTTCCCATCATGTCACTTAACACAAGCCTGGTATTTTTCTGAAAATGAGAAGTTAGATCCAAAGGGATGAATCTAACCTGAATCCAAATATACATATTATATGTGTGTGTATGTATATATACATATATATATATACACATATATATATATATATATATGGTTAGCAAGAACACTTCGTAAGTAATGTCATTTACTTCCATCAGGAGACACATAAAATCTGGTTGTCTCTCTTTTGACAAAAATATGAGCCTTGATGATTATCACTTAGATCCATTAATTCATGAGTAGTTACAAACCAGTGATACTTGAATTGTATCATTCCTTCTTCATCCATTAGCTGGAATATTTCTTAAAAGATCACTGTTTCCTCATCGCTTACTTAATTACCCAGTGCTACAAATCATATAGAAAAGGCAAGAAAAATCCTGGATTGTTTTCTTTTAGTTGAAAACGTTCAAAATAATTGGGTATATTCGTAGAATATCCACAAGGTGACCAATTTCTTCAATATCATTATGAGCTCAACAGTTTAAATATATTTGACATGCTTCAAATCCATTAATGTTATTATTTTTTTGATGAACAAATTGTCCCATCTCTGTCCAGAGGGAGCCTCTTCAAGTTGGTTCCTGAATCCTTTTGACATGATGTTCAACTGAGGGCAAATCTACCTCCAAAGTCTGAGGAAGCTGAAAGGCTGAAGAAAGAGACTGACAAATTCAGTTTCTCAGAAAGAACCGTTAATAGGGGCTTAATGAACAGGAGCCATATCTTTGTCTTGGGCTGCGGCAAGACAAGATGGTGGATCCCTTCACACCATCAGTCTCCAGAGCCAGGGCTTATATACCACAGGAAATGGGTGATTCAGAAGGGATATGTGGGACATTTGAAGTATGGTAACATCAAGGTAGTTTGACCTAAGGGAAGGATTTGCAATAAATACAGCGGTCACCCAAGGAACACTAGATAAACTGAAAATCTTAGAGAGGTTCCGGGAACTGGGGTAAATCAGAAGCCAATATGGCAGATTCACATCCAAGATGGAGTTGCTTTAGCCTCCACACGTGACTGCAATTAAACTTTGTTAGTTTTCTTACTTTCTGCATTTACAAGATCCAACCTTGTACATTTCCTTCCTTAGACCTAGAATCAGCCATTTTTCCAAGGAGCCCTGGTTCTTTCTAGTGACAAATGTTATTTAGAAATTATAATGTGGGCTTTATGGACCCATGGGCTATTGAATTTTTAATTGTTTCTGATGTTTTGGATGGAAACTGATGTACATTTACTTTAAAAGCAGCCGTCCCAAATAACTATTTGTTTCATCAGATTCTCTTGAAATATTGAAGTAGATAACATAGTCTACACATTAAAGTTAGCTTAGCTTTCTCTCTTAAAATATTTGTTCCACTTTTTTATTTTTTATATTTTAGTATTTTGAAATGAGCTCTCAGGACAATGATAAACAGCAGTAGTGATAGCTGTTATTCTACTCTTCTTTCTACTATTAGTGGAAATATATTAGCTAGCTATATATTACCATTAAGGATGATATTTGCATTATTTTAAAATTAGTATCTTTTATATTATAGTTAATTTACCAAGGCTTTTAAAAAATAAATAATTTAAAAAATAAAGTTGGATACTTAATTGTACGAAAGCCATATTTTTAATTATTTTTTAATTTTATTTTATAATTGAAAACTTGGAAATAGATATTGAGGAAGGAATGATCATTCTTATAATTTTTCACCTTAATTATGTCAATGCATCTTGTTAGAAAAAAGTGTTCTGTTACTTCATAATTTGACCTTCCTTTGTGTGTGTGCCTGTAAATCACTGCTCATAAATACTACTGATTGAGCAAAACCTAATCTCTGCATGTTAAATAATATTATAATTCTTCTTGAAGTAACTTATTTGAATTTTTACTTAAAATTTTAAAAACGATTTCAACTTTTCTTTTAGATTCAGGAAACAAACATGTGCAGGTTTGTTATATAGGTATATTGTGGGATGCTGAGGTTTGGGGTACGACTGATCTTGTCACTCAGATAGTGAACATAGTACCTAATAGTTTTTCAACTCTTCCTTCCCTACCTTCCGTCTAGAGTAGTCCTCAGTGTCTATTGTTGCCATCTTTATGTCCATGAGTATCCAATGTTTCGCTCCTACTAATCTCAGAACATGCAGGATTTGGTTTTCTGTTCCTGTGTTAATTCACTTAGGATAATGAAAAGCCATTTTTAATACTTAAGATTTTAAGTGTTTCTCCTTTGACCTAATGACAACATGAGAAATATAAATGGATTTTCGAATATTGATCCATCATAGCATACCTGTGGTGAATTTACTTGGCCGTAATGTATCAGAATTGTATCATTATTCTTTTAATAAAGTACTAGTTTTTATTTGCTCATATTTTATTCATAACTTTCCAGTAATATGCATATTCATATAGAGTCTATTATTTTTCTTCTGTTAGTACGTCCTTTGTCCATCTATTCTCGTGAGCCAGGGCAGTTTAAATGGTATGGGAATTCTCTTTTTTTTTCACTTTGGAGGCTAATAATACTCTCCCAAAAAAACATCTGGGCCTGATGCTTTTTTAATTGCTGATTATCTGCAAGATTTGCTAAATTCTTTCACTACTAGTGGTGGACTCCAGTTTTCAATATCTTTTAGTTAATTTCTGTTATTTATATATTTCAGACATATTCTTCTTCTTTTTTTTTTTTTTTTTTTTTTGAGATAGAGTTTCACTCTTGTTTCCCAGGCTGGAGCACAGTGGTGTAATCTTGGCTCACTGCAACCTCTGCCTCCCAGGTTCAAGCGATTCTCTTGCCTCAACCTCCCAAGTAGCTGGGATTACAGGCATGTGCCACCACACACGGCTAATTTTGTATTTTTAGTAGAGATGAGGATTTCACCATGTTGGCCAGGCTGGTCTCAAACACCTGACCTCAAGTGATGCACCCACCTCAGCCTCCCAAAGTGTTGGGATTACAGGCATGAGCCACTGTGCCCGGCCCAGATATATTCTTTCTGCTGCTTGACAGTATGCTGTATTAAAAGATTTTTGCCTGTTAATTTTTATGTTTTAGAATTTTTTTGAGATTTTCTCTGTAATGTAATATATTAATTATTTTCATGATTGTTTGGTGAAGTGGGGGAAAGAATTGTATCCTCTTGAGCATAAAATCTGTTATAGAAACATTACTGGTAAAATAACTTTGTTAACTTATATTACTCAAATTATGTATATTATTACATATTTTTAGCTTAATGATCTAGTCGAATGATTTAGTGTAATAACATAGCTGTTTTGTCAGTATATCTTGGAATACCTAATAATCATTTTTATTTATATATATTTCCGTTCTGGGTCACTTAACCTATATAGGCTCATAACTATGATACCTTTATTGTGGATTATTCATTTCTTCCTGATTTTTAAACTCAATTTTGCCACAAATTTTGTTATTTTCGATGTTATTCGGTCAACTGAGTTTTCTTTTCTATTTTTTTCTCCTTCTTTCTTCCCCCCTCTTTTCCATACTCTTTTTCTTCCTTCTTTTCTTCTTCTTCTTCCCTCTCTGTCTTACAAAGTTTACATATGCAATCATTCTCATTTCCTGTTCTTCTAATTTTCTGTTTTTAACCCTATAATTTTGAAAGTAAGATTTGCTGAATTTTTTTCATCTCATATAAAAGTCTTTTATTTCAATATGAGTGTTTAAGTCATTGTTACGTAGTGCTATAAATGCCGTAATTTTCTTGTTATTTTATTTCGTGCTTTCAGTTTTTTATGTTTCTCTTTCTATGTTACTTCTTTCCTATGTACTTTTTTTCCTAGTGTAATTGCTTTTCAAAGAAAAATTTTGCAAATTAATTATTTGAAGAGATGTTAATGGATGCTCTGGCAAAAAAAATCACAACACTTTCTATGACTACACAAGACAGGGAAATATTTGGGCATTGTTTTGGGGATCCACAATGATTATTAAAATGGTTGTGTTTCTAAGAGTATCAGCAGCTAGGCAATCTCTTTGACTATGTTTAATCAGAGTTCACAATCTTATTTGAACACAGAACACATTTTTCATTATACCTCCAGCAATATTCTACAAAATCGTAGTTGTGGGATACTGGTTTGGGAAATGCTCTTCTAGTGATTAGGAATTCATAGAACCTACTTTATTGTATAATTGTTCACCTTGAACTGTTCTAATAATACTCATTGAACCTATTTTTCCAACCCCACTTTTGAGCTGATCTCCTGTTTTTTGTGTCCCTTCGACTAAACTCTTCAACTAGTAACTCGGATTTACTGCTGTTCATGACCTGGTATCATGGTGTAATTCTATTACCGTTATAGTTTTTGCCAGCTGAGACATTTTATTAGCAAATGATTAAATTGAGCTATTGGAAGAGAAATTTATAGTGACAACTATAGCTTGGCCTCAGGTAGATACTCAAATTGCTATGAGTAGGAAAGGAACATCTAATGGATGGTAAAAGAGAAACAGATGATCTCAAGTCCACATGAAGATGGGCTTGAGATTATCACACAAGACAGGAGATTGGCTTTAAAAGGAGCAGTATCATCACATTAAACTAGCATTCTTCCAAGGCACTCAAAGAACTTCAAAAGCTCCATGACCAAATTATTTTATGAGAACCCCAAGTGAACACATTTGGCTTTGAAACAACCATCAGTGATTTGATGGTTTACTAATTTTCAAAGAAATTACAATACAATACAATACAATACAATACAATACAATACAATACAATACAATACAATACAATACAATACAATACAATTTGCAGGATAGTCTGTGAGATGAAACTGGTTAAGGATTAAGAAGAACAGGGTTCTAGTGACAACTCTTTGGATAAGCTGTTTTGTTTCTCTCAACTTCAGTCACTGCAGCTGCAGAATGAAAGCAGAGAAGTAACTGAAGTAATTCAATGATTCTTACTTCTTACAACCTCAGAAAGTCTACAAATCGATGAATATAAGTTTTGGAGTGTTACTATTACAAACAGTGTCTTAATAAACACCCTTAAACATGTCTCCATGTGTGTTTTAGTGTTTCTCTTGGAAAGTGTTGATTGCGCCTCTTTAGAAAATTGTGAAATAAATGTAGTCACCACCAACATATTTTAAGAAAGATGATTGAGCAATACAAAAAATACAACTGTATTACATAGAGTTAAGGATAATGAATGTTTCATGAAATTAAGTTTTGTTTTATTTATAAGGGCATATGTACATATATATGTACTGAGTTGTTTTTTAAGAGGTATTTTCTACTGTGAGTTATTTAAAGACAGTTTGAAATACACTCTACTGACAGTAATTATCTAAGATGAACTTGATGAGTCATATGCTTTCTTCATATTTAACTTCATTAGGTATGGCAAAATTTCCTCCATAGTTGGCAGTATCAACTTACACTCTCATCATCTGAATTTGAGAGCCTGGATCTTCTCTAAAATTCGGATGGATCATCTTTTTCCATGCTAAAGGGCGTAAAACACTACACCATTTCCATTTTCATTTCCCTGATTGCTAGTGAAGGTGAGTAACTTCTCACCACTCTGCTGGTCATTGAGTCTCCTATTCATTGATTTGTTTATAGTTTTTGCCAACTTTTGCAATTTTTTGTTCATTTCTGATTGACTTATAGGAGTTTAAAAATATATTCCAGATACTCCATGAGTTATATCCACTGCTAATCTTTTTCAAGTCTGTTGTATTAAGATATACAAGGTTTTATGATGGCTTGCAGTTCAGAAACTTTAAAATTTAATGTGAACAAATTTGTCAATCTTTTCTTTATAAGCACAACTTATAAGTTGTGCTTTTTGAGTCATGTTTAAGAAATTCTTCCCCATTCCAAGTTCATAAAAACATACTTCTATACATTATTCTAAAAGTTTTAAAGTTTTGCTTTTCAGATTTATCTTTATTCTACCTGGAGAGGATGTTTTGTGTGTTGTGTGAGGCAGGGATATGCTTTTTTCAAAATGAATAACCAATTTTCTCAATGCCATTTATTGAATAATTTATTATTTATGCAATTATAAAGTGACTTTTCTCATACACCATGTTCCCAGGTAAAGGTAGGTCTGTTTGTCATACAAAGCCTGGTGCCTTACATATTTGACCATACTTATTGTTAGACTTTTTCTAACTCCTTGAAATAGTTTAGAGAAAATAATTTTGCAGAGAACTGTGGCCTTGTACTAATATTTGAGGGTTTAAATTAGCAAGAAACAGGAAATGTAGGTTACATGTATTAAATAAACAGTAAAAGATAATAGTGCCTTTTATACAGAAGGTATTTTGTTATGAATTAGTAATAAAGATGTAAATATGATGGTTAACCTTGAAAAATAAGAAAGATCTTCAAGTAAATGATGGTCTGGTATAGTATTTCTCAACCTTATCAGACCTAACACCTTTTTGACAACTTTTTGTAATCACCCCATAACGATCCTGAATTTTATTTTATTTACAAGCTAATGTAACCCACCTGCTCACATACCATAAAATCAATAAAACTTTTTGTAACATAAATGAAAAAAAGATGCATAAGTAAACAATCTGTATTTCAATATGTATTTCATAACTTTACTAAAATAGTCAAATACTTATCCTATATGTAGAATCACCTCAAATGTGACAGCTACTGTTGTAGGCTCATCTTATTTTATTTTTCCTTAACCCAATCACCACAGGAAGTATTGCTGCTGAAATTGTGAATAATTAACTATGTTTTAAACAAAACAAAACTCAATTTCCTCTTGATTTATATAGTGGTTGCTTTCCTAGAAAATTCAATATATATAAATGTGTTTAAAAAGTACTTAATGTACAATGCGAAGTTACAGTCTAGGCTCAGAAGAGTATCAATTGGGTTTTTAAATGGATAAATATCCAGCTGAGCATTCCAAGCCAAATGAGATGAGGAGCTAGTCTTTTTTTGTTGGCTTGTCCCTTGCATTGCAGTATGTCCAGCCTCCCTGGTTCTCACCCACTATATGCCAGCAGCACCTTTGAATCACTACAACCACCAAAAAAGGCCTCCTCTCCACCAGCAAATTCCTGAAATGGCACCTCAGAAGATGGGACTATCCGTATTGAATGACACTGGTCTAGAAGTAGGAGATTCTAAATCTAATCAGGTAAGGGCAAACAAACATCCAAAGTGCCGAATAAATGCATACGCAGGGTGCATGGGGTACAAGAGAGAAGTGACTGGCACCCCCAGGATGGGGTGAGATGTGGCTGGCCATGGTAGTGCTGACAGACGACAGGAATTAAGACAGGAATGATAAATAGATGTTACTCAACTGGCTGAGTCTAAAGAGTTGGGTGAAATGCATTTCTCAAAGAAAGCCTCTCCTTCTTTGGTGTTGGAAAGTGACTGTGATGCAAGTCACAAACAATGAAGAAAATTATATACACAGAAATGTCACCAAAACCAGACTCAACACATCCCTTTCCCTTCTAGAATTCAGAAAATCTTTGTCTTAAGTAGGTTACAGATGCGGACAGAAAAGATTCACAACTTCGTTAAGCTTGAGGAAACAATCTTTTTTTCTTCTGTGAAACTCATACACCAAGATACTCCTAAGTTTCCTTCATCTGAGGCACTTGCCTAGCTCCATTACCTTCAAAACTAACTAGTAGCTTTACCTCAACTATCTTTTAGGAATCTGCTTTGGAAACACATCTGTCCTTTGAAATGATATCTACAAAAGGAAAGAGAAAAAATACATTTAAATTTTTGAAGGAGTCTACTCCCTATATGACTCTTTAAAGATCATTTTTCCCCTGATACATTTATTGTAGCATCAATAGGAAAGTGAAGGAAGATAAGCATATGGAAGACTAGCTGAATTATCATGTAGAATATTCTCTGTATAGATTTATTAGTATAACTAGGAATTTCACAGCTGGAATAAAGTGTAGCAAGTAATACACTTTATTCTCCTCTATAGAGATAACAGTAAACTAAAATGATCCCAGATGAAATATGTTTTACTTGGAAAAATTTTATCACTAAACAAGGCAATTCTTGCCAGTATCTAACTGCTCAAACATAATGTTTCTGATGATAACTCCATTTACAATTTTTTTCTGCCATTGCTTCATATCAATTCTGGATTCCATTCAACCCAGGGCCATGAATAAGAACAGCATGTCTTCAAGGCTGGCCCTGTGCCTAGTATAATGAATTTTTGCTGAAGTATAGGATGAATGAATAAATTATTGAATCCACCAAATGGCAAGGATGTGTACATTCTGTTAGTTTATTGGGCTGTTGTTATTTCAGCACACCATTTTGTCCAGACTCCAAACTTCACCATCTAAATCCACAAGGAAAACCAATTGAGACCTTAAAGCAAGAAGCTCTCAAGCTAAGAGGAACTTGGAAGTGAGCCTAAAATACAACTGATGGATTCTGGTTTTCTGTTTTCAATTGATCACAACACTCACACTCAACATTTTCATCCCTGTTTTTCTCCAGCACATCCATTATCTTTACCTATCTGAGAGGACTCCCATAATGATAAAATCAACTAAAGTAGTTCAAACTATTTCTAAAACTGTAAAGTACAGCTATTCTAGTGTTTAGTGTGTGACATGCACAAGATTATATGTTTACAATATGAACATGAATAGGACTTAATTTCCATCCTAAAAGAGCTGGCAATCTAGTGAAAATACCACCATATAAAAATTTACTGTAATTGTAGGACAGAAATAAGGCTTATTAAGAGACTCTTGTAAAGGTACTGGCTTACTAAGTTTTGTGTTACTATAACAGAATACCTTAGACTGGTCAGTTTATAAAGAACAGAAATTTATTTCTCACAGTTCTGTAGGCTGGGAATTCCAAGATCAAGGTGCTGGTGTCTGATGAGGGACTTCTTGCTGTGTTCTCACATGGTAGACGGGCAAGAGAGATAAACTCCCTCTGTGAAGCCTTTGTATAAGAGCACTAACCCCCTCCATGAAGGAGGACCCCTTAATCTAATCACCCCTCAAAGGTCCCACCCCTTAATGCTGTCACATTGGAAACACCTGAATTTTGGAGGGCACATTCAAACTGCAGCAGACTGTAGTCTACCCACTCCCACGACGTAATGTATCATAATACGTGGGGACATAGTACAAGATGCTCAAAGAATTTGATGATATTTGCTAGTGGAAATAAATGATGCAGAGAATTACCCATAGTTTTACTGCATTTTAATATACAATGAACTCTGAAGAATATACTCTAGGCTCAAAAATCAAGTTCTATTCTCCTCACAAAGGAATTAGTGGAACCCATCACAAGCTAACTAAGCCAATGGCTTGTGTTGATCTGGTTTGATTTTGTCCTCCTTGTCTTTCCCCTTCTTGTCTGGATTGTGCTAGAATGTGACTTCTTGCTAGTGGGCCCTAGCTTTAATCCCTGCTTACTGATTTACTAAAAATACAGGGTCTTTACCAATTAATTTATTTCAAAGTCTTTGTTTCACTTCAATACCTTCAGCAAATATTACCTAGGACTTTTCACTTCTGCATAATCGGAATACTGCCAGCTTGTATTTGGGACCTTTTTGAATAACTCCGTTTTGATAAATATGCTTTTAAATAATTCTTTGTTGATGGGATGGGTATTTAACTGAACGCAAATAGAGAAAGTGCTAGCTCAGAGAGTGTGGTTTCCAGTGTCAAGAGAAAGAAAATGCCATAAAGATGTTGAGAATTCTGTCTGAAAATTGTTTATTTCTTATACTAAATATCTTTTGGAAATAATCATTTCCCCTCTCCTACCTCCATAATCTACAGTTATTTCGCCCACAAATGTATAGACCGATGTTCTCCTCTGATAGAGACAGAGACTGAGGTGGCTACTGTTGGGGCTTGGGGCTGGAAGGTTTTGTAGATTAGGGGTTGAGGCTGCTGTTTGTGGGGCCATGATCCTAGCTGCATACACATAGATGACTGAGAAGTGGATCTAGTGTGCAAAGGGAAAAGAATGGCATTAGATGCAAGTGAAAAACATGGAAGTTGCCTGAGGAGTTCCCTTTCTAGTCCCATATTTTCTGTGGTTGTTTGCTGTGAGATTTTCCTTATTCCTTATGCTGTAAGATTATGACTTACACATACAAACGACTTGTGCAGAATAAAAGTGACTTTAATTTTTTTGCTGAATAACTCACATGGTCTTCCCAACAGCCCGCACTCCACTGAGTATTTCTTCAAAGTTTGAATACTATCTTCTTACAACAGCCTGTGTCCTATTTTGTCTTCTTTTGTTTTTAGGTTTTAAGGTAACCGCTCTGTTTTTTCAGGGCCCTGTGTCCCCTCCCACTTTTTCTCCCAGAGATGGCATTCTGAGTATATGAAGAAAATTACTGCATCCTGACAGCAGATGAACATTATTGCATCCTCACTGCAAGGTTGGTGGCTTCAGCTGTGCAGAGGTGAGTTTCAGATACGTCTTATCAGTTGTGGTGCCATCTGGTCCTCGTGACCTCTGTAGTAATGGTGTCCCTTGTATGCCTGTGGCTTCTGATGTTTGCAGCTGGTAAAATTGTGGTCTATTTGGTATCATTTCCAACCCCATCTGAGGTTTATTTTGCAGACGGATAAGCGAAGAATTACATTTTCTAAAACCCTCTTTCCCATAATGGTCCCTGGTTCCACTAATTCCTTTGTGAGGAGAATAGAACTTGATTTTTGAGCCTAGAGTCTGTTAATGAGAGACACTCATGGAGATTTGGAAGGTGGATGAGGACAGCCATTACTTTCCTGAGGCAGTTACAGCCAGATATGTGGGCAGATGTAAGATACACAATGCCCTCTTGGTATGCTCTTGAAATCCGCTACATTGATGTTTCAGGCTAAAGTCACTGGAGATGGTCTTAGTCAGCCTGAGCTGCTGTATGGGTGGTTTAAACAATAGATATTTATTTCTCACAGTTCTAGAGGCTGGGAAGTCTAAGATTAAGGTGATGGCAGATTTAGTTCCTGAGATTTCTGGTGAGCAGCCTCTTCCTAGCTTGCAAATGACCACCTTCTCCCTGTGTCTTCACATGCCAAAGGGTGCCCTCTGATGTCTCTTTCATTTTTCATAAGGGTACTACCGATTGTGGGGTCCCACCCTCACAACCTCATCTAAACCTAACCACCTCCCAAAGGTCCCACCTCCAAATACCATCACACTGGGGATTAGGGCTTCAATGTATGAATTTGTTGGGGAGAAATCAACATCCAGTCCGTAACAGAGGTGTGTTCTCTTCCCTCCGCACTCCCAGGTATTCCAAAGACTAAGACCCAACATCTTTATCTAAAGACTTCCAATACTCAAAAATACATAAAGTGGCTTCTGTTTTCTTGACCTAAGGCTGACTAATTAATACAGGTAGTCTCTTCCGAGAGATCCAATGGGAAACTGGGTAAAGACTATTCTGTTTTTGGTTTTATTTCCCTTCCTACATATCTCCTCCCTCTACCTGGCGTTTTGCTCAGGAGGATGAAGCCGGGTCATACATTTTGCCATTTCTCTATTTTATGTCCTTCCTCCTTCCCTCACTATATGATTGAAAAGAGTATGCTTCTATAATATTTACTACACATAATGCTATGTAATCATAGTATATTGCCTTGCTCAATATTAGAAGGCACATAAATAGTCAACAGAATAGTCAAGAGATCTAACTACAAATAACTACACTGGGAAGGTGGGAGAAGAGGTGAGAAATAAAGGAGAGTGAAATTCTCAGCTATCATGACAGAGAGTAATGTTTAAATTGACAGATCAATAAAGGGTAATATGAACATGCTATTTAGAAATGTAGGATTTACTACCAGGATCGACTAAGAGAGTTTAAAGTGATTGACTTTGGGGATGAAGACTAAGAGACAAGGAGAGATTGGGACAGAGTGTGGTTATTTTTTATTTTAAGCTTTTTGGTAAAATTTTACTTTTAGTCATGTATATATATTGCCTCAATTAAAATATATATCTTTTAATAAAAAGCACCAGGCAGTGCACGATGGTAGAAAGAAGAAAGCATAGCAACGTTATTGGAGAAATCTGAGTCTAAATGCAGGTGGCGATCAGCAGCCAATCCCAGGGAATCAGCAGAGAAGGTGAGATGGCACCAATCCTCCCAAACACACAGGTGAACGTGCACAAACAATAAGACTAAAGCAAACAGTATTTCCTCCAAGGTGCTCCTGGCAGCCTGCAGAGCTTGAAGAGTTGATTTACGACCTCAGGAAAGAAAGCTTTCTTCTCCTTGTTTTGTTTCCTTTCTCTCAGATAATCTATGTAGACATCATGTTGTAACATAAAGATGGACTGGAGAGGGAAGAGGCCATCCATGGAAAGCTCAGGTTGGTGAAATTGTCTAGACAGGGATGGGGAGCATCTGAACCAAGGGGCAGTGGCATCAGCAGGGTCTCAGCACTGATTGACTGTGGGCAGGCAGAGTCACAGGTGCTGGTGAGGTGGGCGGAGGGAGCAGGGAGGGAAGTGCCATTCCAGAGGGGCAAGACTTGGTGGCAACAGGCAAGATGTTGGAGGTAAGGATTACAAGTGACTGCATCATGACTCAATACCTTGAATAACTGCTTGGTAGACCTCAGAAGGGAAAATTGGCAAATGTGTGAATTTGCTGAGGCTGCCACAATGAAGTACCATAGACGGGGTGGCTTAAACAACAGAAATTTATTTTCTCATGGTTCTGGAGGCTAGAAGTTCACGATCAAGGTGTCAGAAATATTAGTTTCTTTCTTCTGACACCTCTCTACTTGGCTTGTAGATGACAGTCTTCCTCTAGTGTCTTCATATGGTATTCCCTCTGCATATGTGCATGCGTGCATGTATGTGCTTGTGTGTGTGTGTGTGTGTGTGTGTGTGTGTGTATTTTAATCTCCTCCTTTTATAAGGACACCCATGATATTGGATTAGAGCCCACCCTAATAACTTCATATTAACTTAATTACCTCTTAAAAGGCCCCATCTCCACAGGCAGTCACATTCTGAAGTTACTAGGGCTTAGGACTTCAACATGTAAATTTTGGGGAGAAACAATTCAGCCCATTACAAGCCTGATGCCATGTATGATACGACATGAGATTTTCTCTCCTCCAGCTTCCAAACCTATACACATACTAATGCATCTGTCTTTTTAGTTCCTGTCTGTGTTCCTCAGCCCTAATTCTTTGAAACACACCCTTCCACCATCCCATTACTAGGCTTATTTTTTGCACATAAAATGTCTTCAAAGATGCAACATTACAATTCATACTACACAGTTATTATTAATTGTGCACTTTCAGAGAACTTTCCCTGAAATAAAATTCATTTGTGATATAAAAATAATAAAATAATCCTATTCTACATGTCTTAATTAAAAATAAAAATATGTGCAACATCATATACACCATGGAATACTATGCAGCCATAAAAAAGGATGAGTTCATGTCCTTTGTAGGGACATGGATGAAGCTGGAAACCATCATTCTCAGCAAACTATCTCAAAGACAAAAAAACAAACACTGCATATTCTCACTCATAGGTGGAAACTGGACAATGAGAACACTTGGACACAGGAAGGGGAACATCACAGACCGGGGCCTGTCGTGGGGTCGGGGGAGGGGGAGGGATAGCATTAGGAGATATACCTAATGTAAATAAGGAGTTAATGTGTGCAGCACACCAACATGGCACATGTATACGTATGTAACAAACCTGCACGTTGCGCACATGTACCCTAAAACTTAAAGTATAATTTAAAAAAATGTGCAACATGATTATCTCAATAGATGCAGAAAAGGCTTTCAAGAAAATTCAACATCCCTTCATGTTAAAAACGCTCAATAAACTAGGTATTGAAGGAACATACCTCAAAATAATAAGAGCCATCTATGACAAACCCATAGCCAACATCATACTGAATAGGCAAAAGCTGGAAGCATCCCCCTTGAAAACCAGCACAACACAAGGATTCCCTCTCTCACCACATAGTACTGAAAGTCCTGGCCACAGCAATTAGGCCAAAGAAAGAAAGAAAGTGCATCCAAATAGGAAGAGAGAAAGTCAAACTATCCCTTTTTGCAGACAACATGATTTGATGTCCAGAAAACCCCATAGTCTTGACCCAAAAGCTCCTTCAGCTGATAAACAACTTAAGCAAAGTTTTAGGATACAAAATTTACTAGCATTCCTATACAGCAACAATAGCCAAGCTGAGAGCCAGATCAGGAATGCAACCCCATTCACAATTGTCACAAAAATAATAAAATACCTAGGTGTATTCCTAGGTATTCCTAATTAGGGAGGTGAAAAATCTGTACAATGAGAATTACAAAACACTGCTCAAAGAAATCAGAGATGACATAAACAAACGGAAAAACATTCCATGCTCATGGATAGGAAGAATAAATATCATTAAAATGGCCATATTGCCCAAAGCAATTTACAGATTCAATGCTATTCCTCGTATCAAACTACCAATGATATTCTTCACAGAACTAGAAAAAAAGTTTAATTCATATGGAGCCAAAAAAGACCCCAAAATAGCCAAGGCAATCCGAAGCAAAAAGAACAAAAATGGAGGCATCATGTTACCTGACTTCAACCTGTACTACAGGGCTGCAGTAACCAAAACGCATGGTACTGATACAAAAACAGACACATAAGCTAATGGAACAGAATGGAGAGCCCAGAAATAAGGCTACACACCTACAACTATCTGATCTTCAACAAAGCTGACAAAACAAGTAATGGGGAAAGGACTTCCTATTCAATAAATTGTGCTGGGATGGCTGTTTAGCCATATGCAGAAGATTGAAGATGGACCCCTTCCTTGCACTATATACAAAAATCAACTCAAGATGGATTGAAGACTTAAATCCATAAAGTGTCAACCTAAAGCCCCAAGACCATAAAACCCAAAACTATAAAAACCTGGAAAACCACCTAGGAAATACCATTCTGGACATAGGAACTGGCAAAACTTTCATGATGAGGATGCCAAAAGCAATTGCAACAGAAGCAAAAATTGACAAATGGAATCTAATTAAACTACAGAGCTCTGAAACTATGAAGAGAGTAAAGAATGGGAGAAAGTATTTGTGAACTATGCATCTAATGAAGGCCTAATATCCAGCGTCTATACGGAACTTAAACAAATTTACCAGAAACAAACAAATAACCCCATTAAAAAGTGGGCAAAGGACGTGAACAGACACTTTTCAAAAGAACATAACACATAGATGTGGCCAAGAGGCATATAAAAAAGCTCAGCTGGGCATGGTGCCTCGTGCCTGTAATCCCAGCACTTTGGGAGGCCGAGGTGGGTGGATCACTTGAAGTCAGGAGTTCAAGACCAGTCTGGCCAACAGGATGAAACTCTCTCTCTACTAAAAATACTAAAATTAGTTAGGCATGATGGCACACTCCTATAATACCAGCTACTCGGGAAGCTGAGGCATGAGAATCACTTGAATCCAGGAGGCAGATGTTGCAGTGAGCTGAGATTACACCACTGCCTGCCAGCCCAGGTGACAGAGCAAGACTCTGTCTCAAATTTAAAGAAAAAAAAAAAGGAACACAAATCAAAACCACAATGAGATGCCATCTTACACTTCTCAGAATGGCTATTAATAAAAAGTAAAAAAAAAAAAACAGATGCTGGCGAGGCTGTGAAGAAAAGGGAACATTTATACACTGTTGGTTGGAGTATAAATTAGTTCAGCCATTGTGGAAAGCGGTGTGTTGATTCCTCAAAGAGCTAAAAGCAGAACTGTCACTTGACCCAGCAATCCCATTACTGGGTATATACCCAAAGGAATAGAAATCATTCTGTCATAAAGACTCATTCATGTGTGTGTATGTTCATTTCAGCACTATTCACAATTGCAAAGACATGGAATCAACTTAAAGGCCCATTGATGATAGAATGGATAAAGAAAATGTGGTACATCTACTCCATGGAATACTATGCAGCCATAAAAAATGAGATCATGTCCTTTGCAGAAACATGGGTGAAATTGGAGGCCATCTTCCTTAGCAAGCTAACAAAGGACCAGAAAACCAAATATTGCATCTTCTCACTTATAAGTGGGAGCTAAATGATAAGAACACATGGACACAAAGAAGGGAACAACAGATGCGGGGGCCTACTTGAGGGTAGAGGGTGAGAGGAGGGAGAGGATTAGACAAAATGACTATTGGGTACTGGACTTAGTACCTGGATGAGGAAATATTCTGTATGACAAACCCCTGTGACACAAGTTTACCTATGTAACAAACCTAAGCATGTACCTCCAAACCTAAAATAAAGGTGAAAAAAAATATTCAATTTCTAAACATAGAAAGAATAAAGAATCTTACACATCTTTATATTTTCAGAATTAGTGCTTGTGCTCATGGAATTTCTCATCACCAATTTGGGTGGTCATTTAAGTCCTAAGTGTTAACGGGTCCACCTCAAAACCCAGTGGGAGATAAAGACCAGTGACATAGGCTTTGACTATATGGACATCGGAAGGCTGCCTGTTCAGTCTGTGCTCTTCACAGAAAAACATCACAGCAAATTTGCTTTAAATAATGTGCTACACAAGATTCAAGACATACCTGGTACATTGAATGCTTTAAGAATATTTAGCTCATGAGTATATTTTGAGTATATTTTGTTCTATGCATTTTTGTATCCACTGGAAGTAAATCTTTAACATAAAGAAAACAAAGTTTCCTAAAATGATTACCATCTGTTTTGACCTATATTGTTTCCAGAAGTATAATGCAGGCATGTGTTAAAGCTACCTCGTGATAGCATGAGGGTTAGGGTGAGGGTCACAACACTTAATATGGGTTGTCACCAGGAAGCTGCTTCTCCCCATCAGAACTGTAGTGTCCTTCTCTCTACGGTGTGTTGTCAGACAACATCTAGGTCAAACAAAGTCACTCTGCAACCTACCTTGCTCCTGATACCCTGTGAAATGTCCACAAAAGTCATGCATAATAATGATCCTGGAATTTGTATCTATTTAAATTAGTACAAAGGTGATAAAAAGCACTATTTATTTATTTATTTATTTATTTTTCAGGAAAAAAATGCATGAAACCCAATGGAGGGAAGGTGAGGATATGATTCTGCCTTCTACCCTAGGCCACAATGCCAAATGGATCAGAAGAGCAGCATGAAAATGGTACTTTAGAACCTTGAAAACAAAATCTGAGCAAAAGCCAGGATCTTTTCAGACTTTGCAAAAATTAAATTTTTTGTTATCTTTTGTTGATGTTGGTTGGTCAAACTTTTGACAGGTGGAGAGAGCACATCTTTTTTAAATGACTCAATATTTTGGATTTGGAAGAAGTAAGCACCAATGAGATGAGTTTTGTCTTACGATGACTTGGCATTTACTGTAATTCTTAGGTGACATTTTGGAATACAAACTTTTGAGGGTCTTCCCGGGACTTCAGTTTTTCAATAAGATGGTCCTTTGCTTCCTCCCCTGGGCAGGGTCACATTTTATCTTAGAAAACTCTTTCAGGAAGTTAAATCCATCTCCAGGGTCTTTGATTTTAAGCAACATAAATATATCCAACCTTTCTTAAAAGGAGATCAACTATACGGAAATGGGAATTGTACTGCCCGTGAGTGCGGAATATGCCCTCCGAAGTCACAGGCTCGGAACAAGAGTCTGAGGGTAAACTAGAAATTTGCCTCTCTCAGCTCCTCTGTCCACAAAGCTTGAGCCCTGTGTCCTCGTGGTCTCCTCATGGATACTTCAAAAGTTGTCACTGAAAAGTCATTCACAAGCATGATTCCAAAGAATTCCATGGCTGCAAAAAATAGTGACTCCCTCACCAGATTGTCATAGGGACAAAAGGAGTTGGCTTGTCATCCCAACAGTCAACACATCATTGAAGCAAAACCAGATTTTAAAGAAGCAAATGACAAGTGAAAACAAGATCAAGAAGCTCTGCTGAACCAATAGGAAATTGCTTCTAAAGGCTTTTCAAATCAGATATAACAACACTTGAATTTTATCACTGTCTACCTGCCTGGACCAGC
The DNA here is from genome assembly GCF_000001405.40 of Homo sapiens. Classification (NCBI taxonomy): domain Eukaryota; kingdom Metazoa; phylum Chordata; class Mammalia; order Primates; family Hominidae; genus Homo; species Homo sapiens. The sequence goes on from NC_000017.11 coordinate 14,725,633, forward strand.
TGGCAGGCTGGCTACAAATAGGCGAAGGCATGCTGGAGAAAGGAAAAAGATAAGAGTAACCCACAAGCTTACAAAACTGCGCCCTATCTACATGGTAATTAAAAACTGTACGTTTTGATGGCAGATTTCTGGATGACAGCATTGCAAAAAGTAAATGATCCAAATGTGCACACTTTCCAGCAGAATTCCAGATTTGGAACTTGATCCAAAGGAAATAAATAGAGAAGTGAGTAAATATTTAGCTGAAATAATTTACACCGCAGCATTCTTTATGAGTAAAAAAATTGAAAGCAATTTAAATGACCCTCAGCATAGGCTAAACACGGAATGGGTAAATTCCATGTAGCCATTAAAAATGATGCTGGAGAAATATTTCCTTCACATGAACAGATGTTCGCAATGTCTATTAAGTGAAAAAAATAAGTTATAAAATAACATGTTCAATGTGATTCCATTCTTGTCTGAAAATATATGTGCAATTGTATATGCAGAGGGAAAAATACCTTGGAGGTAAGTGGTCACATTGTTTATATCTGGATGGTGGAATACAGGGACTTTACTACTTTCTTATTTGTGTTTACTACTTTTTTTTTTTTTGTAATGAGCTTGTAAAACTGTAAGAAGGTTAAATGAAAAAGGAATGCAGTGAAACTTCTTATAAGTAAAAGAATCCTTTCACAATGCAAATAATTATACCCTCCCTTTCTTCAGGTGGGCATTGGCACCTGTTCCTTCCGAGGTTCTCTTGCAGAGGGAGAGCCAGCACTTTTCTTAGCTTCCAGTAGAGGTTGTTACCGCAGTCTTTAACCAAGAAGAGCTAAATGTTTTCCAAGTGGATTTTGTGTTTCTGACCACTGCTGACCAATTATAGGATGTGGGCCATGTAATAACCTCGCCAAGCCTCAGTTCCTCATCTAGAATATGGGAATAATTACCATTCTGTCTTGAAGGATGGCTGTGAGAATTTTAATAGACACAAGCAAAATGTTTGGCTCTTTGTAGCTGCTCCATAAACAGTGGCAGTCACCACTATTATCCTCAATTCTAAGATAAATAAGCCACAGTCCCTGCCCTTACAGAGGTGACAGGAAAGTGAGAAACACTTCTTTCCCAAATTACACAGCCTCTTTTCATTGATTCAGTTATTGGGAACACAGTTTGGGAGTTTCTATTTTCTTATTTTGTAAAAGTTTGAGCTTCCATTTGAGTGTGCCCAGGGAAAGGCCATCAACTCATTGCAGCTTGGGCTGGCTGCGTTCTGTAGTGGGGCAAGCAGGGCCCCACGTGAGCGGAGACCCCATTGAGCTCCAGTGGAGGACAAGTATTTGACAGCTTTCTGTTCCCCAGCCATCAATGTCTGCCCTGCCTGGTTGTATTTCTTATGAATACTCCTAGACCCTGAAAAGACTACATTGGAAAAAATTCTTTATAGGTCACTACTTCTATTTTTGACAGGTGAACTTTCATTGACCTCCATGAAAATCTGCCTCTGTAAGCCAGGCTAATGCTGCATTCTGCAAAAAAACAAATAAAAAGAATTGTTTCATTAACTGGGCTGAAAGAGGTATCACCCTAATTCTTGACGTGCTAATGATTGCTGGTTCTTGAAGGTGCTAATTTTGAGACTCCAGTGTGGAAAATGTGTTCATTTCCCCAGAGGTTCAGCATTAGCCTTTTTTTTTTTCTTTTTTCTTTACCTAATCCTGATATTAGTTCACATTTGGACTTTGGCCCGAATAAATACATTAGAAATATATGCATTTTAAATAAATGCATGTTTGATATTTCCCCTCAAACTTTATTATCAAGCGTATTTGCACAAAATAGGATGTTTGATCTTAAAAATGGCATCCCGTCTTTCATGGGAGAATGGCTGTGGAATGAATAGCTTTTATCATATGTCTAAAGGCCTTTTTATTTCAGTGGGAATTGGGCTTTTACTTATAGTGTGTGCTGATCTTCATTGCTAATGCTTCCCCATTTGAAAAAAAAAAAATCTTTCATTCTTTAGTTGTTTTAATGCAAAAGAGAAAAAGAAGATATGTAAATATGGACCTTTAAAAAAAAATCCTTGGGCACATTGAGGATGCATTGAGTTGCACTTTCTCAGTGGGAATCACTGGTATATCACACCTCTAATTGTTAAGCACCTACTTTTCCAAAAGCAGCCAGTTGCTTAAAGTTCCTTTTATAAAAAACTGTTTCCTAACAAGGGAGTGGAGGTAGGCTAACAGTTGGGGGATGGTTAATGAGACTGGGAGCTTCAGAGCTTCTCTTCTCTGAATGCAGAAGGAAGGATTTTTGACAGGTAAAAGTAAAGAAGAGCAAAGGTAGAAGGGACATTAGGGATCAAGAATAACTATCTCATGTTATTTTGGAAACTAAGGAGGAAGAGCTGGAGTCACTTGTTCAAGGTCTCTGAGGATAGATGATAATCCTGCTTGGAGCTTTTCCTACCATTTCAAACTTTACTCCCCACCTCCACCCCTACCCAGTTTGGTTATAATCAAGGGGCTGCTGGATATTATACTCAGCTTAGTTCCATTTCTTTCAACAATTGCAAATTGAATCTTATTATATGTAGGCACTCTCCTAGGTGCTGGGGAGGGGATGGGGAGCAGGGATGGTCTAGTGGAAAGAACCCAGGCTGCAAAGAAGCTAGACTTATCAATTGACTTCCCAGTTTCACTGCTGACCAAGTGGTGGATCTGGGCCATGTAATAACCTCACCAAGCCTCAGTTCCTCGTCTAGAATATGGGAATAATTCTCATGCTGTCTTGAAGGATGGTGGTGAGGATTAGAATAAACATAAGAAAAAATGTTTGGCTCTCTGTGGTTGCTCCATAAACTGTAGCTGCTCCTTTTGACTTCAGTTCTAAGATAAATAAGACATAGTCCCTGCTGTTATAGAGTTGAGAACCCAGTGAAAAACACTTTGGGAAATATGGCCCTAGAATGCTTGCAGTTGCATTAATCAGTGACTGGATCAACTACAGTCATCTTCACAACCTAAACTATACTGTGGTTAGGAAATTCCCTAAATTTCCTATCACAGATCCTAGGAGTGAGAAGGAAAAGAAAGAGGAGCCTGGAGATGGGGTAAATTAGACATGATGTACTCCAAATTTGTCTCATTAGCCTGTAATCTGGTTGCTGGGAAAACTCACCTATAAAACATGAGACTTTTTTTTCTCTAATTCATGAACAAATCTCAGAATGGCAGGGGATCATTGTGGATCTTAGCGAGAAAATCCTTTATGCTTGTGTGTACAGGGGTATGTCTTCCTGCTATGCAAACAATCTGTTGAAAAACTTAAATTTTATTAGATTTCCTTGACGTGACATACAGAACAATGTTTGATTTTTTATATTGCTTTATCTATACATTGGAAAGAAATGACTGAAAATTGATTTACATTGGTGGAACTGGTCTTGGGTGAACACATATTCCTGGCTTGGTGAACACATATTCTGTAGCATAAAGCAAATAAAAATCACTTTTACTTTTTTTTTTTTTCTTTTTTTTTTTGAGATGGAGTCTTGCTCTGTCGCCCAGGCTGGAGTGCAGTGGCGTGATCTCAGCTCACTGCAGGCTCCACCTCCCGGGTTCATGCCATTCTCCTGCCTCAGCCTCCTGAGTAGCTAGGACTACAGGTGCCCGCCACCACGCTCGACTAATTTTTTTTTTTGTATTTTTAGTAGAGACGGTGTTTCACCGTGTTAGCCAGGATGGTCTCAATCTCCTGACCTCGTGACCCACCCACCTCGGCCTCCCAAAGTGCTGGGATTACAGGCGTGAGCCACCGCACCAGGCCCACTTTTACATTTTTAAATATTTTGCCTTACCTATCTGTTTTTCATTTCTCTGTCTGAGTATTAAGAAATACCTTTAATGGACCAATCCGTGCCTGGATTGGAAAGATCTCTACCCAATCTTGGTTCTACTTCTAGATTTCAAGGCCATCTCATCAGAAGCACAATTATTACTAAAGTCTCCTAATGAGCATCTGGGAGCAACTTGATACATGCTTTCTGCTTGTTCAAGCAAGAGGGAGATTCTTGAACATTGGGAGGCGTTGAGCCTGGTAAGCTATTTCTTTGCTTCCTGATTCTACCTCTGTCTTTGTGGCCAGATAAATATACTATTTTATTCACATGTGTTGAGTTAACATATTGGCTGTTCTGCAAGCTACAGTGGATTCAAAAGAAAAGATACTGTTTCTTGTCTCAATGGCATTTACAATCTCGCTGGAAAGACAAGAGGAACAGTGGCAGTCTACTTGCAAAAAATAGCATTTGATATTTGCATTGTTTATATGTCTTATGTAATTATCTAATATACAAAATTAATTTTAAATTTTTTATCACAATGTTTGCCATTGTAAATTAGAGGCACTTAAATTACTATTAAAATGTGTTAAGTTCACAAGGTCAAATATATATTATAAATATATAATGTATTAAATATATTTATATATAAATGTATGATCAAATAATAAAACTTTCTTGTGTTTTAAGTACTAAGACTTTTGAGGTATGACTAATAACAAAATAGTTACAAAGTATGAATAAGTGAGTATATATATACATATATTTGTATGTAGATATGCATATTCCCTACCTCCAATCACTTGAAGCAGCCACCCTCCACCCTCTCTCCCAAAAGCAATGAGCACACCTAGTACCCACATTGATTCTAAATACTTTACTAAAAGGATCCAGGGCTCCTTGGAGAAATAACTTTTTTTCTGAGATGGTGTCTCGCTCTGTCAGAGTGCAGTGGCGCCATCTCGGCTCACTGCAAGCTCCACCTCTCAGGTTCACGCCATTCTCCTGCTTCAGCCTCCTGAGTAGCTGGGACTACAGGTGCGCGCCACCACGCCCGGCTAATTTTTTTGTATTTTTAATAGAGACGGGGTTTCATCGTGTTAACCAGGATGGTCTCGATCTCCTGACCTCATGATCCACCCACCTTGGCCTCCCAAAGTGCTGGGATTACAGGCGTGAGCCACCATTCCTGGCCTGGAGAAATAACTTGATCCAGGGGTATCGCAGGAAAGTACAAGATGAGTCTGAAATATCATGCCAGGAAGTGAAGAGGAGTTTGAAGAATCAGGGACACATATCAAAAGGGGCAGGAGCCTGCTTGCAGGATCCCCCTGGCCAAAGCAGAACAAGCTGAGCACCAAAATATTGGATGGCTGCCCATTGAATAAAATAGAAGGCCATGACTGCATACTGATATCAATAAAGAAGTGAATGGAGGAGAATGAATGTTCATTCTTATAGCAGGATGCCCACTAACATATGTAGAAGCAATGATGGATATAAAAAAAAAATCACCCTCCAGCCACTCTCCTAGTAGCGGATGACTCATAGACTCTGAATTTTGACAACTGTCCCAACCAAGTCTCTTTATCCTTTCTGATCCTACTTAGGAACCCACATTGCACTTATTTGTTGTATCTCATTATCACCTTCAATCTGGAATAGTTGCTTGTTCTCTCCTAGCTGTCATGTCTCTGACTTTCTTAAGGAGAACAAGATTTTCATTCTCTAGGATGACCCTCAACCTAGGTTCGCCCTATGTTTCATGCTGATGAGACTCTGGTCATGGATTCTTGGCACCGATATGCAGAACAGATTCTGGCTTTTCACGGTGTCTCACATCAAGAGAAATATAAGGTCCATTCATCGTACCTAATCATGGTGGTGTCTTCCAAGTTTCTCCACCCTAAATTGACTATTTTTTCTCTTTGTATTTCCCTAGTGTTTTGTAGGGAGATATTTCTCTACTCACCTTCCTGTCTGCTTTGCAAGTTCATGCAATGTTCATTACCCTAGAGGTCCAGTGACATCCTGAGCATTCTATGGCTGTGTGGAAATTACAACATGGAAGGTTTTAGGGACCACAGCTACAAACCTTTTGAACTTGAACGTGTCTGAGAGTCACTTTTTGACGATGTTTCTTGGAAGAAAATTATCTCGTGTTGAATTCAGTGGGCTCGTGCCCATGCATTACTTTGAAGTCATCTGTTGGCCTTCCTGGAGGAGGACATGATGAAATGAAGCCCAAGCTTTGAGGAGGATTTTTTTTCGCTTTGCTCCCAGTAGTCTTCCTGTTTTTCACACTGGTTAGATGGCCTTGGGCTACTGTCACTCATGGCTTCCTGGGGACTGGCTCTTGTCATGAGATTGTTTTGGTTATCCTAATTCCTGACCTTTTGAATTCAGTTGAAGTTGTTTTCTTTCTCAACCTTGCAACAACCCTCAGCTGTTTGAGGAGAGCTTACTAGGAAATGTTTATTTTTCATTAACTCTATTTCTTTCTATTAGAGCCAACAGAAAACCAGAAGAGCAAAAGAGAAAGGAGATCTGTTCAATTAGCCTCATTAGACTTCCCACTTCAGGTCTCTGTCCAGCTCTAGTAAATTCACCACAGGAGACACTGGGAAAACCGTGATCCTGCTGGTCCCTTCTGTTACAAGTCAATGCCTTGTTGGTTCATCCGCTCAATGCTTGTTAAGTCCTCAGGATGTGCTAGATGCTCTCACATGGAATGTCCTTTTTTTTTTCTTTTTATAAGCAACACTGAAAGATACGGGTTATTAACTTCATTTAAACACCAGGAAATTGAAGTTTAGAGAAGCTAAGTGACTTGTCCAAGATTCCTTGCGTGGAAAATGGTGGAACCAGTTTTGAATCTTTAGACACCACATAGTTTTCTATTCTCAGTGTCTATTTTGAGGAAGTGAGTGGGCTGTGCTTTGTGGCTATATTGGCCTAGATAGCATAGGCAGAGGAGAATTCCTCATGCCCACATGCCCAGCCTGGCTCACTGAGCTTTTGCCTGGAATCTAGGGGGTAAATCATGAGCTCAGTAGCTATTTTTTCTTCTCTCCCTTTTTCCCTGTGAATATACTTCTCCTGGGGGACCACATGGGAGAGAAGGAAGATAGGAAAAGGGCTGGACTGAGATATAACTATAAACATTGGCATAATATCATATAAATAAAACTCCCATTTATATAAAGCTTCTACGCCACCTGAGAACTTAGAGAGAATGAGAAAGGAACATGCTATTATTGGAAGGAAATGTAGAGATTGTTTAGCTATGTCTACCTTTTAGGTAGATAAGGACTAATTTGGAGCTGGAGAAGAGATGATATTCATTTAAATTCCATAGCTAATGAATGTCAAGGCCAGGATGTGAATTCAGATCTCTTGACTCCTGAACATTGGGTGGTTAAGAGCAAAACTAAATGTCTATAAATTTGAAGAAAAGTATGAGGGAGCAGAATAATTTGGGGGCTCAATTCTCAGATCCTGAATCATGTTACTGTAGACATAAATAATAGATATTCAAGAGGCTCAAGATTCTCAGGAAAAATATAAAAACTTTAAAAATTAATACATAAAAATCAACCTGTTGACATGTAATGACAACTAATGTTTATTGACTTAGGAAACAAGTACATTGAGATATATTTTTATATCATAAAAGTCCCCCTTTTCAAATGTGCAATTCAATGATTTATTGTGCAATCATCTGCATAAACCAGTTTTAGAATATTTCTATACCCCAATAAGATCCCTAATGCCTGTTCACAATAGTTAGTATTAATCGAATGCTTACTTATTGACTCATTGTTCTGAGTGCTTTATTTGTAGTAACTTTCTTGGCAGCAATACTCTGAGAGGTTTTGTTATTATCTCCCCCATTTTACTAATGCAGAAAATGAGTTGTGGGAAGGTTAGATAACTGCCCAAGGTCACTCAGGCCCTGGGTGATCTTAGTCCAGTTGTCTGTCCCAGATTTGAACTCAGAACGTCTAACCTCAAAGTTTGTGTCCTTTCCTACTTCTCTCTTCTACTTCCACATCAGGAAAGAAACTGAGCAAC